>NC_000003.12:157038907-157341937 GCF_000001405.40 Homo sapiens | reverse complement strand
ACTTATGAAGTTTAGTTTGGCTGGATATGAAATTCTGGGTTGAAAATTCTTTTCTTTAAGAATGTTGAATATTGGCCCCCACTCTCTTCTGGCTTGTAGAGTTTCTGCCGAGAGATCAGCTGTTAGTCTGATGGGCTTCCCTTTGTGGGTAACCCGACCTTTCTCTCTGGCTGCCCTTAACATTTTTTCCTTCATTTCAACTTTGGTGAATCTGACAATTATGTGTCTTGGAGTTGCTCTTCTCGAGGAGTATCTTTGTCACGTTCTCTGTATTTCCTGAATTTGAATGTTGGCCTGCCTTGTTAGGTTGGGGAAGTTCTCCTGGATAATATCCTGAAGAGTGTTTTCCAACTTGGTTCCATTCTCCCCGTCACTTTCAGGTACACCAATCAGACATAGATTTGGTCGTTTCACATAGTCCCATATTTCTTGGAGGCTTTGTTTGTTTCTTTTTACCCTTTTTTCTCTAAACTTCTCTTGTCACTTCGTTCCATTGATTTGATCTTCAATCACTGATACCCTTTCTTCCAGTTGATTGAATCGGCTACTGAAGCTTGTGCATTCGTCATATAGTTCTCATGCCATGGTTTTCAGCTCCATCAAGTCATTTAAGGACTTCTCTACACTGGTTATTCTAGTTGGCCCTTCGTCTAATCTTTTTTCAAGGTTTTTAGCTTCTTTGCTATGGGTTTGAGCTTCCTCCTTTAGCTCGGAGAAGTTTGATCATCTGAAGCCTTCTTCTCTCAACTCGTCAAAGTCATTCTCCATCCAGCTTTGTTCCATTGCTGGTGAGGAGCTGTGTTCCTTTGGAGGGGGAGAGGCTCTCTGATTTTTAGAATTTTCAGCTTTTCTGCTCTGTTTTTTTCCCCATCTTTGTGGTTTTATCTACCTTTGGTCTTTGATGATGGTGATGTACAGACGGGGTTTTGGTGTGGATGTCCTTCCTGTTTGTTAGTTTTCCTTCTAACAGTCAGGACTCTCAGCTGCAGGTCTGTTGGAGTTTGCTGGAGGTCCACCCCAGACCCTGTTTGTCTAGGTATCAGCAGCAGAGGCTGCAGAACAACGAATATTGCTGAACAGCAAATGTTGCTGCCTGAATGTTCCTCTGGAAGCTTCGTCTCAGAGGGGTACCCGGCCGTGTGAGCTGTCAGTCTGCCCCTACTGGGGGGTGCCTTCCAGTTAGGCTACTCAGGGGTCAGGGATCCACTTGAGGAGGCAGTCTGACCATTCTCAGATCTCAAACTCCGTGCTGGGAGAACCACTACTCTCTTCAAAGCTGTCAGACAGGGACATTTAAGTTTGCAGAAGTTTCTGCTCCCTTTTGTTCAGCTATGCCCTGCCTCCAGAGGTGGAGTCTACAGAGGCAGGTAGGCCTTCTTGAGCTGCAGTGGGCTCCACCCAGTTTGAGCTTCCTGGCCGCTTTGTTTACCTACTCAAGCCTCATCAATGGCAGGCCATTGATTCCCCCAGCCTCACTGCTGCCTTGCAGTTTGATCTCAGACTGCTGTGCTAGCAATGAGCGAGGCTCCATGGGCATGGGACCCTCTGAGCCAGGTGCGGGATATAATCTCCTGGTGTGCCGTTTGCTAAGACTGTTGGAAAAGTGCAGTATTAGGGTGGGCATGACCCGATTTTCCAGGTGCCGTCTGTCACAGCTTCCCTTGCCTAGGAAAGGGAATTCCCTGACCCCTTGCACTTCCCGGGTGAGGTGATGACTCACCCTGCTTTGGCTCACACTCAGTGGGCTGCACCCACTGTCCTGCATCCACTGTCTGACAAGCCCCAGTGAGATGAACCTGGTACCTCAGTTGGAAATGCAGAAATCACCCGTCTTCTGCGTCGCTCACGCTGGGAGCTGTAGACTGGAGCTGTTCCTATTTGGCCATCTTGGATATGATTTCGACCTTACTGACTTTCGAAGGAAAAAGAATCTTTTTCTGGTTTTAGTCATACTGCTTTCCTTCCATCTCAGATGTAATAACAAATTAAATATAAATAAAAATATCTTGACACGGAATCAGCTGGTTGTGGGCAAGTTTCATGCAGAAAGATGTGAGCAGGACACTTGACTCTTTCACTTTAGGTAAGGCTGGCTTGGAATACCACAACCATAAAACAGTGAAGGGGTTTAGGCACAATCAGTGAGTCAAGGGGTCTAAGAAGAATTCCCCTTCTCTTTTTCAATATAAATTCTACAACCTCGCCACCCGACCTTCTTGAGCAGAAGCCTGAAATAATTTATATTAGCAGTGCATTCCTTTGTGTTCCCACCCTCTATCACTTTCCTCCAGACACAAGGGTCTGATGTTCTCCAGACAGATGAGGATTTAGAGACACGGGAGAGTACAAAGGGAAGTGTGAGGTTGAGGTGTCCCCAGTGAATGGGTCAATATCATAAGAGCAGTGGAGCCCTCAGCTACCTTTGCCCTACTTGTCCAGTGCAGGGCCCAGTGCTTGGCAACAACAGCACAGGGTGAGGAACAGGATTGCCACCTTTGGTGGATGGCTGACCAGGGCACAGAAATCCATGCAGCAACAAATCTGGCCAGGGCCAACCCCTGCAGCCAGCAGAGGCCTTCCCATGTCATAAGTCACTGCTTTCACAGATAAATGACCTTTGCAGAATATTTCCTTGTCCCCTAAAATGCTAGACAAGCAGAAGCCCAGGGCACTAGAACAATATTCTCAGGCCGTGGGGGTCTCAGGTCCAGGTGGGACAGAAACAGCCCTTGGAGCCTGAATTTGAGATGCCTTGTTTGGTTTTCCAATAACCTCCACTTTTAGGAGTCTGGCTTAAATAACCCAGTTATCTCACATACCTCATGGGATACCTACTCAGAGTGTGCAGAGGGTGGGTTGGAGTCCCAGGGCCAGAACTAGAGTGGAGAACCCTAACCACAATAACTGAGAATAGAAGCAGTCAGCACCAAGGTTCTGAGTCAATATCCTTGCAATATCACTGTAGGCTCTGAACCTTCTTGATGCCTAGTGTCTGGCACAGCACTAGGCACAAAGCAAGTGCTCAACACAGTGCAGTGCAGTTCAGTGAATTCACAAATGAATCAACAAATGAGGAGCAAGGGACAAGTCTGCCCAGCACCTGACTTAATAGAGATGTCCATACCATCAATGTGCAGTCTTGAGCTTGTGACTGAATCACAATCTTTCTGTGGACTTTAATATTGCATGTGACTTTTTACTTATAGTTAGGGTGACAGCCCTTATTAGGAAAAGTTAATTGTCTTATGATGCAATATAAAAGTTTGAAAACCCACAGAGACTGCCACAAATAAATGATATCTGAATCTCAGCATTGAAAAAGAAACAGAATAGTTAAGATGTTAACCATTTGCTGGGAGTACATGCATGGTATTTTCAAACATTTGATACATTGAAGAAAACATAGAATTAGTGAAAATTGATTTCCAAGATGCTTCACCTTTTAATCATGATGGGGAAAATTTAGGTTTGAAAAATGTGGAATAGTTTAGAAGTACAATTTAAAGATCTAAGCTAGCAATATTCAATGTTTTAAATAAATTAGCTTATTACAGTTATTCATAAAGGTAGAGAAGTGCAGGAGTCAGTCCATCAGGAGGGGTGGTTTGGAACATGGACTCCAGTAGACAAGGCCTTGGTTTACAGATTTAACCTTTGAATCTATAATAATGGCTAATTTGTTGCATATTTGAGGATTAAATGAGGGAAGCATCCAAAAAAATATGACTTTCTTCTAAAAGCTCTTAGTACATTTACTCCTAAATTGAATCAGCATTCACATTATAGGAACTATTTATCATAGACATTAATTGCACATTCATTTTTATCTGTAGAAAAATATCAGGAGGAAGGATGATACGTAACTTGTCCCCACTGCTTCCACCTCCAGCCCACCCATATCTAGGAAAGCCCTGGTTGAGGAATGGACCTGGTAAAGACCTCCCCAGAACATAATAACTATTCTGGGGAGGTGCTATTTCATATTATTCTTCAAACCAGAGTGGTAACTGAAGAAAAAAAAATTAACTGCCAATTTTTCTATATCCAATGATCTTCAGACACAATTCTTATTTTCTGAGTATTTTACATCTCTGAGGCTATCACCTAAAATCTTTTTATGTATAAAATAAACTTAGTTGATCATTTTATCCCTCAGAAGGCTAGCCCACTGCAATAATAACTTGGTGACAGTTGAAAGGCTAATTGAATCTATTATAACAGCACAGCTCAATTCTAATCCATTTCCTGGTGGAAAAAAATTCTAGTGAAGGTATTTTTCCCCGATTATAAAAGTATAATGTTCCCTGTAAAATATTGGAAAATAGGAAAAAAACTAAAGAAAGTCATCCTTAATCTTATCATTTTACCACTTTTAGAAATGATATGTATTTCCTTCCAGAATTTTTTTCTGTGTTGGAAAATATTTTGACCTTATGGAGCAAGATTATTTTTTCAAAGATGCTTCACTTTTTAATCATGATGGTGAAAATTTAGGTTTGAAAAATGTGCAATAGTTTAGAAGTACAGTTTAAAGATCTAAGCTAGCTATGTTCAATTATAGCTGCCTTTGCTACAAAATTTTATCAGGATAACCTTTTAAATTAAATATTTTTGTTGAAACACTGGAAACAACAGTCATGTTAACTAACATTTTCTTAATTTAATATGTAAAGAAATGCCAGATTTCTCTTTATAAGTAACATTTATCGCACTGCTATATTTGATATCTAGATTAATACCTTTATTTAAAAGGATATTCTTTTGCCATTTCTTGGTAAAATATATTTCTTTATATATAAATACATAAATTTATATACATATATAAATATATAAAATGCCTATGGCATTTCCTTTGACACTAAAACTAAGCGTAATAATTCCAAAAATTTTAGCATTTTTCAAACAAGTTTAAAATACAGAAAAATGTTTATATTATGTCTTACAATATTATTCACTGTTAATCAAATTACGTTCTAGAGCAGAGGCTGGCAAACTTCCCATATAAAAGTCCAAGTAGTAAATATTTTTGGACAGTTTGTGTGGTCTCTGTTGAAGCTGCTCAATTCTGCCATTGTAGTAGGAAAACAACTATAGATAATTCATAAATGGATGGCTATGACTGTGTTCCAATAAAACTTTGTTTAAACAAGCAAGCAGTGAGTCAGACTTTGCCCATGGACAGTAGTTTATCAACCCTTGCTCTAGATTATATTTTTCCACATTCACCTGGAGTTTTGTGTTAGATGGAGTGTAGGGGTTTCTGATCCTCCATGCGAGACTTCTGGTAAACATAGCTGATTGAACATGTTTATCTCTACTAGCAATAAAACCCCACTTAAATGATAATAAAGGAAATAAAAGGTATACGCTTAGGGGAATGGAGAAGAAGACAGCAGACAGAGATGAATCAACACAATGTTGGGCAGAGTGAAGCAGATGCAAGAGTGTTCACTGAACTAGCGGTAAGCAGTGCCCAGGTAATACCATTGTGGTCCAAGAGAGGTGCCATATAGGAAGCATTTTATCCAGTTCTGCTGAGGTCTTCTAAGCATCATTGGAGGGGCAGCAAATGGTTCCTCAGTAATGCTAGGTTATAATCTGATGCAGTCACTGTCTGAGTTGGCACCCTTAGCTCATCTGTAAAACTCAAAGTAATTGGTTTTGGGGGAAAGGGGCCCTAACTCTAACTGTAAATATATTGGTATTCAGACGACTTAGACAAGAATAGTGCCAACAATAACTAGCAGTTTAACATTCACTGCTTTTACTGCTATTAAGCTATTCTGAAACCCTTTCCCTCTAGCCTGCTTTCTAAGACCCAAAGGAAATATTCGCAGTATTTTCAGTCACTCTTAGTACTCATTGATGAGGAGCTATCATGTAAGGAAGGAGTAGAAAATGAGAAGACAAGAAATGCCAGAAGGAGGATTCTACGATGCTGATTTGCATGTCAGGGTCTCGGTCCAGGAAGGAAACAGCAGGCAGAGGGAGGCTGGTAGCCATGGTGCCTAGTGGGCTATGTAGTGACTCACTCCACCGCCCTGCATGAGTCCAGCAAACAAAGGCAGTGTGTTAGGAAATGGTGTGCTTGATTGTAACAGATGCAAACTTCAAGGGTCACTGGAGTCACATATAAGAGGCTTCACTAACTCGGAGCCAATAACTCCCATCTTTTTCCCAGCAGAATATTTGGAGAATTGATGAGAAAAAAAAAGTACGCATAGTTGACTGATTTCTTTTTTGTAGAGATGGACACTTTTTGTACTCTATTCCTTCTTCTGTCCCACACTAGACACTATTTATATTCAGATCCTATATGCTGTATTCAAAGGGGAAAACATTTGGTCTTCTTGGGTTTTTACTACCACTATTCCATGATTGTCTTTCCTTTGATTTGACTACCTTTCTTCATAATAAATCTTCCTGTCTTCTCCCTCTCTTTGTTGTTCTCCTTTCCTGTCTCAGTTTTCTGTATTTGCATTTCCTTATCCCATGCACATTCCTTTCCTTCTTGTGGGGAGTTGTTTTTTGTTCTTTGTTTTTGAGATAGGGCCTCCTTGTTGCCCAGGCTGGAGTGCAGTGATGCAAACACGGCTCACTGAAGCCCCAACCCTCAGGCTCAAGCCATCCTCCCACCGCAGCCCCCAAAGTAGCTGGAACTACAAGCACAGGCCACTACACCCAGCATTTTTTTTTTTTTCATAGAGATGTGGTCCTACTATGTTGCCCAGTGGTCTACTGTATTTGAGAATGTCAAAGAAAAAAACACCTCCCAATTTCCCAGTGCCAACACACTTTGGGCTTTTTGACAGCAGCTTTTTGGAGATAATTTCATTGACTCTGAGCATTATAATATTGATGAAGGTGATAGATAATTTTAAAAAGGTGAACAAATTATTTTATTTAATCCTGGTGACAAGTCTGTAGTGTAGTTAGCACTGTCCTCATTTTATGAATGAGAAAATAGAAAGGCGAATAACCTGTCCAAGGTAATATGGCCAGTAGAAGGCAGAATCAGGACTTGGCCCTGGCTCTATGATCTTGCCACTGCTTCTTTATCCCACACTGCCTTCTCGGACATGCCATTCTCATCCCCACCTCCATGCCTTTACCCAAACTCTTGCTCCTCTAGGTGCCCGCTATTTTATTTATCTAGGCCTAGCATTCATCAGGGCTAGCCTATTTCTTACTTTCTACACCCCCGTGATTCCCAGTACTTCTCATTTGGCACTTGATCATGGATTGCTCTTTTTAAATATTCATATACTTCTGACATCTCTTTTTTAAGCTGTAAAACTCTGAATCTTTTTATAGTTTTAACACTCAGCCCAATGTCTCATCCTTGGTAAGTCCTCAGAGTATTTGTTAATGATGGTGATGCTGGTAGACATTTCCCCAGTGCAGGATAACAAATGAAATCAACCTTCCTCAAGCTTAATGGCTGTTCATGTTGTTACAGCAGCTGCATTAATGACAAGTAATCTGTAACATTTTTCAGAACTTGTACTCTAAGAGTACAATTAGCCACATGAAAATGCCTTCCTCAGAGGCTTCCAGTCTTACCTGTAGCCTGAAGAACTGAATTTCCTTAAGACTAGAATTATTTTCTAAAATTGGCTTTCAAATTCATGGTATATCCCGAGAATTGGCTGCACAAAATTAGTTGCTTTCTATTCAGTAACACCTCATTTAGCAGCAGTGACTGAAATAAAATGCCCCCTAACTTTCTCATGTCAGCCACATGATCATGAAGTCAACAGGGAATAGACGGTTGGCATCTTAGGAAAGTCAGGCTTAGTTAGTAGTTGCTAAAGGCCACTTCTAACAGGAGCGTCAATGAGTTTGATACACACTACGTGGAGTTGATATACACTATGTGGAGGTCCTATATACCCTGCACCAACATATCGGACATAATAAACCTCCTGGTAAATACATATAACTCTCCCATGAGTGTTCTTCTGATGCCTGATGGTGGCCAGCCCAGAAGGTCTTAGTTCAGAACTGCCAACCAGAGAGAGCAATGCAATGGGTGACTCACATATACATGATCTTAGGCTTATCCTTCCTTCCTCTGGGGAAAAAAAAATGTAAACGGACCCATTTTAGTGGAGTTTATTAATAGAATTTCCTAAAATTTTCTGTGCCCTATATCTGGTTACTGTTATGCATTTTGCAGAGTTGCAAAGTAATTGGTAGCACATGGAATGGTACCTGCAGGGGATCACGGCTTGCCTGCCTTATTTGCCTCTGTACAACTTTTGATAAATCTGTGCTTGGAAGAGCCAAGTGTTTATTTCTACCATATGGGCTTCCACTGACTCAGTGTGACCACAAAGTGGCTCTGTATTGTTGCCAGAAATCAACTACATTAGTGTCATGCAAATATATAGAGAGGTATGTGTGTGTATTTGATTTAAAATTCATGTAAATTCCAAAATTACTTTCATGTCTAGAAACTGTGCTAACTCCTCTGAAAATATCCCAGATTCCTTTCTGATCATGTTGACATTGACTACTTTGTATTCTTAATGTTTGGACATCTAACTTGTATTTGGCAACCATCAAGAGTACCTGGTAGGAAAAAGTTGAGGTCTTCCGAGTGAACTTCCCCTGGCGGATTTTGTGATCGGATAAGCACTGCAAAACATTCCTCATCCCAGAACTGAGTGACACTCATCACTTATTGGAAGGTGCATTCTTCCTAGGGAATACCAAAAATTCACTGGAGAACTAAAAGTATCAATATAGTCATTTAAAGATAAGTTCAATTTTCAGTTAGTTTCATAATTTATATTTTTCATTATTCCTACTTTGGGAAGTATTACTGGCCAAATTCCTGGAAATATCAGAAACAACATTGAAATCAATCCAAAAATATGAACAGCATTGCCACAATAACACTTTTCTGTAATTGTAAGCAGTCAGCCACCCAATCAGAAATGATCCTGATTTGAGTATTGTTTGTAAGCACTGCTCCTCATCTGTGTGTACAATCAGGTGACTGGAAAAGTGATGGCAAATGTCACTCTTCAGATTCACCTCCTTCATAATTAATATGACAGTTTTATTTTTAAGTTTGGACATTGTAAGAATAAGGAAATAATTATTTTAAAATATATGACCATTCCTTACAAGTTGAACACAGAATTGCCATGCCACCCAACAATTCCACTCTTAGGAATATACTCCAAAGAATTGAAAACAAGTGTTCAAACCAAAACATGTACTTGAATGTTCATAGCTGCACTATTCACAATGACCAAAAGGTAGAAACAACTCAATTGTCCATGAATGAATGAGGAGGCAAATGAAATGTAGTATATTCATATGATGGAATGTTATTTAGCCATGCAAAAAAAATGAAATACTGATGCATGCTACAACATGGATGAACCTTGAAAACATCATAATAAGTGAAAGAAGCCAGACACAGAAGGCCACTCATTATATGATTCCATTTATATAAAATATCCAGAATAGGCAAATCTATAGAGACAAAATGCAGATTTTTGGTTGCCAAGAGCTAGGAGGAGGGGAAATGAAGAATAATTGCTTAACAGATGTGGGGGTTCCATTTAGGGTGATGGAAAAGTTCTAGAACTAGATAGTGGTGATAGGTGTACAACATCATAAATGTACTTACTGCCACTGAACTGTACACTTTAAAATGGTCAAAATGGTAAATTTTATGTTACATGTATTTTACTGCAATAAGAATTTGTTTTAAATATATGACTACATATTCTGTGATAAACTCCATACTTAATATGCAGCATATCCTCCACAAATAAACACATACAATTAGTGTAATTATGGAATGGTCTGGGTTAACCCTTCTATGCCAGCAGTAGCCGCAAGCACCATGTACTGGGCAGTATTTTAAATGTTTTATTTGACCCTGTAAGGTACATATTACTATTCCCAAATTGTGAAAGTGGAAACTGAAATATAGAAAACAAAATTTGCTTAAGATCACATAACTGGCAGACCTGAGATAGACCTGAAATTTGAGCCCAGGTTGTGTAGCAGCATGGTGTTTCCTATTAGCCCCTGTACTGTGGGCTGAGCTGACCTTGTCCTGTGATAATAAAGCTTATGTACAATGGAAGTGTGCTCTCAGCTCTCAGAACAATGTTGATAAAGTTTCAGACCTTAAAGAACAGACCATTGTTATTCAAATCTGCAAGTACAACCATATTTCTATTTATCTTATTATTTATTTGCCTGATTATCATTGAACATACACAAACCATGAAAGAGCTGCAAGAAGTGTAATTCTCTCTCAGTGCAAATTTACTGTGCTATGCTAGGCTATTGCCCTGGCCAGAGGTGTCCTGCGGTCCTCTGCAGTCATCTTCTGTTGGAAGAAGAGTTAAATCCAATTTCTCAAATATATCCCGCTCTCCCTGTCTTTCATTCCTGGTGCTAGATTTAGTAAGTGAAGTGAGGTTTGGTTGAATCGTAAAGCAGAGTCTTGGCCACAAGGCATGCATGGGGCTGAAAGAAGTAAAGAATATCATAGGCATACGCAATGGGGGTAAGAAGTGTTGTATGAGAAGAGACTAACTAGAATAGAATGTCAGTCTCCCCCAAGGATCACCATACCACCTCAAATCACACTGTCCTAGGAGTGTGGCTCACTTGCATTGGATAAACAGAGCTTCTGTATTGCCGAACTCCAGACGGTATCACTTACACTGTGGCCTGTGGGAATAATGTCCCTCCTGGACTCATGTGGTGGAAAGCCTGTGTGGCTGTTAGCAATGGCCCTGCAGATGAGCCCCAGCATCCTATCTGAAGGGATGAAATTTTCAGGGCAGCAAGAGCTCCAGGACAGATGCAGTTCTTGGCTGCAAGTCATGTTTCATCCATCCAGCAAGATCCATTCAGGTGAACACAGGATATCCATGCACAGGGCCAATCTCCGGATAGGAGAGCACTAGCAGCAGCTAGGTAGGATTCAGAGGTGGCTTCTATTCCAACAAAAGGATGGGGTGGGTCCCACCAGGATAGAAGAATGAGGACCCATAGCTTACTGTTTATGTATCTCCATCTTTGTTTATTCCCAACCCAGACTATTTCCAGCCTGTTAACATAGTGGCCTCGGAACCTCAGTTAACCACCAGGCCTGCCTCCCTTGGTTCTGGATGTGGCTGGGGCAAAACCTGCCATGGGAAGGAGATTGCTGCTCTTGATAGGTGGCGAGGGCTGGCATAAGCAAGACAAGGCTCCATGATCCCTACAGCTGGAGCACGTGGTCTTTTTAGGCTCCTTACTGAAACTTAGTGCTTGAGCTACCCCTTGCCTTTTTGCCATCGAAATCCTGAGAAAGACCCTTCATTGTTTATCCCATTTGCTGCTACTTCTATCAACCCAGAAGTCCAGTCCAGGACTCAATAATAATGAAGTGTTTTATGATACAGTTTTTTCATACAGAACAATCCCAGTTACTATGTGGCTGCTCAGATGGTTGCGTGTTCATGAATGTGGAAGGCCCTCTCCTGGGGGCAACAGCTCAACAGCTTTCTGCTAAGAGATTTCCTTTGAGCAATAAGCTATCATACAGTGCAGATGGGTTTTAAGTATTTCAACTATTTTCAAGCAGGCCCTGGGTCATAAATGCCTTCATCTTGACTTTCTAATTTCCAGATTCCCTTTCACAAGAGAGGGTTCTCAGTGAAGCAGAAAAATTGACTATAGAGGTCTTGCTAATCTCAAAACACTTTATTTAATTTCAAAGTGAAGTTGTTATGATGTAAAGAATAGGGAAAATTGAACTGTGAGCTTCTTCATGCTTTTAAGAGTTTGGGATCTAAAGACTTGAAAGAAAAGAAGAGCTTTCTGAGTTGATTCCATTGCAATCCTGTCTATTAAAAGAGAGACCACCACTCAAAGTCCATTCCAGCTCTGGGACATAAGATTTTGAACTGACACCTAACATCAGAATTCCTCCACAAGGCAAATTTCTGAGCTTCTAGAGGTTCTGGGGACAATAAGACACTCCTACAGCCTCTGTTGAATTAATGTTGCCTTCTCATCCCGAAGTTCATGCTACCCTGTGGACCACTGGGAAATAGTCAGTTGAGGCAGAGGTAATTCAACTCTATTAAATTTTTACTTTAGTTTTTCGATGGATCTTTCTGTTTCCTTCAATAGGACAAAATATATAACCAGCTGTTTCCAATTTACTGCTAGAAGGTTGAGTTTCTGGAAGCTGAATAACATTACTAGTCATTATTTTATGACTTTTCATCTGAGCAGCAGTAAGAAAGTGAAAGTAAAACTAATTAATCAGAAATAGTAAAAAAAAAAAGGCAACTCTGTTTAATATTAATTATGATGATTGATGTCATCATCATTGGATTTTAGGTCACATAAAAATGAAATAAGTTATACATGAAGACAACTTGAAAGAAGCAATAAATGAAACTAAGATTTCAAAGATATATTGACCTCTATCATGTAAAGCATGAATTTATAGAAAAATAATTTTATGATTATGACATTTGCTTTTACTGTAGATGTTCTGGTTTCCATGGCTAACCTGACAGAGGCAATTTATTTCCTTGAGTTGTTCTTCGATTCCTGTTGCCTTCAGTTCAGGTGGTTCCCACTGGAAAACAGTAATATCTTGAGCTGGGATTTGATGGGTCAATCACTTGGGCTTCTCTCAAGAGAGGTTTGGGCATGGATGGGAATGTGCCACATAACTCATTCAGTTATACGATAAAGATAAAAACTGCAATAAATACCAAAAGCAAATTATCAACAAGTCTCTACATACAGAATAAATGAAAGTGATATATAATTTATAAGATTTAAATCATTAAAAATAAATGGGTATAAATTAAATCCCTCTTCGACTTAAAAGGGGGGACTAATAATTGCTGCTTCATCTAAGCATAACCTATGTAAGCTGCAGAGTATAACGGGCACTAGAGTCAAACAGTCTAGATTTGTCTGGACTGCCAGTTGCTAGCCATGTGACCTTAGATAAATTACTTGACATCTTTGAGCCTCAGATTCTTCCACAAAACTGGAAGTGTCTACTTCATTGGCATGAGTATTAAATGGCAATACACACATAAAACTCTTAGAACATTGCCCAGTACTTAAAAACTAATCAATTAATGTTAGCTTTTTTTATCTTCCTGCCACGAAGCTTTGAATAGAGCAAAATATCAAGCCTTTCCTGAGCTTCCTGGTGGCATTCCTGCAACATTTCTGTGCTTCTGAGCCTCAAAACGACATGTACATCAAAAGTCTCACTTGCACATATCTTAACAGTCCTAGGACTTTGGAGACGCTCAGAGAGCAAGTGATGGTTTCATGCATTGTTATGAGGTTTTCTTTCTTGCTGGACCTTCTACTTGTGCCCTGTCCCCAGAGAAATTTATTCTCATTGTATAGAATGGGATTTTGGCTTACACATCATTATTAGCTGTGTAGTAAGTTCATTTTAAAATAAGCAATTAGGTGAACATTTCAGGACACTGAGCAACCTAGATGCCAAGGGTCATTATGCAGTCTCTTTCCTCTAATTAAAATAGCATTACAGCAACATTCAAACATTTCCACCTGGCCTAGGGATCCTTTTTTTTTCTTTTTCCATATACAATAGTAGCAGTAACAGTGATCATGATAATGAACATTATTAAACACATGCTCTGTGCCAAGCACATGTCTGTCTGAGAGCCTTACATGAATTAACTCTTTATGCTCACATAACTAACTCATTCCACTTTGTCCAGCACTTTCCTAGTGACAGCACTGGAAGACTTGCATTTCAGGAGCCACTCTAATCTCAGGCAAATCGGGATGGCCGGTCACCCTAAACAACACTTAGAAATAGGAGCTCTTATTAGTGTTCCCAATTGAGCCACAGAGAGGTTATGTAACTTGCCCAAAGACACACAGCTGGTAAATAGGAAAGTCTCGCTCCAGAATCTGTGTTCCTAACCACCACCTTGGAGAAGAATTGAACTTTGGATAAGGGATCAGAGAAGTTGGCTTTAGAGTGGCTTCTGAGAGGAAGGGCTCTTTGTTCCCTCTCTCAGGGCAGAAACATTGCTTGTGAGAGCATCCAAGGCTCTTCAACACCTGATTTGAATAGGTTAATGGGCAAGTCGTACTCTGTTCTTTAATAGTAACATAAAGCAGCAAGCAGGCACAAGTTTTTAACAGTTTTCATATAAGAAATTTGCAAGTCTATATGCACCAAGGGACACTACATACCACTGTGTGTTATTTGATTTCGCCCTCACATGCAAACCCTCAACGTCCTCCTACAGCTCACTCCCCATCCTCTACCCTTTGCTGTGTGACTCTTATAAGTGTTTCTAAAGTTCCCTGATTCTTTAGGACAAGATTTCTTTCTCCACCTGAGTCGTCTTCTTCACTGTACCATAGTTTTATTCTCCATGATTACTTTTTCACTTATTGTAATATTATAAAATTTATTTTATATTACAACTTAGATTTGCAGAGAAAATGTGCCATCATTATGTCTAGAGCTGATCAAGAGCAACCAACCACTGGGTAGTGAGGAAGAAAATTAAGAGTCCCTGCCTAAAGTTAATCCCAACTGCTCATTTGAATGGTACTTTAGGAGACAATCTTTCCTTTGGATAAAAATGTTCTTTCTCTCATCTCTCCTATGCTTATCTCCCTAAGGTGGCATCTGGGAGCATTAGGAAGTGGCTCCTGCTCCCTTGTGGTGGTGGAAAGCATTAATGTCCCTGGATAGGGGTGTGGTGTGTCTTCTTGCCTGAAGGATAATGGTTTTTTTTCACTCTACACATGGGCCGGTCCAGGGGTCTCCCTTGCCAATCTGACCTCATCTCAGTGCCCACTGGTGTGAGATGCCCCTCTTGAGTCCTGGCTTGGACAATTCTCTCTGCAGTCTACTGTGCAGAGCCACACCATACTCCTTGCCTCACTATGGTGAATTCTCTGAAATGCTGACCAGCAAGATCCTCAGCTACTACTGGCTCCACTCTACTCCATAACAGAGGAAAGAGTGACCATGAAAGCTGAACCTCAGAGATTCCTTTCTGTCTGGCTTCAGGAGCTGTGCTTTTAATTAAGTTGGCTACCCTGTGTTGGTGCTGAGGGCCACCTGGGAGTGAATCTTCAGCGGTGACCATTGCCCATGGTGTTACCATAATGTATCTAATATACTTCTCCTTCTCCAGGCCAAAGCCCAAATGTGAGGGAAGTCAGGACCCACTTCTGATGGCTTTACACTTCTCTGTCTCTCTCCTTCTCTCCATAATTTTCCTTGCCAGAACTAAAACCTGTTCTCTTTTACTTGTTCCATTCTATATTCTCCTACCTAACAACCATAGAACTGACCAAGCTGTCACCCTCTTCATACTACAGGTCCTACAATGTATATCCTCCATGTTCAGGAATGATAGGCTAAAGGGAGGTAAGGAAATTTAGAAAATTCCTTCTTGAGACAAAAGCCTCACTTGCAAGGCTATTATCTTGCTGCATAACCCAATTTTGGCAGTTAAAAAAATTAATTCCATTTTACTTTTTTGGTACTCCTATAACTGTTGAATATCTACTCTATCACCATTCCCACCATCACTCGACAGCCAGATAGGTGGAGACTTAACTGGATTCAGGCAAAGGCTATGTACTCAGAAGGCAAAAAAGAAAAACATATTTAAAATCATAAATGTTAGCCCTGTTACATGGTAATTAGTGAGACATCATTTAAATTGTTTGCTTAAATCCCAGGATACAAAAGTAGTGCTCAAAAATCACTTGCATTCCTATACACCAACAACAGGCAAGCCAAGAGCCAAATCATGAATGAACTCCCATTCACAATTACCACAAAAAGAATAAAATACCTAGGAATACAGCTAGCAAGGGAAGTGAAGGACCTCTTCAAGGAGAACTACAAACTGCTGCTCAAAGAAATCGGAGATGACACAAAGAAATGGAAAAACATTCCATGGTCATGGATAGGAAAAATCAATATCATGAAAATGGCCATATTGTCCAAAATAATTTATAGATTCAATGCTATTCCCATTAAACTACCATTGACATTCTTCACAGAATTAGAAAAAACTATTTTAAAATTCACCTGGAACCAAAGAAGAGCCTGAATAGCCAAGACAATTCTAAGTAAAACGAATAAAGCTGGAGGCACCCAATTTCAAACTATACTACAAGGCTACAGTAACCCAAACAGCATGGTACTTGTACAAGAACAGACATACAGACCAACAGAACAGAATAAAGAACCCAGAAATAAGACTGCACACCTATAACCATCTGGTCTTTGACAAACCTGACAAAAATAAGCAATGGGGAAAGGATTCCCTATTCAATAAATGGTGCTGGGAGAACTGGCTGGCCATATGACGAAAATTGAAACTGGACCCCTTCCTTACACCTTATACAAAAATCAACTCAAGATGGATTAAAGACTTAAATGAAAAACCCAAAACTATCAAAACCCGAGAAGAAAATCTAGGCAGGACCATTCAGGACATAGGCACAGGCAAAGATTTCATGGCAAAGATGCAAAAAGCAATTGCAACAAAAGCAAAAATTCACAAATGAGATCTAATTAAACTAAAGAGCTTCTGCACAGTAAAAGAAACTATCATCACAGTGAACAGATGATCTACAGAATGGGAGAAAATTTTTGCAATCTATCCATCTGACAAAGACCTAATATTCAGCCTCTACAAAGAACTTAAACAAATTTACAAGAAAAAAAAACAAACAACTCCATTAAAAAGTGGGCAAAGGACATGAACAGCCACTTCTCAAAAGAAGACATACATGCAGCCAACAAACATGAAAAAAAGCTCAATGTCACTGATCATTAGAGAAGTGCACATCAAAACCGCAGTTAGATACCATCTCACACAAGTCAGAATGGCTATTATTAGAAAGTCAATAAAACAACAGATCCTGATGAGGTTGTGGAGAAAAGGGAATGCTTTTACACTGTTGGTGGGAGTGTAAATTAATTCACCCATTGTGGAAGACAGTGTGGCAATTCCTCAAAGACCTAGAGGCAGAAATACCATATGACCCAACAAACCCATTACTGGGTATATGCCCAAAGGAATATAAATAATTCTATTAAAAATATACATGCACGTGTATGTTCATTGCAGCGCTATTCACAATAGCAAAGACAGAATCAACCTAAATGCCCATCAGTGACAGACTAGACAAAGAAAATTTGGTACATATACACCATGGAACACTATGTGGCCATAAAAAAAAAAAAACAAGATCATGTCTTTTGCAGGGACATGGATGGAGCTGGAGGCCATTACCCTCAGCAAACTAATGCAGGAACAGGAAACCAAACACCACATGTTCTCACGTATAAAAAGGAGCTGAATTATGAGAACACATAGAGGGAAGCAACACATACTGAGGCCTGTTGGAGGGTGGGGAGGAGGAGAGAGAGCATCAGGAAGAATAGTTAGTGGATGCTGGGCTTAATACTTAGGTGATGGGATGACCTCTGCAGCAAACCACCATGCCACATGTAACAAATCTGCACATCCTGCACATGTACCCCTGAACTTAAAAATATGGGCACAGTGGTTCATGCCTGTAATCCCAGAACTTTGGGAGGCTGAGGTGGGCGGATCACCTGAGGTCAGGAGTTCAAGACCAGCCTGGCCAACATGGTGAAACCCCATCTCTACTAAAACTACAAAAAAATTAGCCAGGCATGGTGGCGCATGCCTGTAATCCCAGCTACTCAGGGAGTGCTGAGACAGGAGAATCCTTGAACCTGGGAGGTGGAGGTTGCAGTGAGCTCAGATTGCACCACTGTACTCCAGCCTGGGCAACAGAGTGAGATTCTGTCTCAAAAAATACAGATAAATAAATTGCCTGCTTTAACAAATAGCACTTTTTCATTGTATATTTTTAAATTATGTAAGTAATACATAAATATAAACTGATAAGGAGAGAATTAAAATAATACAGAAGTATATGAAGTAAAATGTGCATGCTCCTCACCCCACTCCCACTTCTCAATATGAAAGTAATCACTGTCGATGGTTGATCTATAACTTTACAGACCTTTTCTTATGCTTTTATATATGTTTTCACATAACAATACAAAATTTTTATTTTTTTCCTCAAAATCAGGGTCAAAGCATAGGTCTTTGTACACCTATGGCTTGTATATTTCTGAATATATAATTACCAAATTTGTGTTATTAAAGTAATCACTTGCAAAAGAATTGTTTTATTCTCTGGATAAGTCAAAACAAAAGCATCCAACATGCCCATTTGACAACTGGCTGGATTTTTGCCACAATGGGGAAATGAGCATAGTACTTTTGCTCTGGGTAGGGACGTCCCACACATATGCATGTGATATAGCCAGGGGCCCACCAGCTGCTGTAAAGGGAACACATATTTCTCAACTAATACTGTTGTAAATAGAACTTAGTAAACACTAGGCAAGTCCTCTTTTCCATTACCTACGTGTCCTAGATTCTCAACAAATGAGAGATTTGGCAGTTTTTCCTTCAGTGCAGGTCAGTTCAACAACTCACACTTCTGAACACCTTCTACAGAACCGAGCTCTGAAAACATCAAATGATTAAAGCAGTGTCCACTCATGAATAATTATTTGATGTAATTTCAAACAGTTATTTCAAATTCATTATTATTTTTGAGAATCTAATTTTGTTTTTACCTTAAAATATCTTTTCTTCTATTTACTCCATCAAAGTTATGAAATAATTGCTGTTCTATTCAAAACTTCTAAACTTTAACTTGGAGGTGAGGAGGAATAGAGTTTTAGTCTAAAATACTAATATATTTTACAAATCACATGGAATCAAAGTTTTACAAGTGGTCCACACTGGCTTGTGATGCCTTCTTCCATTTTTTTCAGTCAAAAGCAATGGTATTTTAAAGTAATGAGTTTGTTCTGCACTTTTTCCCCAAATTGGAACTTATGGTTGACTTCAAAAACATACTTTATTTTACCTACTTTTGGAAAGCTCTCATCAGACAAATTACCAGTTCCATTTTCTTCTACTTTTTTTTCCTGTCCAATTTAGGACATTCATACAATTAAATGACAGTATTATTTATTCATTGCGTCAATGTTTTGAATTTTTTGTCTTTGAAATACAATAAAGAAGAATTAAATGGAAAATGAAGGAAATTGCTTCAAGGGTTCCTGTCACGCTAGTGTCAAGTAGGCAGAAGAAAACTCCTCCTGTTGTCATCTAGCTTGTCGTGAGTGCCAAGTGCAAGCCCTCATAGCCCTGAGCAAATGTCCAGCCCTGCTCTGGACAGCCCTCACAGACACATTTCTTCACAGGCCTCTGTAGGCCATTAGTAAATTGTAGAATTTCAGAGATAAAAATTTCATTTCTAATACGAAATTTCCTCAAAAAATCTAAACATAGAATTACCATATGATCCAACAATGCCACTTCTTTGTATATACCAAAAAGAATTTAAATCAGAGCCTCAAAGAGATATTTCCATACTCATGTTCATAGTAGCATTATTCACAGTAGCCAAAAGGTATGAACAGCCCAAATGTCCATCAACAGAAAAATGAGTAAACAAACCATGGCATATACATACAATGGAAAATAATTCAGCTTTAATAAAGAAATGAAATTCTGACCCATGCTACCATGTGTATGAACATTGAAGATATTATGCTAAGTGAAATAAGCCAGAACAAAAGAACAACTATTATATGATTCTACTTGTATGAGGTACCTAGAGTAGTCAAATTCATAAAGACAGAAAATAGAGTGGCTGGTTGCCAGGGGCTCAGGGGAGAGGAAGATGGGGAGTTACGGTTTAATGGGTATAGGGTTTCAACTAGGAAGGATGGAAGAGTTCTGGAGATGGATGGTGGTGATGTTTGCACAACAATGTGAATGTATTTAATGCCAGCGAATTGTGCACCTAAAAATGGTTTAAATTTTAAACCATATTATCCATAAAGTGGTAAATTATATAAAACGTAAAACATAAATTATATGTTTTATATAATTTACCACAATAAAAAATCATTACCCTCATGGAGCTCACAATCTAGGAGAGAAAGTTAATAAGCAAATTAAAATGTAAAAATCATTTAAGTAGATGAGCTTTTTTTGTTTGTTTGTTTGTTTGTTTCATTCTGGATCAGCTTTTGGTCTGCTCCCACTTTAAAGATAAGAAACTCAAGGACAGAGAGGAAAAGAAACACAATCTACCCATAAAACTCTGTCCGAATCCTCAGCCAATGCTCTTTCTATTGAATTATACTTCTTTTTGAGGTACTTCTATTACCTCTGTTTTATCTGAGCCATTCACTCATGTACTAGAAAGAGAATAGGCTCTGGCATCTGGGTTCAAATTTCAGCTCAGCTGCTTCCTGGAAGTTTGATCTTGAGATTTCCTCTTCAGTAAGATGGAGATAACAAAGCCTGCTTCATAAAGATGAAATGTAATTGGTTACACTTACATCTGGGTACAAAGTAAGGAGTCAGTGAAAATTAGTTCCTTTCCTAAATCTCTCAAAATGGCTTCTCTGAGTTTGTTGTTTATTTATAAGCTATGTTCAGTGTGTAAATACTTATAGTCTGGCAGTTTCAGCAAACATATTCATGTGTTTGAGCTTTTATAAATCATTGTAGAAATACAGTTTCTACAATGCTCAGTTGAACACCCTGGGAAATAAGCCAGATACATTTATCTGACCTTTATTTCACTGGGAGGGAAATTTCAAAGGATAAGTTTTGTAAAGAATTCAAAATGAGACCTAATTTATTCTTTTTTTCCAAAACATAAAGCCAATTCTTTGATATTTCTACTAGCTATTAAAAAATCAAAGCCATATTCCATTTTTAATCTTAAGACACTTATCTCTAAACCAAAAAATATATATATATAATGGCATAGGTTATGAGTGGCCACCTGAGAAATAGGTTATAAGTGTCTAGTCTCCCAAGAAGAACGATGTGTTTCTCAGATACTGTCTAGTGAATGCCTTGCAGGAATAACGGCATATAAATGGCATCGTGGAGGAGGAGTGGCAGAAGAAACAAAGAATTCCAAAATGATTCTTAAAGATTTTGACTCAAAGAAGACCAAATATTCTTGTATTTTTGTATCATGTCTTTAAATTTATTTATCTGTGTAATATATTTGGTATTTTAACACATAACACATTATATTGTATAATTACTTATGTTCATGTTAACTTTAGTCTTTATAAAGACCAAACCAAATCCTTTGATTATTAGAAAAAGAAGCCACATTCCAATAAAAATAAAGAAACTACTCTCAGATTTGGTTGAATATGGAAAGCATTCTATATTTAAGACAGCATGACTTCTCTCTTCAACATTTAGTCTAGAAAAATGAATAATCCTTTTGGCATCAATTATACAATTATATAAGTAATATTTCAATGACTGAGATAAACTAAACATACTATCTGGAATTACCTTAAACATTTATGTTTATGTGATTGCTTTCAGGGTTCTCTACACCTAAAGTGCTTGTTTCTCTCACACTTTAAGTTCAAAATCTTGATCATTTTTCAAAGTATACCTCAAATATCTCCTTCTCCATGAAGCCTCCCCTTGTTCCCCAGTCAGAATGAGTTGCTTATTTCTGTGAGCAGTCATTATTATGTGTCCCTCCATTATCTCATAAACTTAAAACAACTTATAACCATTGTTGTAAGTTCAGATGTTTCTCCCATTTGGCTGCAAGCTTCTTAAGAGCAGGACCATCATCATGGCCCCTATTGCTCTCAACACATATCTGACACTCATCCATTCATTCATTCATCCAACAACAATTTATTGCATTCCTGCTGTTTGATACTATGGAATAAACAGGAGGGAAATACAGGAAAAATTAACAACTAAGTCTTAATGTCATGGGGAGAATTTTGCAAGCCAAGAAAGCTCTGAAAAAAATAAGGATAAAAATATTGGTACAGACCAGATGTACTGAAAGCATTCACAGAAGCCTTATATCACAGAACTGATGTATTTTTATAGCCAGTGTATATGCTTCTAAGTTAAGAATCTCTCTCTTATACTACTTTGACCATTTTATGTGATCTGAGACTCCTGTGGGTTGTGTATAAAAAGCTGGTAGGCTCAGAGTGAGTGAAATAAATCTAATCAATGTTTATTTTCAAAAGAAAACATGAATTGGCAGTAAAAATTTAGAGGGAGGAAAAAGACAGAAACTATTTTTTCATGATAAAGGCCTAAAGTCCAACTTACAACTCTCAAGCTAACTACATGAATTCTTGGAAAAGAAAACTTGTTTCCTTTTGAAACTTTCCATTAAAACAAAACATATTGCTATCTCAATATATATGTTACACTTAGATTTATTTCAAATACCATTTTTTGTATGTGCTCTTGAGATAATAGGTTTCCTATTTCTTTACCATAAATTAAATTCAATTTTTCCGAGCATATGTGCCAACTTAAAAAAAGTATATCATTGTCAAACAATTTCTGATAGGGCAATTTTAAGTTGATATTATGCTCCATTCTATTCTCCCAGGTCTTTCTCAGTGCCAGACCTCCTGGTCTTGTCCACTGAGGCTTCAAGCACTCTTTACATCTCATGATTCATTCGCCCACAGAATACAGACATGATTTCTGATTTTATACAAGAACACTGTATGTTCAACTTAAATCTTTTTAATTTCCTGAAACAATTACCTTCACAAAAACTAGTCCTCTTCTGTACCAATGTTTCAGAATCACAGAAAGCTATTAATTATTAACATTTCTGTATATATCTCTAACTTGCCCTGTCACATTATTGTTTGGTTTCCAAGACCTTCTCCTCTAATCTCTCATTGGCCGCTCTAAGATTTTTCAAACTTTTCCTGAAAGCCTGTCACTTCCTTCATACCTGACCTCTGATAGAGCACAGACAAGTCTTCCTCCCCCATTCTCTAGAGAATTCAACAACACTCTGTCTTAGGTGGGGACTGACTCTGTCGCCCGTACTAGGATCCTTATCAGCTTTTATTATTTTGTTTGTTTGCTTTTAGAGACGTGGTCTCACTATATTGCCCAAGATGGCCTTGAACTCCTGGGCTCAGGGATTCTCCCACTCCTGCCTCCCAAGTAGCTAGTATTAACAGGTGTGTGCCACTGTGCCTGGCTTTTCTCATCGACTTTCAACTAACTCTAGTCCATTTCCATTGTAAGAGTAGGGCATACTGGATCACTGAATCTATTAATTTTCTTTCTTTCTTTCTTTCCTTTTCTTTCATTCTTTCTTTCTTTCTTTCTTTTTTTTTTTGTTTTGTTTTGTTTTTTTGGGACGGAGTATTTCTCTGTTGCCCAGGCTAGAGTGCAGTGGCATGATCTCACCTCACTGCAGACTCCACCTCCTGGGCTCAAGCCCACCTCCTGCTCTGCCCCCCAAGTAGCTGGGTCTATAGGCAGATGCCACCATGCCCAGCTAATTTTTGTATTTTTTGTAGAGAAGGGGTTTCACCATGTTGTCCGGGCTGGTTTCAAACCCCTGAGATGAGGCAATCCGCCCACCTTGGCTTCTCAAAGAGCTGGGATTACAGGCATGAGCCACCATGCCTGGCCTCTATTAATTTTCAAAACATTTCACTTAAAATGTCAGATTAATTCTGAAACAAAAAATACCCCATTAACTATCAGTATGACTCTACAGATTAAAAAAATCCCCAGTATAGTAGCGCCTAAAACATTCCAACATGGTATCAGCCCTGCTGAGTTCCAATCCTGGCTCTGCCACAGATTGAGCAGGCTTGAGCCATTTTTTCTGGATCTCTGAGCATCATTCATCATTCATCTCTCCAGACATTAGTCATCTATTAATATTTATCTCATGTGCCAAGGTTATAAGAGGGAACAACACAGTCACAGTGGTTCACTAGACTGGCTTTCTAATGTGCTGTTACCTCATCTTTATAACAGAAATAATACCCATCTTGTAGGGTAAAATTAAATGAAGTCAAACACATAACACATGTGGAAGTCAATTAATTATAATGTTTATTATCCAGTACTTAACACAGTGCCTAGCCCATAGAATCTCAACCCATATTTGCTTCATTCATTCATTTATTCATTATTTCTTTCTCTACACATGGTGCCTCACCACCTCTACACCACTCACCCACTACTTCCTTGTCCCTAAAGGATAATCTCATTAAGACTCCCAGCTGAAATCCTTCAAGGCGAGATGACCTTTTCAAACCCGACCAGTACAGTTCACAGGAAGCTACACCTCAGCCAGAGTTATTTTGGAAGCTATCTCTGAGGCCCCTGCACAACCAAGAGAACAGCATCCATGGTTCATGGCAAGTCATTTACTACCCAGAAAATGCCTGGGTTTTCTTAATCCATTTGTTTATTTTTCCCAGGTTATCACTTCAAGGTATCCCATCAGATGAAAATGATATAGTATCTCCCATTTTATTGGTGAGAGGGTTTTCCCCCCATGGGAGTTGCTGAGTCTTCAAACATTGTTAATTAAAACAATAATAATAATAATTTAAAATCTTTATTTAAATCTACTTTCCATGAAATGGATCCCCTCTCAAATATATAGTTGTTTGTAGTTATTAGCTCACAGTTTGAAAACTGAAGGATATTTTATAAAGGCATTTGTGTGTTGAAGTATCAATATAAAGTGTAACTCTGGAAAGACCATAACGTTTAACGCTATATGTATTTGTTTCTAGACACTGTGAGAAGTTGTGTAGCAAAGTTGTTCTTCACCTGCTCCCTGAAGGGTCATTACTGCCTATACAGTAAGTCCAGTTTTATTCTCATCAGCCAAGAACCTCAGCCATGGATCCAGATCATGTTTCTATTTCAGCAGGTTTGTATAATTTGTGTTCATCAGGCTCTTTAATGAGCTTCTGGGATATGGGCTTATAATCATTTTTATTGAATTATTCTTTGGCCAGAGTTGATATGTAGATAACAGCAATACATACATATTTCATTAATAACTTTAACCTCGGTTTTTTATATTTTAGGATAGTTTCCTTATAAAAGAAGGAATTATTAATCAGTTAGCCAAACATATTAATGTCTTAAATATCCTTAGCTTTAAAAAAGAAGAATGAAAGGGAAGATATCTTTGGTTAAACAACAGCAAAAACAGCGTATTTGGGAGAATAGCTTCCCTTATGTAGTTCTAGCCTTGATTTGTCTAGTCTTCCAATCTCCAGTTAATGTTAGTGTCAGTATATCCTTTTTGACATTGTTAAGATACTGGAATGTCTCTTTTTTCTATAGAATATATGTACATAGGTGAAATTATGTAAAGAGCAACTTACAACTTGAGAATGAAGAATTTGATGCATAGATGTTAGCATCAAAAGAGATTCTTATTTGAAAATAGTTATCTCGGATGCACTAAACTTTCACATAAAATTTGAATGTAGATTATAAAATGTTAGTAATAGAAGGAATCTTAGGAATCATTTTTACAGATAAGAAAATGAAAGGGCAGAACTCAGATCGTCTGACCCCTGACCCAGTGATCTTTTTATTGTCACACATATGTTGAAAAATAATGTATTTTTATTTTTAAAATGCATTATTTTATGCAGCTAGAAGCAGGGAGGGTAAAGGCAGAAAAAACAAAATGCAAATGTTATAACACGGCTGAAAAGCCAAATGATATGACACTTTATTTACTTCTGTTAATAAAATATTTCCATAATATCTCCTATAAAAATCACCAAGAAGACAGTTGTATTTCATTATAAGATAAAGTCAAGCTTATTGGGAAATAATGAATTTTAATGCTGAATACATTATAATAATAAAGTAGAACTATAGCAATTAAGAAAAGAGACAGATTGGACATGCCTTAGGAATACTGTTTTTTTCTAAAGCGAGTCTTCTTAGGAACATTTAATAACATCTCATAGAGAACAACTCACATTTTGGTGTGAACCAAATTGTATGTGAATACAAAGAACAGCATTGACTGTCTTTCGTTTTCTTGAAATAACGACCTTATTTTTCTTCTATTTTGCTTATATTTTTCACTTAGTTTTCATCAGTGGTTTTATATTTGGTTTCATCTTTGGCTTTGTTCTAAACAGTTGTCAGTTTTCTGAAAAAAAAACAAGAAATCTTGATGGGTTTTTTTGCCCCTCAGTATTATTTTATTGATTTTGTCTGATTCTTTGTCTTTCTCTTTAAGCAAAATCACCAAAAAGTATCTGTGTATGCTATGTTTCTTCTGTGTTCATTTTACGGTAATGGTTTCTTTCTTTTTCCACACTTATGATATTGTGTCATTTTCTGCCTGAATTCTGGCTTTCGGGTAAATAAAAATCAAACTTTGACTTGATATTAATAATTACAACCTGACTACTCTTGTGCATTGGGCCAAATTCTTTCCGTTTTCTGTCAACTACATATATTTATAAAGTTCCCAAATTCACAGATTCCAGTCTAAATGCTCCTGTTTAGATTGATGATTCATTAAATCAGGTTCTGTTGTTTAAATGAAAAATTGGGTGCTTCATCAGTTTTTTATAATAATAATTTATCAGATGTATTCACATTATGGGTTATGTAATTTATCTATTGCTGGCTCTTAAACTTTTTAAATCTGTGGATCACTAACTTGAGCATTAAGATCCTCCATCTTTTCCCATTCAGTACTAGAAATAGTTTATTTTGATAATAATAAAATTTTTCTGGAATAGTATTTATTAATCTTCATTCACTAAATAGAAGCTTTGTACATACAAACCACTTAGTCTCATACACCAGTGCTTAGACAGTCATTGACATAAAAAGAACATATGATTTCATAAGCCAATCTCATTATTTTATTATACATTATACATAAAGGATCCTTTATATCACATTGTATGTAGGTAAATGGTATTTTATACCTTTATAGATGTTCTATACATTTTTTTAAAATTGTTCCTTTGAATTGAAAAGCTTCTTACATTTATAGGTATAACACTATCACATGTAAATGATTATTAGACACATCATTGATTAGTAAATATACAAACACAACTTAAAATCTTCCTTTGAAAAGTTTATTTTCATTGGCTTGAATGAAATATATGTAAATGTGATTTTCTTTATGTTCACATTCTTACTGATCAACATTTAGAGAAATTATCTTAAAGTTTTAAGAATATTCATCTATTATACATTTTAGAATTAAAACTGTTTTTGTGTCCCCCACACACCCACTCATACTGTTCATATTTGATTAATTTCATAATGAACTTATTTAATTTCTATTCTTAATGATCTACTCTGTATAAATAGACTTGATTTTTGTACTCTATTTGAATTTTATTCTTTAATTCCCAGATCTTTGAGAAAATAAATATGAATATTTATATTAACCATGTTCCAGTTAAAGAACATCCTTGGGAAATCACTGAGATAAACACTATATTACAAAGGTTAGGCATATTTATGGAGATCATTATCAACTGCCTTGAAAATACTATGAAATAATTTTAAATTTCTGTTAAAAAATGAAAATCCTGAAATATATCATATGTTTGATCTTTTTCGTTTAATTTTTTTTTTTTTTTTTTTTTTTTTTTTTTTTTGACGGATCCTCCCTCTGTCACCCAGGCTGGAGTGCAGTGGCATGATCTCGGCTCACTGCAACTTCTGCCTCCCGGCTTCAAGCAATTCTCCTGCCTCAGCCTCCCGAGTAGCTGGGACTACAGGCTCCCGCCACCACGCCCGGCTAATTTTTTTTTATTTTTAGTAGAGACGGGGTTTCACTATGTTAGCCAGGATGGCCTCGATCTCCTGACCTCGTGATCCACCCACCTCAGCCTCCCAAAGTGCTGGGATTACAGACATGAGCCACCATGCTCGGCCTCGTTTAATTTTTTTAAGAGAGGTGGAGGTCTTGTTATATTGGCCAGGCTGGTCTCAAATTCCTGGTCTCAAGCGATCCTCCCGCCTCAGTATCCCAAAGTGCTGGGAATACAGGCTCATTCATCATGCCCAACCCCATATGTTCGATCTTTAAGACAGATCTTTTTCTTGTTTCATTTAAAATTAAATCATGTTAAAGTTCAAACCAAGCCTAAACAGTGCCTTGAAATCAATCAAACAATACTATTGGGACAAGACATAGTATATTCTGTTTCTGTCTTTAATGCCCTTTCAGAGCCTGTTTCCTGAACCCCTGTCCATTCAGAGTCATTCTGTGCAATTCCTCAGAGCTCTGTGGGAGAAGACCCAGGCAGGGGGTGCTCACAGCTTTGAAACTGCCATGATGGAGTCCACGTTTCCACAGCAGAAGGTAAATATTCCTTTCCTTGGCCATGTTACAGGCCAAGATTTAAGATTGTCTTGAAACAGTTTCCCTTTTTTTTAGCAATTAAATTTCATCCTTCTTTCGTTTACCTTTCTTTTATTATTATCATAAAACACTTGTAAGAAATTATTTTCACGTGGTATAGTAGATTCAGAATAGAGTGGTACCAGTAAACAAGGACATTGCCCTTTGAGGTCTGTATACTGACACAATACAGTTTCCTAGAACCACACAATAACTGCATGCATAGTATGAAATAGAAAAGATTTTACAGCTGGGTGTGGTGACTTTTATCTGTAATCCCAGCTACTCAGGAGGTTGAGGCAGGAGGATAATATGAGGCCAGTAGTTCCAGATTAGCCTGAACATCATGGCAAGACTCCATCTTAAAAAAAAAATGTTGGCCGGGCACGGTGGCTCATGCCTGTAATCCCAGCACTTTGGGAGGCCGAGGCGGGCGGATCACGAGGTCAGGAGATCGAGAGCATCCTGGCTAACACGGTGAAACCCCGTCTCTACTAAAAATACAAAAAATTAGCCGGGCGTGGTAGCGGGCGCCTGTAGTCCCAGCTACTCGGGAGGCTGAGGCAGGAGAATGGCGTGAACCCGGGAGGCGGAGCTTGCAGTGAGCCGAGATCGCGCCACTGCACTCCAGCCTGGGCGACAGAGCGAGACTCCATCTCAAAAAAAAAAAAAAAAAAAAAATGTTTTTTTTTAATTAGCCAGGCATAGTAGCACATGCCTGTAGTTCCACTACTCCTTGATCTTGGTCTTCCTAGCTCCAGAACTATAAAAAATAAGTTTCCATTATTTATAAATTACCCAGTCTCAGGTATTTGTTATAGAAGCACAGTGACTAAGAAAGAAGGCTTGAACTAAAGTTAGAAGTTATAGGAAGATTGGAGAGCTATTAAGAAAGTCAAATCAACAGGACTGACAGCCTGATAAGAAAAATAGAAGAATCCAGGATGACTCCAGGTGCATTGTTTGGCTAACTGGATGATAATATCACTCTGAAAATGAGAAATCACAAAATAATCTGATGGAGCAGAAGAAGATAAAGCATTCTGGTTTACATATTTCAAATCCAAGCTGTTTATATGGCTAACTAGGTGGTGGTGGTGGTGGTTAAATACCAATGTGGGCTTCAGGAAGAAAGCCATGACTGGAGATATGGATTTGGGAGTCACAAGCTAGCACTT
Organism: Homo sapiens; assembly: GCF_000001405.40. Taxonomy (NCBI): domain Eukaryota; kingdom Metazoa; phylum Chordata; class Mammalia; order Primates; family Hominidae; genus Homo; species Homo sapiens. The sequence continues at coordinate 157,312,403 of NC_000003.12, read as the reverse complement.
ACTGTCATGGCAGAAGACTGGATTGCTCAAGGGAAATATGTACATTGAGAGAAAAGAATGGTTATTAATCTCTTCTAGTAAATATTATCAGCTTCTCTCTTTTAGCCCTTCCCAAACTCGAATATTCTGATTATTCTTATTTTGCCTTTTAGATAGCCCAGTAATAAGTATTGGATGCTTACTGAGCAAACCAGATGTTCTGAGAATAAATGATCATGGTGTCTGTCCTTGTTTTACTGTTGAAAAGGGAGACAAGCATGCCAATATTAAACAAATTCATAATACAAATGAGTAGCAAATTAAGTACTCCAGAACTGGTCTCTTGTGAAACTAACATAATATTTTTAAATGATGAAGAATTCTAATAATATGAAAAATGAGCATGATTTATCAGAAGTTTATTTGTAATGCTCTGTAAGACACTAAAGACATATGAAACGATTGCATCACTACTTTTTGGCTTGTGTTTAGGAATTCAACATGCAGTATTAAAAATAAAGGAAATGCCACAATTGCCTCAGTGTAGAGTAAAATGGAATTCTTTGTACATTTCATTCAAATTTTCAACTGTTGCATCATATTTGAAGACAATGCCTCAAGTTCTCATAAATTTTTTATTGCTAACTGTATTTTAACTAGAGGCAACCAGTAAATTAAAACCTGGCAGGCTGCTTCAAATCCTAAGAGATTAAAAAAAAATACTTGGCAAACTAGTTTTGTGCATACTCACAAGTATACTTATTCACATTTCTTGTGTTTCATGCTAATAAACATTTCTCTAAGGGAAAATTAACTGTAAACAAAATATAAAATTTTTTAAAGTTTTATAATTTGGTTTGTTCATGAGTAATAGAAAAAACTTTGATATCTGCAATGTACATTATGTGGCAAATTTATCTGCCCAAGTATTTCTCAAGTAGATTTTTTCCGATTTTTTTGAAATGTTCTCTGTACTAAATTCAAAATAGCTGTAAGAATGGTGCAAAGTCTGCTTTATTTTCATAATAGGTGCCATATAGACATACATTAGTGATTTGAAAGAGATGGCCATGTGTGTATCGGCTGCAGTGACGGAGTTTCACTGCAGCGAAATGCACACAAGAAAGAAGGAAGAAACTCCTAATGCCTGAGTATCTAGAATATAACATTCTGGACAATATGAAGAGAAGTTTGTTATTGTGGTTGCTTTTTAATAGAATCTTGGAATTTTAGAACTAAAAATTATCAGTGAGATATCTATTAAATTGCAAACTGCTTGAGGGCAGGGATTTTGCTGTATTGACCATTGTGTTGCCAGAGCTACAAGGTGCTTGGCACACACTAGGCTCTCTAAATAATACATATCAATTGAAGAAGTTTAAAAATTCTATCATTTTCTGGATGTTAAAATCGGAAGCAAAGGAACTTGTTGAAGGTCAGTGGCGGAACTAGAACTGATACACATACCCTTGCGATATCAGGGTTGTCACAAATGAATCCGGTACTTCCCTCCTCTGGGCCCAGGAGAGGATCACATTTCCCTGTCTACTGAAGCAAGGCTGGCCATGTGACTTGCTTCAGCCAATGAAATATGGGAGGGGATATGTGTCACTCCAAGAGGAATCTTTTAAAAGCCAGTGTACTATTCTCTGCAATTTCTCTTTTCCTCTACCATGATGATGATGATTGTAGGAGCAAAAGTTGAAATTGAGTTGCCAGAAGATGAAAACAGCCTGGAATTCTGAGCCACCACATGGAGGGCTTCTGCTCTAGAGAGCCACCCAGTCCCACCACACGTTTTGTATGAGAAAGAAACATCTGTTGTTTTGTTAGAAACTGAAATTTTGGTGTTAGTTATAGCAGCGTAACCTGCCTTTCTTGATTCATACACCTATCAGAGTAGTTAAGCATGTTGGCTCTGAATCACCTGGCTTTAAGATCTGCTGTGCTCCTTACCAGCTGTGTGTCCTTTGTCTCTGTGCCCCAGTTTCTTTACTTGTACAGTGGAGATAATATTAGTACCTACCTCATAGCACTGTTTTGAGACTTGAATGAGTTAATACAGAGCTCTCAGAACAGTGGCCACACATTGTGATCTCTAAATAAATGTTAGCTAATATTCTAATCCCTAGCCAGCACCCCACCTCAAATAACACAAATTCAAACCCGTCTTACATACATTAAGGGAGGTTGAGAGTGGAGGTAGGAAGATGAACCTGATTGATAATCTCTCAAGTTATTGTACTTTTCTACTTTGATCAGACCAACATTACCAGAAACGTTTTCCAAATTTCAATCATGAATTTTCATTATAAAATTCAATCAAATTCAGCCAGGTGCAGTAAATTCAGCCAGGTACAGTCATGCCTGTAATCCTAGCACTTTGGGAGGCTGAGGCAGGCGGATCACCTGAGGTCAGGAGTTCAAGACCAGTCTAGTCAACATGGGGAAACCCCGTCTCTACTAAAAATACAAATATTAGCCAGGCATGGTGGTGCCTTCCTGTAATCCCAACTACTCGGGAGGCTGAGGCAGAAGAATTGCTGGAACCCAGGAGGTGGAGATTGCAGTGAGCCAAGATCCCGCCACTGCACTCCAGCCTGGGAAACAGAGTGAGACTCTGTCTCAAAAATAAATAAATAAAATAAAATAATAAATAAATAAATTCAATCAATTATCTTTTGCAAACTATATATCAATCTCACACAGGCATCAAAATGTGGAAATGCTTATGTAATATAATGCTAAAATATTTTTAATATATAAAAATAAAAGTTTAATATTAGTGAACTTAGTAAAATGCATGAATTCAATAGTTCAAATTTTTAAAAATTATCACTTAAATGACATTTGATAAAATCCAACAATCACTTTACTAACACACATTTTGTATAAAAATTTTATTAATGTCTGTGTCACTAATTAGACTGGGTTTCCATGAGAACATATGCTTGTCATTGTACACCCAGCACCTAGAGCATCGCCTGGCTTACTGTTGACACTCAGTGATATGTGTTCACTGAACAAAGTGAGTGAGCACTATTACTAACTAGAAATGGAAAGATGTGTTCTTAGCATGATAAATATTTGTCTGATAACAAAAGAAAAACTATGCCTAGTGGTGAACAACTGAAGATTTTTTATTAAAATACTGAAATAAAACCAGAATATCCACTATAATCTTTATAATTTAGTATTGCTTGAAAGCATGAGCCAACATGAGAATATAAGCTCCATGAGAGCAGGGATCTTGTCTCCTTGTTTGTTACAGAATCCAGGATATCTAAAGAGCATGCCTGGCTCATACTAGGCATTAATAATAATAATAATAATAACAACAACAACAAATAGAACACAAGACAGAAATAAGGAGTATACTATTTGAAATAAGAAGATAAATTCAACATTACTTTTAGTTAATATGAAAATACAAGGAACACTATTAGAATTAATAATAATAATTAACTTTACTGGTCATTTAGAATGTGCCACTAATTGTCCTGTTCATTTAACATCAATTAGTTCACTTAATCCCAATGACAACACTATGAGATAGACAGCATTATTATTATCATCTTACAAATGAGTAAACTAAGTAGAAGAAAGATTAATTTTCTCAAAGTCACAGAGCAATGGAGAGAAATACACTTGAATGAACAGTGATATTACCACGTTCCTGATTGGAAATAGCAAATATGACAAAAATGTTAATACTTCCTAAGTTAATTAGCACTTTAACTGAGTTCCAATTTAAATTCTAAGAGAATTATTTTTTATCTCTTATGAAGTGATGGTAAAATACAGCCAGAAGGATAAATAGGTGAGACTAGTTTGAAAATTTTTGAGAGGGGCAAAAAAAAGGACATTCCAAAACATTTAAGCACACTATAAAACCTACAATTATTAAATTACTCCACTTTTATGGAAAGAATTAATGCAGATAAATGGAACAGACTAGTCCAGAAACCAACTCAAATATATACATATAATCAGTTAATGTATATATACAATTGTTTAGCTACGTATGAAACGAATCCTTTTTAAAAAGCCTACATAAAAGAGAATGATATCAAAACCCTAGAGCTAATTTTGTACATACAGAAAAAATGTAAAGGTGTTTGCTATAATTAGAAATTAAACAAGGATACCTGTCATCACCTTCAAAATTTAGCATTTTACAGTGATCCTACCCAATGCAGGGAGACAAAAGCAGTTAAGTATAAGGATTAAAAGAATAAACCAGAAAGAGAAAGAGATAGAGATGAGAGGGAGGATGAGGGAAAGAGAAATTATTTATAGACAATAAGATTATTTGTGTGGAAAGTTCAAAAGAATCTAACCTTTAGAACTTATATAAAAGATCCATAAAGTTATTTGATATAAGATCAACATATAAAATCAATAACAAATCTATACGTGAGTAATAACTAAATAGAAAATGTAGAAAAGCATGCCATCTATAATAGCAGTAAAGACTATAAAGGACCTAGGAATAAATATAAGAAAAGCTGTGAAACTCTTTAATGATAAAAAATTTTTTAATATTAATGAAAAAAATTTTAAAGACCTGAATTAATGAAAAGATATGATCTTTTCATGGTCAAGAACAACCATTATCATATAAATGAAAATTTTCTCCCAAATTAAAATGTAATTACAATTTCATAACCAATCCTAATGACAACAGACTTTTCTCATGGAGTTTGACAAACTGGTCCTAAATTTAGAATAAACAAAATCCTAAGAAAGACTGTGGGGGAGGAAATTTTTATGGTACAGAAAGAGAAAACTCATGTGATTATTTCCACAGGGATAAATTAATGGTAAATAATAAAGAGCCCAGAAACAGTCCCAATCATATATGAAAGCTTGGTAGGTGATAGAAGGGGGATTACAAATCAGCGAAGAGAAAGTAAAATATGTTTTAAATAATGTAAGGACATGTAACTTTTCCAAGCTGAAAAGATAAAAGTAGATCCTTCACAGACACCATATAGATCAATTAACTCCACATAAATTAAAGGCTTAAATGTAATCAATGAAATCTTATAACAATTAGAAGAAAATATCGAAAGTTATCTTTATAGCTCCAGGATAAGAAAAATGTGACAATACAAGTCTTGGCAAAGATGTGAAAAAGTGGGAATGTTCACACACTCTTGATGGAAGGAAAATAGGTATACCTGTTTAGAAAAAAGAACACTTAAGAACATATATATATATATAGTCATTAATTAGACTCAAAAATGACAGCTAGATTACTGTTAAGATGGGTGAGTAACTTTATTTCTGAAGTCTTAATTCCATTTAAAGCTGATCATAAAAATGCTTAAATACAAGAAGGTTTTTGTATTACAGTATATAAAATGTGCTAATACTACTCAGCTATTAAAAAGAACAAAATAATGTCTTTTGCAGCAACTTGGCTGGAGCAGGAGGCCATTATTCTAAGTGAAGTAAGTCAGAAATAAAAAACCAAATACTGTATTTTCTCACTTGTAAGTGGGAGCTAAGCTATGAGTATGTAAAGGCGTACAGAGTGGTATAATGGATATTGGAGACTTGGAAGCTAAAAAACTACATATTGGGTACAGTGTACATTATTTAGATGAAGGGTGCACTAAAATCTCAGACTTCATTCATCCATGTAACCAAAACCCACAAATTTTCATTTTCAGACTTCTTAAAGAGCAATCTGCTCTTTATAATATAATCAGTGGTTATATTATAATTTCATGTGCCCTATTTTTCTGCAGTTCTATTTCTAGATGAACTCTTACATATGTGCATCAGAAAACATGTACAGAAATACTAACTGAAGCATTTTTTGCAGCAAAAAATCAGGAGCAACCCAAATGTCCCTTGATAGAGGAATGTGGAAAAAAAACGTTGTGGTATAGTCATGTTATACAGGCAGGTAAAGTGAATTAATTAGACCTATATGTAATAGCATGGGATAAATCTTGAAAATATGATATTGAGTTTTAATAAGCAAGTTGCAAAACTATGATATGAATACTATGATAGCATAAATGTTATTGTATAAATTTTTAAAACACACCAAGCAGTGTTATGCATTATTTATACATACATATACTTATGATAAAAATACACTATATTTAGAATTATACAAAATTCATGATGAGGTTGCCTTTGGGTAAGGAGAAAGTGAGGAAAGGAAGGAGGAAAATGTTACCGGGGAAGGGAATTAAGGAGATCTCAATTTCATCTGTAATTTTATTGTTAAATAACCAGAAGCAAAATATTAGCATTTGTTAAGTCTGGCTGGCAGGTACATGGGTATTTGTTAAAGTGTCTTTTGTAGATGCTTTTCTGTCTTTGTTTTTTAAATTTAATTTAACCTGTAACTAATGTCAAAGAGTAAAGAATTGGTAGGTTTGACTACATAAAATATAAAGTCTGTAAAGAGCAAAACCTTTTATGCACAATAATTTTAAATGAAAATATTTGTAACAAGCATGAAAAACAAAGTTTAATATCCTTAAGCTACTACTATAAGTTCATGAAAATCAATAATCAATGAACGAAGAACATGAGCAAATACTTAGGAGACTGAGTCCGTAAAAGATATTCAGCCTTATTAGTAGGCAAAGTAGTCAAAGTTAAAATAAGTTACCCTTTTTAACACATTTTTTAAAATACAATAATCAGTGCTGGCTTGAGCAAGAGTTAAGGCACTCACACGTTTCTAAGTTGAAGTGTAAATTATTTCAACATTTCTAAAAAGCAATTTAGCAATGCAGTTCAAGAGTCTTAAAAATATTCATATCCTTTCACACAGTGATTCCACTTCTAAGAATCTGTTCTAAAGAAGTAATCTGAAACATGTACAAAACTTAAGATAAACAAACACAAAAAGTATTGCAGAGGGATTTATAAATAGCCTAAATGTCTAAAGATAGGAGAATGAAATTATTATACAACCATATAAAAGAATATTTTTTGTAGGTCTAGTCCTGAATCCAGGTAAAAGAATATTTTTAAGACAGATAGAGGCCGGGCGCGGTGGCTCACGCCTGTAATCCCAGCACTTTGGGAGGCCGAGGCGGGCGGATCACGAGGTCAGGAGATCGAGACCATCCCGGCTAAAAACGGTGAAACCCCGTCTCTACTAAAAATACAAAAAATTAGCCGGGCGTAGTGGCGGGCGCCTGTAGTCCCAGCTACTTGGGAGGCTGAGGCAGGAGAATGGCGTGAACCCGGGAGGCGGAGCTTGCAGTGAGCCGAGATCCCGCCACTGCACTCCAGCCTGGGCGACAGAGCGAGACTCCGTCTCAAAAAAAAAAAAAAAAAAAAAAAAAAGACAGATAGATAGATGAAATAGAGAGATAGGAAGATAGATAGATAGATAGATAGATAGATAGATATAACAATACACAGTGAGAGACAACTATTTCCTGGCTCTCTCTGCTGAGAGAACAAAAAATATTAACCAATCCTGAAAAGTCATGTTTATGAGACATGTTTAATGATATGAAACACACTTACAGTAAATACCATATTTCAGGGTACAAAATTACTTTTATAAAGAATATTATTTGGAGGATTGCCCATTAAATCAACCAAAAGGAAATATAATAAAATGTTAATGATATAGCTCTAGTTGATGGGATTAGCATTTTCTTTTCTCTATATATTTCTTTTATAATCAAGGAAAAAATATTACTTTAAGTTATATTGCCTTATGTAAATGAGCAGTTTACTTGAAGAAAAATAGATTCTAAGATAATTAATTTCCATTATAAAATAAGGATTTTAGAAAGATGGTGGAGAAGCAGTTGATTTATTGAAGAAATGAGAAAGACCACCATGGAGCAAGTAGAGATTACTATTAATAATTTCGTTTCAGTGCATGTGCTACCCAACACTTCAGAGGGAATGGCACTCTGATTATCAGAGGACCAGAGAGTTGACAAAGTTGATTGAAGGATTACTAAAGGGCCAGAATTTCAGAAAGAAAAGGCCTTTATTAACACGTGTTCCAGTTACCAAAGCATAGGGAAATGTTGTATGCTGCAGAAATGGGATCTCAAAACTATGTCCCTTACAGAAAAAATAAAATAAAATAAACTACATTTTCTGCTGAAGTAAAATGTGCCCCATCTGGCTAACATTTGGTGATTTGTTTTCAGTCCACATTGCTACAAACACACTTGATAGTTCCCAGGATAACTGACAGGAGTGTCAAGGCATAAATAAAACTGAAACACTAATTCTGGGTGGAACCCAAGGAGACTTTCTGATGCTCCCACAGGCTTAGATCTAGTGTTTTGGGTTAAAGTGTTAATGTGCTTGAGTATATAAATGCATAAGTAAGTAAATAAAAGGTAGGCCTATTATATATAAGATGTAACAGTATGTGTGTATATATATATATATAAAAAATATAAGATGAGAAATTTAAGTCTACATGTGTGATAGAAATGACAAGTGCTGTGGAAGGTCAGTCTCCAGAAGAGCCGTATGAATATATGTTCAAGAGAACCTTCCTTTCAGGGCAAGCTAGAGGGGAAAGGGGTTTGGAATTTCAGAACCCCAGTGGGGGCGGAGGATTCTAGGCTTTCAGGCTATGAGCTCAGAACCAGGAAAATCTGACAGGCAGTTTCTAAGTGGCAATGGTGAGGTAAAAAGATAAACAGAAAATGTGAATGAGAGTCTACCCTAAGAAGCCAGACCAAGGGGCTAATCCAGTGCTTAAGGGGAAAACTAAATGAAGACTGCAAATCATGGAAGGACCTGGAGGGCAGATTGAAGGTGGAATGTGGATGCAGAGGCAAATGTCTGGGACACTCTTTGCTCAGGCAGGGAGCTGGCTGGAAAGTGGTAGAAATTGAAATACAGAGTTCGGAGGCTTTTTTATCTTTAAAGAGAAAAATGGTTCCATATAGAAAGAATGGCATGAGAAATAACACGGAGGAGACAAAATAATCACAGCAAAATCATGGTAAATATGACTCTAAGTTCATGTATTCAGTCAAAAATATTTTTTGCAAATGCCTGCTCTATACCAACCACTGTGCAGAGACTAAACAAACAATCATGATCCCTACCCTGATGGAAACAAGCAATACACTAAGAAACAAATACACAATTCCACACTGATAGATACTGTAAAAGATAATGCTTAAAGAAAATGAGCATTTGTTGGATGGTCAAGGAAGCCTTCTCTGAGCAGATGTCAGACAAGTTTTCCTGGCAATGAGAACAATTTGCACAAAGGCCTTGAAACAAAAAAACAAAAACAAAAAAGGAAGAATAAGAGAAAGGAAAAGCTTTGGTGTATTAGAGCATTCTCTTCAAATGTAAGTCACACATCTCATCAAAAAATTTTTTTGAGCAAGTACCTTCAATATGTGCACATTTATTTACCTTTAAACTATATACATACATTATTTTACATACTTGTTATTTCACTATAAAACATTGAAAAATAGAAATTTTAAAGGACGAGATGAAAAATAAATAGAAATGAAAGTTATATTTTCTTCCTCCTGTATCACAGTGGATGGTCACACCTACCCAAAAGTGAGCACACTCCCCTTTCACAGCATTGGTGGAGCCAGTGAACAAAGGGGAGAGTGGAGACTGGAGAGTTAATCTGGGGAATTCTGTCCTGGCCTTTTAGACCATGGCAAGAAGCTTAGATTTTTTTGTGGTCTATGGAAAGCCACGGAGGAGTTTTGAGCAGCAGTCCTTAGTTCAGTTTCTTTGTCCATTTGGGCTGCTATAACAAAATACTATTAACTGGGTGCTTATAAACAACAAAAATGTTTCTTACAGTTCTGGAGGCTGGGAAGCCCGAGATCAAGGCAGATTCAGTGTCTAGTGCGGGCCCACTTTCTGGCTTACAGATGTCACCCAAATGCTGTGTCCTCACGTGGTTGAAGGGACAAGTGATCTCTCCTGGGCTTCTTTAATAAGGCACTAATCCCGTTTATGAGGACTCCATCCCCAAGACTTAATACCTCCCAAAGGCCTCCCCTCCCAATGGTATCACCTTGGGGGATAGGATTTCGGTGTATGAATTTGGTGATGGTAGGGGGACATAAGCCTTCAGTCCATTGCAACCAGGTTGTTTTTAAAAGATTGCTCAGTCTGCTGTGTGGGGACTAGATTGGAAAGGGACAAAAGTAAAATTAAGGAGATCACAAAAGAGACTATTGCTAATCCAGGTAAGAGAAGAGAGTAGCTTAAACTTGGATGATCCTGGTAGGGATGGAAATAAATGACATATTCAATATAACGGTTGGAGGTAAAAGTGACATAACAAACTAATGAATGGCATGTAAGTGTGAGGGGAAATGAGGAATCAAAGCTGATGTCAAGTTTCTGGCATGGTGGTATCATTTATTAAGGTGGATAAAACTGGGAGAAAATGAGCTCTGGGGAGGGGCAAGTGAATGAAGCTGGCACACAAGACTTTCAGACATCCGAATCTGAAGTTTCAAACACCTGCCAGATGTCCCAGTGGAATTGTCTTTTAGACAGTTGGATATCCAAATATGAAGTGACTTAGGCCAGGAATATAGATTAGGACATCATCAGCATACAGATGATGAAAACCATGGGAAGACTGAAGCAATCTAGGAAGAGAGTTTAGAGAGGAAATGGTCCCAGTTCAGGATTGCATCCACACGGCAGCCAAGAAATAAAAGAACCTCAGAAAGTGTAGAGGGCATCACAGATATCAAGAAAGTGTCCAAGAAGGAGAAAGAAAGGAATTGTATGGGACTGGATAGCCAAATCAAGATAAGTGTCCATTCAACTGGGCAACATGGAAAGAGCAGTTTTAATAGAGTTTTAAGGGCAAGGTACGAACAGAAGTAGGTGGAGGAACAAGAAGGAACGAGTAAAGAAGGAAACATAGCATATGTAGAGAGCTGTTTTAAGCAGTTTGGTGCTGAATGGGTTGGTAAGTGGGGGGATTGTAGAGATGAGTGAAAATGGAAGCCTTCAGAGCCTGTTTGTAAATTGCCGGGATGATGCAATAGAGAGGTTGAGATTGATGAAACAGGCCCAGGAAAAAACAAAACAAAACAAAAAAAGGTTATTTCCTGAGTGAAGAAAATGATGGATTTGTGCTGAGTTTCTCTTTATAAGAACCCTCTGCTTCTCCTCATAGCCCCAATACACACTCTACTCTTCGCCTTCAAAAAACAGAACAAGTACACCCACCAAGCAACTGGCCAAGGTTAGGACAATAGCCACTAGGGCAAGATGAAGTTAACTGACCACGGCTATGTTTACAGCATGCTCCGTGGATAAGGCTTGCAATGCTAGATAACACCGGGAGAATTTTCAGCTTAAGCAAAAGATGGATTTTTATCACAGTTTATGTAGTATCAGTAGACTCACACTCCTCCACCAGAGCCACGATAGTTCATCCGGGATTAATATGGCTAACATAAGAGGAGAGGTTCACATGTGAAGAGTTCTTGAGAGAAGTGGCATGGCTTTTCACAAGCATGACTTTTATTGATGCCTTAGGACCACTGAGTTTGGAAGTTCAGCCAAATTCTAAACTTTGCCTCCCTAAATACTATTTCTACCTTCATTTGGATTCATTTCTTTTCCTTAACAGATATACATGAGGGCCCCTCATTTAAACAATTCTGTACACACAATCCATTATATTAAGTGATTGCATATGATTTTGTAAATACATTGAACTTAACTGACAGTTCTATTTACTATTAAGAAACATTTATTTTCATTGTAATACACTTGTCTGTTGTTTTTTACTCTTTCTTTTTAATCCTCTTATCTCCTTTAGAAAATTATTACCTTTACTCTTGGCTAATTAATATACACTATTCGTAACTCTCTAACCACTGTCCACATACACTGTACTTATACTATACATATGCTTTTTTAACAAATTTAAATTGGCATAGAAATGTTTTCTCAGTTTAGTTGAAATCCTGGTTTATCACATGTATTATATTTCTTTCATATTTCACAAGCCAGACTGTCCTATAATGAAGCATGTCAATTTTACTACTGTCGTGAACATTCCTTCACAGTTAGCCAGATGTTCTGCATCAGTCAAGGAAATTTTTTAAAAAAAGGAAAAACCTTTAGAAAATAGTTAACGAAATAACTCTATTCCTGGGGGAACAGAGGTATGCAATCCCTCTGCAATGTCTGTTCTAATCTAATAGTGGTTGGGTTCTTTTCTTAAATAATCAGTGCATGAGTAAAATCCTTTTTTTTTCTTTTGCTGCTATCATGGATATTATGTGAATGCCAACAAACACCAGGCACTATACTATTAGAATAAATAGCACCTCTTTTTGTGCAAGAAGAAAGTGTGGTAACTAGAAACTCAGGATCTGGGTTTGAATCCTGCCTCTACCACCTACTTACCAGCGCTTTTATCTAACTCCTGTGTGCCTTACCTTCTTTACCTGCAAAGTGCAGAAAATAGCAGTAAACACTTCGCAGGGATGTCGTGAGATTCAAAAGACATAATACATGTAAAGTCCATGGAGCAGTGATTGCCATATAGTAAGAGCTCAATAAACAGTAGCTGGTACTATTTTATTGCACCTCCTCTGCAAGACCCCTCCAAACAAAATGAATGACTCCCTCAGCCATATTCCCATAATCTTTCACAAATGTAAATAAAGACATCAACAACAACAAAATTGTTTGATTTTGATGTCTTTGTGCCTCTCATAGGCTGTGGGATCAGGCTCTTTCCATTAATGTCTGCATGTCCCAGCATCTATCATGGCATCATGGCCTGAGGCAGAGCAGCTACTCAGTAAATGTTTTGAGACTTTATATTCTCAGTCATGATAAAGGTTTCTTTCTTTCTTTCTTTTTTTTTTTTTTTTTTTTTGAGACAGGGCCTCACTCTATTGCCCAGGTTGGACTGCAGTAGCACAATGATGTCTCACTGCAGCCTCGACCTCCCAGGCTCAATCAATCCTCTTACCTCAGCCTCCCTAGTAGTTGGCACTACAGGCGCCCAACACCACACCTGGCTAATTTTTGTATTTTTTTGTAGAGGCAGGGTTTCATCATGTTGCCCAGGCTGGTCTCAAACTCCTGGACTCAAGTGATCCACCCACCTCAGCTGCCCAAAGGTCTGGGATTGTATGTGCGAGCCACTGCGTTTGGCCATGTTTCATTTTTTGAGAATGATTTTTATTTTCACAAATAGCCCAACATTTATCTGAGCCCATGTGTACTATAAAAAGAGACTGCTCAAACTGAATAATAAATTTCCATGTTAGAAGCTAAGTTTCACTAAAGTAATGAGCATTATTTTCTTGTATGGCTCACAAATATACACCACAAACAACTCCAAAAGACACATCTAAAAAGGTTTTGAGCAGAGGCTGTATCACTAAAATGCGAGTAGTCATGCACACTTAACACTATTTCAAAATATAAATTCTGGTTTCGACCTTAAAAATCATAGCAATTTAGATATCTCAATACTAGACATACCAAGAAAGAGAACAGTCAGTGCCACTATCAGCTTTTAATTTTAGAATCCTGAAAGTTGCATGTGGATTGGAAAAATGTTGGTTGTAGGGACATATTACCCTTTCCCCCTTAGGGATTCCATGAATATGGAGTAATTTCTATGTTTTTTTTAATTCAGTAAAAAAAACTATTTCCTAGAATCTAATTATGTTCCATGTATTATTATATTTTTATCCTTCATTCAATATAATTTTTGGTTTGATGCCTCATTTCTGGGTCTGGTAATTTCTTCTGCCAACAGACAGTCTACTTTGTAGCCAACCCAAAGTCCTCATGCTGCATGCAATCTCCTTTCTTTATGGTCTTTCACTAGGACTGAGAGTAGCCTTAGACCACCACACACTCTAGTGCTAGTTTCATGGAGTAGTTCTCAGACCTAGTTTATGCAAGTGTCCTTGGGGCGCTTGTTAAAAATGCAAATTCTTAGGGCCTCTGCAGATTTTGCAAATAATATTCACTGGGTAATCCTGTGACTCTAGATCTTTGACAAGTTATCCTGGTAGTTCTGGGGCAGGAGGTCCCACAGCCTCTTCTGATAAAACATCAAAACAGAGGCAAAGGCAACTGAGATCCAGCTGACTTAGTTTGAGTGACATCACTACCACAGACATGCTCTGGGAACTGGGCAAGTCATTAACCTCACTACAGCTTGATTTCTTCATCTATAACTAGGAAAGAATCCACCTCCCTCATAGGGTTGTTAAGAAGGTAAAATGAGATGATGCATTTAATTCAACACCTAGCAGAGCACCTGGAACAGAGTAAGTGCAGCTATAAAACTATTATTTCATAAACTGCAAGGCTGGCACCAAATCACCTGTTTAGTCTTCCCTTTTCTGTGTGTAGATATCTTTGTGGTTCTGCCCTGAATTTTTTTCAATTTTTGGCCTCCTCAGTAAGAACTGAGTGCCATGGTCTATGTCTGATCAGGGCCTGGGTACCTCATTATCATCCTGTGTGTGTGTCTAATTATTCCCTGAATGGACACACTTCATTGCACCTTTTTATTTCAGCCTCATTAGAGTGCTCCATTGGCCCACCTTGTTATTTCCCGTCTCTTCACTAATGTCCCTTTTTTCTGCACCTCCTTTCAGTCTTCACATCTTCTTATGCCTATTTCTTTCTTCGTCGTATTAAATCCCTCCTTTTATGCTTGTCATTATTCCCTCCTTTCTACACAACTCATTACACCCCTCCATCTGTGAACTGCCTTATGCCATCCCATTTCTATCTCATCACATCCTCATCATGCACATATTAGCTCCTCCATTCATGCTTAGTACTGCATTCTTTCTCTCTGCTTCTTATCTACCACAACCTGCCCTTTCCACCCTCCCATTTAATGCTCCCATTTGTAAATCACATTACACCCCCCATGTCTTTATCATTACACTCATCTATTTATGCATCTCATTGCACCATTACCCATGCACATTTTTCTATGCTTTTCTATTTGTACATCACATTATGGCCTCATCAAGCATGCACATGTCATTATTCCCCTCTGAAATGTTCATGTCCACGTCGCATTACATCTCTTTATGTTTGCATCTCATTAAATCCAGCGCTCCTAGGTTTGACAACAAACTAACAAAAACAGACAGGTAAGTATGTTACCTGATTTTAGAAAACTAAATATGTTTCTCAGGCACCTAGCATTAGTGTTTCTTAAAGAAGTCATTCATTTCAGAAAGATTTACATACATTTATCTAGCTGAGAGACAAAAAACACTATATTTTACACACATAAAAAGGAGCTTCTTATTTTGCTTGATTTGAATTATCATCATCACTGCTTTTTTTTGAGATGGGGTCTCACTATGTTGCCCAGGCTGGTCTCAAAATTCCTGAGCTCAAGCAATCTGCCCACCTCAGCCTCCCAATATGCTGGGATTACAGGTGCAAGCCACTGTGCTTGGCCATTATCACTACTTTTTATTATTTCTCCACAGTTTACAAAGTAGTGCAATTATCCATTAATTGATTGTGGCAAAAAGTCACTGAAAGAGACAGGTTAGGAATCAAAGTCATTTTATAGTTTGAGGAGTGCATTAAAAGCAAAGAGAAATTAAAATATTTTCCCAAGAACTGCCAGTGAATGGCAGTGGCAGGGCTCAAACTCTGATCTTCTGACTCCAAAATCTATATTCTTCATTCTGTACCACTCAGCAGAAAAACTTTTATTTCTAAGTATCCTCTCTGTCACTTAGCCTATGCTGTAATAATTCTCTAAGACAGAACTTGGTGTCAGCATGCTTTGTTTTGTTTGGTTTTCTGAAACAAAATAGAACATATTTCAAACACTTAGTACTTTAGACCTGTTTATCTCCAAGTTTGAAGAGCTAAAAGTTAAAAGAAACTGTAACATGGAGCCTTCTAACAAGAGAAAGGAGAAAGACTTTCACCACCAAGGTCAGTCTCAACACAGGCAAAAGAAGGAGACTCCTCTACAGGGAGTTTGAGGGGTACCAAGGAAGCCCACACACGCATACACACGCAGAACCTTTCTTCCTCACAGAGTCTGACCCTTGCTAGTCTCTTTGCTTCACTAAACTGTGTTCTCTGCCTCATTTTTATTTTTCATCAAATTATGAAATAGCTCATAAATTCAGAAAAGTACAGAAATGTGATATCCATTCCTGCCACAGATAGATGTTTACATTTCTTCCATATTTGCATCAGATATCTCCCTTTACAAAAAGAAACTGTTGTAAATATTCTCCTGAGGTTGTTGTGTATTATTTCCATGAATGCTTTTGTACTGTTGTTTTAAACTTTTACCTAAATGTTATCAGATGGCACATATCTTTTGCAATGTGATTTCTGCACTTAATGTTATGTTTTTTAAATATATCTGTTCATACATGTAGAGCTAGCTCGTTCATTTCAGCATCTATAAAATTTTCCACTGTGTAAATAGACCATAATTTATTTATTTATTTATTTTTTTTTGAGATGGAGTCTCACTCTGTTGCCCAGGCTAGAGTGCAGTGACCTAATCTTGGCTCACTGCAACGTCTGCCTCCCAGGTTCAAGCGATTCTCCAGCCTCAGCCTCCTGGGTAGCTGGGACGACAGGCCTGTGCCATCACATCCAGCTAATTTTTAAATATTTAGTAGAGATGGGGTTTCACCATGTTGGCCAGGCTGGTCTCCAACTCCTGAGCTCAAGTGATCCGCCTGCCTCAGCCTCCCAACATGCTGGGATTACAGGCATGAGCCACTGTGCCTGACCAACCGTAGTTTACTTTATCCAGTTCTCTACTGAGGGGTGGTTCAACTTTCTTAAAACTGCCTCCAACACCAGCTCTCTGCTGTGTGAAGTGACTAAATGGAGACATTTAAAATTCCAGCATCATGGGAAGTAATACCTTCTCTCTAAGTCCATAGTAGAGTCAGTTTTATTTCCTCTGTAACTATACAAAGTAGTAAACATGTCAACAAAATGATAATTCTTTTTTTTTTTTAATTTTTTCAAGACAGGGTCTTGCTCTGTTGCCCAGAATGGAGTGCAGTGGTGCCATCATAGCTCACTGCCTCCACGAACTCCTGGGTTTAAGTGATCCTTCTACCTCAGCCTCCTGGGTAGCTTGAATAGCAAGTTGGCAGAACCTAGTGAAATTGAGGATATGAATAATGTTAAATTTTTAATGTATCATGCAAACAAGGTTTCTGGGGGCATCACAGATTACTATTATTTACTTAGCAACAAATAACCTCCTAAGTTTCCTTTTGCCTCAGTTGTTAGCCCTGGGGCAACATGATGAGAACCAGATGTCATCTTACACATCCTAGGGTCTGTACTGTAGGCAAGGAACCTTGACAATGTGAATTTGAGTATTTACATAGGGGGTGGAACAGCTGTCCCTGAAAGGAGAGAACAAAAATCTTTGCTCATTGGGAAGGGGTCTGGGTTCTTACTTTTACCCTTTAGAATGTAAATAAACCCCTCCAGGTTGAAGGGAAGACTAATGTCTCCAGCTTGACAACCCAAGCTCCTATATCCTGGGTCTCATCCCCATCTTAAAATGTAAACATACCTCTGGGAAAATAAATCTCTCTAGATGGTATTTCACTTTCTAATTAGTCATAAATTTACTTCTAAAGCTTGTTTTTTTAGCCCAGGTCCCAAGTTTCAGTAAAATTTGTTCAAAAAGCCCTAACTGTGCAGAAACACAAAAATATTTTCACAGCCCTAAACTAATACACTATGACACAGCAATTCCACTCCTGAGTGATTATCACAGAAAAATTTTTGCTCACATCCACAAGGGAACACGTGTAAGAATATTCATCATTACATCATTGTGTAAGTTCAGAGATGGGGGCACCCTTGGTGCCCACACTAAGGAAATGGTTAGGTGAAATGTTGGGGGTGGTGGATGCACACCATTAAATCACTGTGCAGCTGTAGAGGCAACAGTTAGCTAAATATGCATAGAATACCACATAGAGATCTTGAGTGAAACAAACAAGAAACCAAATAGGGTTCACAGCATACCATTATTTGCAAAAATGAAAAATAAACATTGCTACGTATTTTTCAAGAATACGTATCTGTTCCAAGACATGTGTCAAACCCAAAAGGTGAATACTTATAAAAAGGGGAAGTTGGAGAAACAGTCTGAGAATTAAAGTGGTATTAGGGATAAAGGAAAAAAAATAAAATTATGAGAATGAGAGAAGCACCTTGGCTCCAACTAAATAACCTACATGGTTAGGAGCATGGTTTTCCTGCTATCTGATTTCAAAAGGAAGGAAAAAAAGCCTCTCCAAATTAGCTCTTTAACATCAGCATTCTCTGTAGTATAGTACCACAAATAGATTTAACAAGTAGTACTAAATATTTGTTGAATGTAGGTGGCAGTAATCAATTAGAAAAAAAAATCACTGCAATTCTTTGCTTTGCACTATGAAAGGAGAATATGTAAGTGCTGGCTATAATTGCCAAAAGTTCTGTGATTACATTTTACTGCTGAACCACTGTAAAAATCTTAAAGTTTTCTTGACCTTTTGAACATTGGTAGTGTTTTGGCCTTGCTCCCACTCTAATAATTTGCTGGTTTTAATGAACTGAAGTTTCAAAGAAATTGTATTTGTAAAAAAGATAATTGTGGTTTTATCAAACATTTATAAAACTTGTTATATAGCTTCATGCAATTTGCCACCTTTATTTTCTACTCAACTCATACACTTCCATTAAATTTTTCACAAACTGTTTTACTTAAACTCTTGTCATGTTAACTGCCAATATCCTGTAGTCAGATTATTTTTTCATGATTTTTAGATGAGTGTGATTTTGGTGAATTTGGCTTTTTTTTATTTTGTCATATTTGTTCTTAAATTAAAGTATTCTTCAGAGCTTCTCTCTGAAATGAATCAAACATAGTGTTTTCTTCCAGCCACTTGGAGCCAGACACATAGAATTGCCATGATTTTCCAAGAAGAAATTCAGTTCTTCCCAACACATAGGGACTCAAAGGATAGAAGTATAAGTTTATTTAGTGATATGTAGTGATAGTGAGGAGTTTGCCACATTGGCCTCATATAGTCATGTGTACCTCGAGTTCCCTTACTAATTAGGCATAGAAATATGAGAGCCAATGGGACATAGCACATGCATGGCATTCATGCAGAATACTGAAATGCACTATGAGTCCTTCCACATCAGTGCCCTGCTGCCTCTGCTTAGAGTCTGCTCCCCCATGGCCTACCTCCCTCTCCACCCACTCCAGCCTTCTGCCAAGTTTCAAATTGGGCCCAATGAGTTCAATTTTCACACCTGATCTCTTCTTGCCGTATTGCACAATTTGGAATAATAACATCTCTGATGTTTAAAAATGAAAGCTTTGCTCTTGTGACCAGTCTACCTGTTTTGTCATATGAAATGAAACTTTTTTCTTTTTTCTTTTTTTTTTTTTTTTGAGGTGGAGTTTTGCTCTTGTTGCCCAGACTGGAGTGCAATGGTGCGATCTCAGCTCACCGCAACCTCCGCCTCCTGGGCTCAAGCGATTCTCCTGCCTCAGCCTCCCAAGTAGCTGGCATTACAGGCACTTGCCACCGTGCCTGGCTAATTTTTTTTTTTTTTTTTTTTTTTTAGTAGAGAGGGGGTTTCATCATCTGGTCTTGAACTCCTGACCTTGTGATCCACCCACCTCCGCCTCCCAAAGTGCTGGGATTACAGGCATGAGCCACTGCACCCGGCCTCTTTTTTCTTTTTTTAGGTCTCACTCTGTTGCCCAGACTGCAGTGCAGTGGTGAGATCTCAGCTCACTGCAACCTCTGCCTCCCACATTCAAACAATTCTTGTGCCTCAGCCTCCCAAGTAGCTACGATGATAGGTGCCTGCCACCACGCCCAGCTAATTTTTGTATTTTTAGTAGAAACGAGGTTTCACCGGGCTGGCCAGGCTGGTCTCCAACTCCTGACCTCAAGTGATCTACCCACCTTGGCCTCTCAAAGTGCTGGGATTACAGGTTTGAGCCACCATACCTGACCCCTTGAAACCAAACTATTGTGGAAAAGAATGAGCATATGCACATGGAGATTGACAAATTCCTCAAATACCAATCAGTGGACACAAATCAGCCATCCCCACAACTGCTTTGAAAGACATAGGATTAATTTTACAGTCAGGGCACACCAGAGCAACTCGGGGAGCTTGTGTAAAAATGTAGATGGCGTGCAGTGGCTCAGGACTTCTAATCACAGCACTCTGGGAGGCTGAGGTGGAAAGATTGTTTGAGCCCAAGCATCTAAGACTAGCCTGGGCAACATAGCGAGAACTCTGAACAGACGATCTGAAAAAGCTGAGGGTCTTGAGAACAAGTAGTCAACATACTATATTGATGAATTAAGACAAACATCATTGTTCAATTATTAACACTTTATTCTAAAAACTTGTTAAATAAAATGAATTTTTGTAATACCCATAGATATGCAGATATATAGAGATAGATATATAGAGAGAGAGATAGATTTTTTTAACAAATGTAGTCTGGAAAGTCTTAATGGTCATAGTTGAATAGACATGAACACTGAAAACCTAAATGCTACTGTTGATATAAATTAGAGATAAGATCTATGTGCTTCAATTAGTAAAAATGCATAATAATTCATTGAACATTTACTATGGGCAAAGTGCCATACTAAGTATTTTTAAAAGCTGCAAAACAATATGGAAGTCAGTCTTCATGGTAAGAGCTTTAATCCAGTTGAGAGCCAAAACATCACACCAGAAGAAGCTTAGTAACAATCACACCTCACACAAATGAAGCTGTATTCAGTTTCCTCTGTGAAGAATACTGCAGACACAATGAATTACCTTCTCACCTCCTTGGACTGATGACTATGTCTCTTTCATCTCTTTATCCATGGTTCCTGATACCAGGTGCTATGAATACTGTGTTACATAAATTGAATCCAATAGTAATATTTTTCACAAGTTGAAAAACATAAAAAAATTGTGGCATGGATATTCTTTAAAGTCTCTTTTGCTGTTTATTTATTCAACAAACAGCATTTCCTACTAGACACTATGCCTATAACAATTTAAGACAATATGAAGATCAATCATTAATTATATTCCCTAAGCAAGCTTATTTCACACCTTGTACTCCATATCATTAGAGTATGTGCACTGAAAATAACTATACAAACATAAACTTATTATTATGTGAAAATATTTGGGAATTTTTAAAAATACTTGCTTACATGTCTTAAAACATACTTGAAATATGTGCCTAGAGTGATCCTATTAACCACAGGCACACAGTGCACATAAGGCAATCCTATGTTTTGTATCTGTGCACAAATAGCTTTAGGACAGAATTTAAATGTGCCAAAACCCAAAGTTCTTCCAGATGTATGCTTTCACTGATTTCTGGAAAATTGCTTCACAGTACCCTCTCAAAGTACATAGACCACATTATAAAATCCAGAGGCCACTATGCACTTTTACAAAATCCATTGCGTTGACTCATGCTGTCATTTGTCAGTGAAATGATGTTGTAAATCTCTCATCTTTCTATGCTGCCTGGCTTAGACTTATTATAGAGTTTTCCAAATTCCTACCCTCATTAATGACTCTTTTTCTAAAACCGGAGAAATGCTCACTTAGCCAAATGTTTAAAAATACTATTTTTTCCTCCAGTGAGTTTTAATCTTCTTGAATTAAATGATGTTTATCAGGAAAACCCTTATTAGTGCATGCCTACTATGAATATGTATCCTTTTTTTTACATCAATGAAAATAGTTTGAACTTCAACATTCTTTTGTGTTTTATTTTGTGTGTATATGTTTTATTGAGGCCTGATTTGGAGTGTACTTGGGAGAATGTGACTCCTCTAAGTAGAATCATCACTTTCATGGAGAATTGGGCAAAAGGATGTCATTTTTTCTTCCTCTTCACGGCACAATCTCAGTATTAGTTTTCAATAATGCGTAACAAATTAGCACAAACCTAGCAACTTAAAACAACACATACTTATTATCTCACAGTACCAGAGTGTCAGGATTTCAGTTGTAACTTAGCTGGGTCCTCCATTCAGGGTCTCACAGGGCTACAGTCAAGGTATTGGCTAGGCTGTGTTTTCATTTGGAGGTTCAAATGGGTAGGATCTGCTTTCAAACTCATTCTGTTTGTTGGCAAGAATCATTTTTTTGCAGTTGTAGGACTGATGACTTTGAACTCTTACTGGCTACCAGCTGAAGGCCTCCTTTAAGATCCTAAAAGCCACGCATAGTCCCTGCAGTTCATAATGTGGCAATTTGGTTCCTTCAAGCACAGCAGGAGGGTCTCCCTATGCATCTGCTAGCAAGACAGGTTGTGTGTGTGTGTGTGTGTGTGTGTGTGTGTGTGTGTGTGTGTGTTTGTGTATAATAACAACGGAATTGATATCCTATCCCCTTTGACATATTCTTGGCCAGAAGCAATTCATAAGTCCTTCCCATACACAGGGAATGGGAGTATACAAACAGATGAACACCACAAGGTGAAAATTACTGGGAGGTCACCTTAGGGTCTGTCTGCCACAATCCCATTAGAACTGAAAAATACTCAGACAGTGACTTACAGTTAGATATAAGTTATTTTTATCACTTTTCTGGAGTCTAGTTATCTTAAAGAAAGTTTGTAATTCTCTAAACAAATCTATTTTTGTTCTCCTGTTAGAAAAATAGAAGCCATATAGCAATTCTTGGGCAAGCCCTAGGGAAGCTGCAGGACCCAGAAGGGTAAAGAAGGTTGAGTAGGAGAGAGAACTACTGACCTCAAGCACATTTAAGAGGTCAAAATTCCAAAAATCTAGGTGTCACTGGTTGTTGGTTTGTGTTTGCTTGTTTTGTGATTTATTTTGCTTTGATTTTTCACAAATATTGGAAACTATATGTGTTTCATCTGTCTTTCCATTCGAAGTGTGCTATTATCACCAACTTCAAAGTTCATACAACTACCGTGGATATCCTTTAGCACAACACCTAAATCCTCTGAGGAGGTAAGCCTGCTTTTGGCTTCAGAAATTGAACGCAGGAAGGTAGTTTACCATCTGTCTGAAACGTTTAAACTTTTTTCCAAGACAAATGTGGATTATGCGCAACAAACTGGGAATTTTCTGGTCTCAGAACAGGAAAAATAAAGGAACCCTTAAGTATTATTTTAAGTACTTTGTTTGCTAGTAGTGTTTGTGGTGAATGAAAAATTGATCCTTAATTGTGTGGGAAACAGAGAAGTAATGTGCATGGCAATGGCCAAGTACAGACTTCAGAGACTTCACAGTTTTGAAACTGATACTTATGAACATCTGCTTTTTCCCCATAAATTTTAATATGGATTGTATCCTTTGAAACTCACAAAATTCCCAGGTGCTTCTTCAGTCTTTATCTTGGAAAACATACTTTTTAAAAAAAAAGTCTTTTTTTCCATTGAACATATTCAAAATCATTTTTGTCAAAACAATATTCCTAGATATACAGCACCTATTGGAATGCCTGAGATACGGTATTAAAGGTTAGCAACCCAAAATGTTGCAGTCACCATGTCAAACCTCCAAAATGTCCAACCCCAGAACACAAGCCATAAGAGTCTTAATAGAGGATGCGGAAAAGTATCCATTTCTAGGCCCAGGGCATGCCTTTTGTTATTACACAAATATTTGTTTAGTGCTTGCTATGTGATAGGCACTTTCAGGTGCCAAGTTTATAGCAGCCAACACAACAGACAAAATATCTGTCCTCATTGTGTTTATGTTCCAGGGAGTGTAAATGTTCTCTTTAAAAATTCCCTTTAACTTTTTGTACTATCTTTTATATAGTTCGTTAGTAAAAAACTTTGTGCTGGGTCTACAAACCAATGCTAATCCATTAATGATGCTGGACTGGACTCTGGGGGTATTATGAAAAAAAAAAATATGTTTCTGTTCTCAGTGAACTGATAGTTGGACATACTTCTTACCTCTGTCAAGAAATTTAGAACTGAGAATTAGGAGCTTTGGGATGCAATCAGGATAGCCACTTGATCATTCTCTATTTAGATCCCTTATAAGCAGTGCAAACAGTGCCTACACGCCTCAGCCTTGAAAATTCTAAGAACTATTCCTATACAGAGAGAAGATAAGAGTGTGTAGGCTAAAGGAAAGGAAATAAAATCACAGCTCAACAGAGCACAAACATGTTAGTTGGCTGGGTACATGCAAGGCCAATAAGAACATTAAGTCCCTCTTAGGAGGAGGAGCCTTTTAAGAATGCAGTTTCTGGTCATCCATCCTATACCAAAGGATACAAGTCATTTACATAAGAGGAAAGCCTCAGGAGGACAGTAGAGCTATTTAATTTGGTTAGGCTAATAGTTTTCCATCCATTTACAGTCTAACAGAACCTCTCTGCCCTGCCCCTTAAAGAGGAACTCATTGGCATGGTGCCACAGGGCACATAAAACATGTGCAGTCTTCTTGGAGTGTCAATTCTACTCAACCACTTGGAGGAAAAAAGTTAACTAATTTATTGGTAAATAATTCAATGCATTATTTTCCATTAAAACCAATGCAGGCCATGCACGGTGGCTCATGCCTGCAATCCCAGCCTTTTGGGAGGCCAAGGAAGGTGGATCACTTGAGATCAGGAGTTGGAGACCAGCCTGGCCAACACGGCATAACCCTGTCTCTACTAGATATACAAAAATTAGCCAGGTGTGGTGGCAGGCACCCGTAAACCCAGCTGCTCAGGAGGCTGACACACGAGAATCACTTGAACCCAGGAGGTGAAGGTTGCAGTAAGCCAAGATCACACCACTGCACTCCAACCTGGACAACAGAGTGAGACTCTATCTCAGTAAAAAAATAAAAGTAAAAATTAAAAAAAAATCAATGTAGCTTATATTATGTAATAGAATGCAAAATTTGCATACACTTTTAGAATAAAGCAAAAGAACTAAACAGTCCTGGAGCCAAGGGCTGAGGGATTAAGCCCCACCCCCATATTTTCCATCAGCCCCCTGTAAAGCCAACATAATAAATATTATATATATATATATTTTTTGAGACAGGGTCTCACTCTGTCACCCGGGCTGGAGTACAGTGGTGCAATCTTGCCTCACTGCAACCTCCGCCTCACAGGCTCAAGCGATCCTCTCACCTCAGCCTCCTGAGTAGCTGGGACCACAGGCATATACCACCATGCCTGGCTAATGTTTTTGTATTTTTGGTAGAGACGAGGTTTTGCCATGTTGCCCAGGCTGGTCTTGAACTCCTGAGTTCAGGCAATCTGCCTGCCTCAGCCTCCCAGAGTGTTGGGATTACAGGCATGACCCACCACGCCCGGCCAATAATATTTTTTGATATGGATAATTGGTTCTCAATTTTATATAAATGTAAATCCCCCAGCAGCATGTCTTCCAACCACATTGCCACTTGGATATCCCTTCTTTTTAGAAAATCTGGAGCCACTGCTAGATGCAAGAAAATTCTGGGCCATTTCAAGCTCTGACACCTCAACCCTGACACTCAGCCCTGGGGCCTGTGCTCGCTCCCGCTGCATTTATGAATACTCTTCTGGAAAAGTTTAGCTGAATGCTTTTTTTAAGGTTGGCCAAGAGAAATTTTTTCAATGCTGCCTCTTAGTCTTTAGTACTGAGATTGAGCATTGACCATCCTGATCCACATCCCCTTCTCCCAGTCTCAGAATGTTAGGTAGCAGGCAGAGCAGCTTATGTTCTTTGTGCTTTGTGTTCCTGACACAGGATCTGGACCAGGTACAGCTCCATCTGGAAGAAGTGAGGTTCTTTGACGTGTTTGGCTTCAGTGAAACAGCAGGAGCATGGCAATGCTTCATGTGCAACAATCCTGAGAAAGCAACTGGTGAGAGACCCTTACCTGCTGCTAAGAACCATTTGTGCCCCAAATTACAGGGATCTGTCAGCTCCATTTTTCTAGGTGGCCTTCCTCTTGCATAAACATCCCCAGTTGTAATAATGCACAGAGTCATGTCCCTGCTTTGTGCTGAGAAAGGCGTCTCACCAAAGTGGTCGTAGGAAAAAGGGAAAACTTTGGGAGGCAGAGAAACAATCCCTTACCTATATGTGGTTATCAAGGAAGCAGTATCAGCCATTTTGCCCTAAAAGTATTCATTTCATCCAGATGACCCTGAGGGTTAGAGAGAAAAAAAGTGTTCTCTCAAGATGTGTTCTTTAAGGAAATGAGACCACACTAAATGAGTGAATCAGCACACAGACCATATTATCTCACGTAATCCCTAACACTGTTGCTTGATGATTAAACTGTAAAAAGTGAAGCATTGAAATAGGAAGAAATTATCTGAGAAATAACCTCATAGCTGGTTATTCGCCTTCCACTTCCTTTCTGCTGCTCAAGTTATTTGGTCTACTGACCTTGCCTAAAAATAATTGTTAGCAAATACAAGTCATGCCCTGTGCTAAACATATCAGACACCTTATCTCATTTAATCAGTCCTTGCAATACTCTTATGAGGAAAATACTGACATTATCTCTGCTTTACTGATGAGGAAACTGAGGCACAGAGAGGTATGGTAACTGCCCAAGGTCACAAAGATAAATTAACAGCAGCAGAATTTGAACGCAGCCTGACTCTAGAACCCATGCTCTTAACCATTTCACCATTCTGCCTTCTGGTTACACTTGCTCAATCCAACCAGTGGAAACACGTTGCTAATAAGCCTATATCCAAAAAGTTATGCTGTCATTGGAAGTGAAATATTTCATCACTAATGTGCCCTTTGAGAGGAGAGAGCTCTCAATGCTGACTCGGCTCAGGAACTGCATTTAGGATCACAAGAGCAGTGTTAAAAAGACTGTGGAACACAAAGCCACTTTGTAGATGAGCCATCTTCTAGGCAGCCATTGATTATACCACCTGTACCTGGTCCTTTAATTTTAGGATTTTATGCATCTTAAAGATTACCCATTGTGGCAAGTCTGTCCTCTTGTTAACTGCCAAGATGTTGAGGCTGAATAGTAAAAGTATGTTTATTTGGCCAGATGGAGATGTGTAGGGCTCTCAGAGAAGTACCAATTAAAATGTATTACCCCACGGAAAAGGTGCGGATGGCAGAAGCTGGCAGTTAGGACGCCAGCCTTTGTGAAGCACAGATTGTTGGCTGATTACAGAGTCTGGATTGAGCCAACGCCAGAGTGAACACCCCAATTTTTTAAAAGTTAATTCAAACAAATAAGGAATTGGGGAATTGACTGCCTCCATTATAAAACTTTCTAATTAGACCTTATTTTATATATGAAAAAGACAGAGCATAAAAGAAGCTTTATTTGAGAGCTACTAAAATAAGGTACTTATCTTAGGTATCTCTGAGAGGCCCTGAAGAGTTTTCACTCCAAGTAAGCTGAGTCCTTAGTTTGATAAATATTTAATCATATCTGGCCAAGGGAGGCCTCAGAAAAGGGGCTGAAAGTTAAAAACACAAAGTGTTCCTTTAATACATGTTTTCTCAAATTCACTGCCATGCTCTTGAAATGAACGTTCTGCACATTTACTCTTTCTTATTTGTGTTCCTCACAGTTAAATATAGACTGAGAACATATAGCAATAAAAATTCAAACAAGGCCAAATATTTTATAGCAGAGCATATTGAATCAAAATGTTTGGCCCTGAAAACTTCAGTGGGTTTGGATTTCTTTGCTCATTTCCTTTTGCTACATGAAAGAGGATTTGAGTTTAAGAAAAGTCCTATTTTAAACTGTTTTTTTTTTTTTTCACCAAAACCCTTGACTCCCTGGATAGTTTATATAGGTTGTTGATTTCATCTTCTTTTTTATATAAGCACTTAAATTATATATTTAATCTAAGTGAAAGGTCTAACATAATATTGTTGCCAAATATATTTTTCATGGAGACAGTATTTGCATTCAAGTTCTGCTTAAATTCAAAGTTTAAAGATGAGACATAGCAACAAATGCTTTATTGGTCATGCACAGCTAGCATATTCCTTGCATCCAATTTTTCATTTATGCAATGCATGTTTGTTGCATTAGGTGAGTGTCTTCTACAGGCTGACCCTTGGGATAGAAATATGAATAAGGTACAGTGTCTCTGCTCTAAAAGAAATTCATAATCCAGTTAGAGCCAAAAGGTGTATTCGAAAAAATCTAGCATACTTCTTTTATGTTTTTAGCATGCTATATTTGTTGAGTGAGTGAATGAATGAATGAATGAATAATATTTTTAAATGGCAATGTCAAATATTCCTTGAATGTTAAAATGTGATGTTTCAAGATTGTGATTATATGGTAACGATATCAAATTCATCACTATACCATACCCAAAGCATTCTGAACCTGGTAAATGAAGATTAGGGCTGTTTCCTCCCTGAGAGAAGTCACCGCTTGTAAAGGCTTGATCCACTTACCTGCCTGTCTTAGCGCCTAGAATGTACTATGCCCAACTGAGTACTATGTACTGGTCTGGGTTTCATCAACACCCACACAGGGGCCAGCTGCCCTATCAGCCTCAGGGAGAAGGGGTCCAAAGAAGTAGAATTGAAGTCTAGAACAAAAGGCCAAATAAACTGGGTTTTTGATATTTTTTAAAAGAATTGACAAATGATACAGTAATTGTTTTCAAGTATTCACGTTTCAATATTTTTTAATGCTGTCCAGCATCTCCATAAATGAGGAATAAAACATGAGACAATTAGAGAATTTCAGTTAGACATTAGGAAAGACATCAAGAAATATATAATACTTCTTAACTGTGTAGACTCAGCCAGAGGAATCCTTCAGAAATTGACAGTATCTCAGCTTACTGACATGGTCAACTCACATACATTCCTGTCTTCAAGTAAGTCTCATCACCATCCTCCCACCAACTTCACCATCAACACACAGAAATTCACAGGAGTTTAATATCTGGTGATCAATAAAATATTTTTATCCAGTAATGTACAGATAGTCAGAGGAAAGTAAATGCTAAAATAATGTAGAGGCCCTGACATGATTTATAATTGTTAGCATTTATCACTCTAATAATATGCTAAGCTTGCATGCATTTTTCTCATTTTCTCACCATTATTGACTTCATTTTACAGATCAGAAAACTGAAACACAAAGAGATTAAGTAATTTTCGCAAGGTCACACAGCTTCTCAGTGATGGAACCAGTATTTTAATCCAGACAGCCAATTCCAGAACCTGACTTTTCAACCTGTAGGGAAAATTCAAGTTAAGGACATGAAATATTGGAAATTTCAAGAGCAATCATTCAGTAATGTTATAATATATTATAAAGACCCAGAGACAAGTTTAATTTTTTAGAAGTGATCTACTTCCTCGATGACTTACTCTACTTAAAGAAGAACAGAGACTTTATTATGATAATGTGTGAGAAATTATTACTTGCAGGAAATGATTACAGTAGAATCTATTTCCTATTCTTCCAACTGCTGATTCATTTTCTGATAATCATTTTATAAAAGTTCAGAGTAGAAGATTAGAAAATTTCTGAAATAACTCAGTAATCCTCAGAGACTTGCCTGGTGGTGTTTATTGCAGATCTTGTTATTCCACATGAATGAGAGAATGGAGATTGAGCAAGGAGATTGAACAGAGCAGAACTTATTTCTGGAAAACCAAGCTAATCTTCTTTATCAGTTGCCCTTGTGTCTTGGAATTGCACAGTGTATGTTGACAGTAAGAGTTAGTCAGCTGGTCTGTCCTAGAACACATCTGGCTTCCTCTTCAGTCACATTTTGTTAAAGTAGGAGGAAGAACTGGGTCATGACTTTCACTCATTTCTCGAGACACATGAGATGCCTTTGTTCTTACACCCTACAAAAAACAACTTAGAGTTTTGGCACTCCTGTCCTCCTCGATAAATCTAAGCAGCCCCATGTGATTAGTCTCTTAGTCACTAGACATTTAAAATTTGAATGTGATCATCAGTAGAAGGTCTTCTTGGGTTCTAAAAGAAAATGGAACAATTTTTTCAAACAACTTTCTATCATGATTCATCTTTAGAACTTGATTTCAAATAGTTGTGTTATAAGAACATACTGTCAAGCTGAGTGCAATGGCACGTGCCTGTAGTCCCAGCTACTCAGGAAAGAGTGGCGGGAAGATTGCTTAAGGCCAGGAGTTTGAAGCTGTGGTGTACCATGATCATGCCTATGAATAGCCACTGCACTCCAGCCTGGCCAACATAGCATAGACCCTGTCTCTAAATCTAAACTAATTAACTAAATAAATAAATATGAATAAAAAAAGAATGTGCTATTTATTATATTATATTAGATTATGAATACATGGGCAAATGGAGATGGTTTCAAAATGCCTCCTGTGTCAGGAGAGTTTTTTCAGACAGTCAAAAGAATTGGTAACAGCAGTTGTGGGTCTCCTTTGGGGGCACCCTTCATGCGAGCTAGATTATTTTTCCACTCTAGATGCCAATGTGAAAATGAACTAAATGACCTCTGAGAGGACCTAGCCCATAAGGCCACCAATAGCCTTGTGAGTCTATGAATATGAAGCTTTTCCATTAAATTTCAATGTCAACTTTCATAGAACTTTAAAAGTGATAAAAGAAAACTCAATTTTGGCCGGGCGTAGTGGCTCACGCCTGTAATCCCAGCACTTTGGGAGGCCGAGGCAGGCGGATCACAAGGTCAGGAAATCGAGACCATCCTGGCCAACATGGTGAAACCCCATCTCTACTAAAAATACAAAAATTAGCTGGCTGTGGTGGTGTGTGCCTGTAATCCCAGCTACTCAGGAGGCTGAGGCAGGAGAATCGCTTGAACCAGGGAGTTGGAGGTTGCAGTGAGCCAAGATCATGCCACTGCACTCCAGCCGGGTGGCAAGCGAGACTCCATCTCAAAAGAAAAAAAAAAAAGAAAACTCGATTTTGATGTATGTGGTGGCTAGCATTGTAGTATGATGTCTTTTCTTCTACCACATGTGTTAGAGCACTGTCCTACGTGCTAAGTGTTGGTAGAGCACCAAAAACAACGGAATGCTTTTTATACAATAACTTCACATTTTCACACTGATATACTGGGACTACTGAGTATATATTGATTATGTAAAATTGAACCTCAGCTTTTTGTTCAGATACTTTGCAATACTTAAAGACAAAATAAAAACACACTTACAAACTCAGATAATTTATTATCTTGAAATCTTCCTTTTCTCCCTTTCCCCATCTTCCATCTTCCTATTTTATGTCTCTGTGGTATGAACATTCTTCTCTCCCTCTTAAACCTCTCCACACACTCTCATTTCTCTCTCCCTCTTTCTCTCTCTGTCTTTCTCTGTCTCTCTCTCTCTCTCTCACACACACACACACGCACACATATGCACACACACCTACATACCACCCCTAAGCAGAATTAATTTCTCTCTCTCTGTCCTTTCCATCCTCTGCCTACACTTCTGTATTGCACTTGGCATGTGGCCATCAGTCTTTCCCTCTGGACAGTAAACTACAAGAAGAACCATGGATTATGCCTCATCTTTGTACATCTTAACCAGTGCCTGGCACATTATAGTGTTTAATAAGCATTTGGCAAATAGATGAGTGATTGAGAAATTCATTAATCACTTAAGTGATAGAATACCCATGGGAAAAAATCGAATTTGTTTTGAAATGCAACTTGAAAATCTAACTTTTAAAAATCTAACTCTTTCTCAAAATTAAAAACAACTAACTGAACTGAAACCTGGAAATAGCATCTTTTGGAAAATTAGCTTTCATGAGAAGAAAACATTGCTGTATACAAGGTTTCAACATGTTGTGGAAACTGAATTTTAGTATTATGCTAAAATGTTACAATATACACATAGGCAAAGAGCTCATAGTAAACATGCTAATAACTTGTAAATCTTGAAGAGAAACAAGCTAAGATCAGTAACCTAACACCCCTCAGGGATTAACTTCTATTTTTCATCCAGCATCACTTTCCTACTCCTCTGCCTTTCCATATTGGGTCAACAATCTTGTCTTGATACAGAGGAAAAGTGTCAGATAGGCCATATACTTGCAACAAAGCATCAGTCATTCTGTGATTATCCACTAACAAATCACTATACGTAGTAATGTGTCCTTTTCCACATAGAGAACAAGCTGAGTCAAGCCAATATATAGATGAGGAGAAGCTTTGGAAAGGCAGACTAATGTGAGTACATTAGTTTCATCATCATACAAGCATAAGATGACATTGATTTCAAGAATTTTGTGCAGTTTTTAAAATAAAATACTTAGTATATTTTAAAAGAGCTCTAGCCATCATATTGCAGAGTAATCCTTTTTGTATTGACCTATGTAAGTACACTAAGAATGAAATTTGTTTATCAGCCACAAATACACCTATTTAAAAGAAATACTGGTACTATACTGGTCCTTTTTTTTTTTTTTTTTTTGAAACAGAGTCTTGCTCTGTCGCCAGGCTGGAGTGCAGTGGCACAGTCTCTGCTCACTGCTACCTCCACCTCCCGGGTTCAAGCGATTCTCCTGCCTCAGCCTCCCGAGTAGCTGGGACTACAGACATGCGCCACCACACTCAGCTAATTTTTGTATTTTTAGTAGATACAGGGTTTCACCATGTTGGCCAGGATGATCTCAATCTCTTGACCTCGTGATCCGCCCGCCTCGGCCTCCCAAAGTGCTGGGATTACCAGCGTGAGCCACCAGGCCCAACTGACATACTGGTACTTTTTAGCAGCCACAGAGAATAAAGTCATCAAAGGATGGTCATATTTTGCCTCGGATTTCATCCTTCCCACCTTCTCAGAAACTTCCCAGTATAGATTAGATTAACCTTTTTCTCTTCTCTATTCAATATTCCCCTTCCAACTGAGTCCTCCCATTGGCTTCTAAACATAATTAAGTGGCTTATCCTCCCCTTTCCCTCCATCTACTGCCTTATCTCTCACTTCCCCTTTAAAGCCAAGAGAGTTGTCTCTCTCTATCCACTGCCTTGCCTCCTTCTCATGACTCAACCCTCTCTAACCTTGTTTCTAACTCTATCATCTCTCTCTGTAGTCATTAACAACCTGCAAGTCACCCATGCACTGCACATGGTTCAGTCTTCATGTTATTTGTCTCTTGGCAATATTCCATTCCGTAAACCAATTCCTCCTTAAAGCATTCTTCTTCTTCAGTTTCTGTGACACAACACTCCTCTAGCTTCCTTCCTACTCTCTGGACACTCCTTCTTATCCCACCTTTCTTTACCTAGCTAGTCATTGTTGGAGTAACGCTCTTACTACAGTAATCACCTCTATGCAACAACTTCCAGATCTATATATGCGGTCCTGGCCTGGCCTCTCCTCTGAATTCAAGATTTACATCACCTACCACTTACTTGACTGCTTCTAAGGCACCCCAAAATCAGTTATTTTATTTTGTTTTATTTTTTAAGATAGGATCTTGCTATGTTGCCCAGACTGCTCTCAAACTCCTGGGCTCAAGCAATCATCCCACCTCAGACTCCAGAGTAGCTGAGATTACAAGCATGCACCACTCCCCAGCATCAGTTCATTTAAATTAAAACTCATGATTGTCTCTTTGCTTCCCCCAAACACTTACTCTTCTTCCAGCATTCCTTAGCTCAGTGAATGCAACATCACTCAATCTATTGTACCAACCAGAGGCCCACTCACTGCCTTCTCCACCACCCCCATCCAATCTATCACCACAAGATTGAGGATTTTACTTTCTCAATTGCTCTCAAATCTGTCCATTTCTCTCCACAGCACTAGTGCAAGTTGCCATCACCTTTTACCTACAATAATGGCCATAGCCTCCTCACTGAACTACTCTGAACCCTTCCAATCTCCCTCCCACGATGCAGCCAGAGTGAACTCTTCAAAACACAAATCTGTTGTGCCACCCCTTGCATGAAATCTTAGGTAGCTTCCCATAGCTCTTAAAGACCAAACTTCATAACATATCCTTCACGGTTTCACATGGAATGGTCTCTCCCAGCTTCTCCAGCTTTATCCTGTCCCACATTCCCTCTGCTCTCTTTGCTTTGCCTAGAAGAACACTCTTAAAGTTTCTCAGACTCACTGTACTTCTTCCTGCCACAATGCTTTTATATGTACTTTTTCTTCTACCAAGAATTCCCTCTCTCCCTTCTTCACTTAGTTAAAGTAGATCTTAGCCTTCTTATTACAAATCAAATTCACAGCTTCAGTATTGGAAGCCTTTTGTAACCCCCCGATGCATACTGAGGTCCTCAAAGCACCCCAAACTTCTTCTCCATAACATTGGTTACAGCTGCTGTCTTGTTCTTTTATGTGTGACTTTTAGATCAATGTCTACTTCCTCCAGTAAATAGTAAGTTCTATGAAGTGGACTCTCCTCATCCATCTATCCTCAGCCCCTAGCACACAACAGATGCTCAATAAATATGTACCAATAAACGAATGGCCAAAGTTAGTGTCTTCTCAGAAAATTTTCAGTAATAATTTTTTTCTCAGTCAAGTGATGACAAAAAACAGATAAATGAATTAACAATGACTCATTTTACAAGAAAAAGGTAGATATTCATATGATGACATTTACAGCATCTCTTTTGTGCCAAATATATTCTTTATATAAGCAGTCTCTTCTTAAATAAGTTCTTTTCATAAGTACTATAATAAACAGATCATGTTAATAGAATGTGTGATATATTCATATATATGTGTATTAAAAATATACATACACATGGATATGTACACATATATGTGTATATACATGTGTGTGTTTCATATATAACATACAGCATGTGATGGTGTTTATGTAACTGCTAAGGCTTCCAGTGCAGACATTATAAACATCTATTCATTGTCAAAAGGTTTGAGGCCAAGTGCTGAACCACAACAGATGGAACTCCTGTTTAAAAATTCCATAAAAGTGGTGTAGGTAACACCTTAATATGTTCCAGAATACAAGAATTTACAGGCAGGTAGGACAATGGTTACAATGTGTTCAAATGGTACAACCCAAACAAGTTGGTCCTCCTTATCACAGACGGGGCACAAGCTTGTCAGATCTATTTTTTCCAACCCCAGGCAAACTCTACAATCTGCAGGCAGTATGGGAAAGTGCTCAACATTTAAAACTAAAGTCCTATGGCCAGATCCCATCAGTAATATCTATCCACGCGATCTTATTAATGAGACTCAGTAGGACCAACATCGGATATGTGTGAAACCCTTTCTTATTAAAAGTTAATCTTACAATTAGACAATTATCAGCCAGGCACAGGGGCTCACATCTGTAATCCCAGCATTTTGGGAGGCCCAGGTGGGTGGATCACTTGATCCCAGGAGTTGGAGATCAGCTTAAGCAATATGGCATAACCCCATATCTACGAAAAATACAAAAATTAGCCTGTGGTGGCGCATGCCTGTAGTCCCAGCTACTTGCAGGGCTGAGATGAGAGAATCATTTGAACCTGGGAGCCAGACGTTGCAGTGAGCTGAGAACATGCCACTGCATTCCAACCTGGGTGACAGAGTGAGATCCTATCTCAAAAAAAAAAAAAAAAATTATCTTCTTCATTGCCACTCTCCTGATCTTTTCCTATTGGTCTCTATCAGTCATTGCACAGCAGTCCCAGGCAAATCTTCTTTGATGAGTTTCTCATAAAGACATGTACTACTCAGAACTATTAAACAGGTTACCATCTTGGAAAGTGCCCTTAAAATTTTTGTCTCACTATTAACACAATAAAAAAATAAGCAAAATTCCACAAACACTAATTCTGAACATTTTTTCTGTAACCCTATTGATTGAAACCAAGAACATGAATGTAAGCTTATACTGCCATCCTTGTCTTTAATTTTATCAAAAGGTCATAGTTTTCTCCCTACAATTGGTTTTGCAGTTTTACTCTTTCGTATATCATATAACCTATTACTGTCATCTACCACGAAGATACTAATTATTTCCTAGAAGTTTTTGAGCAACATAAGAATCACCTGTGGACCTTGTTTAACATGCAAGGCTTCTCACCCTATCCCAAAATTTTGATTCAGTGAGTTTAGGGTGGTTCCTGGAAATGTGCATTCTAACAAGCTGGCAGATAATTCTGATTCTCTGGTTCTCACAACACAGTTCAGGAAACATAGCCCTAAATGCTTACAACACCGTATTTCTGAAGCTTTTTTGCATCAGTACATCAGTAATTGGTCAGAGAAGCATATGTTTTGATGGGTATGAAATTACTGAGAAAGGAAGCCATTCAGTCACATGTGGCAGTGCCCTCAAAGGGCTGCTGTCAAACTTAGCTTGGCTGTCCAATTTTGGTCCCCACAATATTGTGTAGGATGTTACAAAGTCAGTGAGGATCATGCCTCCTGGTTTATTCACTGCCAGTAGAGAAATATTGCACTCTCAAACGCTGCCTGGAGATTCTTAAGAAACATGCCATTTGTTATGATCCTTAGCAATTTCAAAAACCACAGACACTCAGTCTAGTAAATGTGGCTCCTACGACCCCTTCATTTAATGCTTCTAGCCCTCTTTTTGCATATCCTCTGGAATTATAGTTTGCTTTATTAGAACTGGCACACACACCAAAGAAAAAAAAATCAGTAAAACCATGGAAGGAGATTGAAGTAAATTTGAAACTTTAAATACATACAAAGAAATTCCCCATAGACTGTATAGGATTCATAATTCCCAGAAGCAGTGTTTTCAAGGGGGAAAAAATGACATACTATACTTTTTCTCAGTTCTTACTTAAAAACTAAGAATTTGGAGTTAATTTATATTTCAATATCTAATCAATATCTACATATCTATATATTGATATATATCTATACATGTCAATCATTATATATATATATTTTTTGTTGGTTTTTTTTGAAATGGAGTGTCCCTGTGCCACCAGACTGGTATGCAATGGCACAATCTTGGCTCACTGCAACCTCCGCCTCCCAGGTTCAAGCAATTTTCCTGCCTCAGTCTCCCGAGTAGCTGGGACTACAGGCGCATGCCACCACACCCGGCTAATTTTTTGTATTTTAGCAGAAACAGAATTTCACCATGTTGCCCAGGCTGGTCTTGAACTCCTGAGCTCAGGCAATCCACCCGCCTCAGCCTCCCAAAGTGCTGCGATTACAGGGGTGAGCCACCTTGCCTGGCCTGGGGTTTATATTTTTTCTTCCAGAATATGTTTTCTTTTGAAGGCATTTATCTTTAACAATCAGAAAAGAGTATCTAGAAATTCAAATATCACAAATTAAACTCATGACAGTCTCAAATATGAGTTATTCATGCACAGTGCAATACTTTCAAGACAAAACTGGCATAAGCCAAAAAGCACACAGTATGAGTAATTTCTGAGTCTGGATGAAAGTCAGTGTGCCATGTGAACAGTAGTTATGTGGAGGTTATTGTCTATTGTCATTCCTTCCAGACTGTCACGAGAACAAGCAGAAACAAGCAGAAAGTCTAGGAAGAGAAGGAAGCAACCACAGATAACAGGAAATTCTCCCAAAGCAGCTCAATCTATTACTGGGTTGTAGATTGATTTACTGTCTTGTAAATGGAAGTTTACAGTCTTGTAAATGGCAGTTTACTGTCTTGTAAATGGAAGTTTCAATGAATACGTGGATGAGTTACTCAAAAACAGAAGAGGGCCAGGTGCAGTGGCTCATGCTTATAATCCCAAAACTTTGGGAGGCAGAAATGGGAGGATCACTTGAGGTCAAAAGTTCAAGTCCAGCCTGGGCAGCATGGTAAGACCCCATCTCTACAAAAAAAAATTAAAAATTATCCAGGTGTGATGGCATGCACTTGTAGTCCTAGTTACTTGGGGGGCTGAGGCAGGAGAATCGCTTGAGCCCAGGAGTTCAAGGTTCCAGTAAGCTATGATCAAGCCACTGTATTCCAGCCTGAGCAACAAAAGAGACCCTGTCTTTAAAACACACACACATGCAGACAGAGAGACAGAGAGTTCACCTTCCATTTGAGACACTTGGAATTGCCTTTCATACCTCCATTTTTATTAAAGGTCCAAGTTCAAAGACTGCAGGAGTCCCTCTCTTACTCTGAATTCTCTTACTATTCCTCACACTTTGATATAGGCCATTAGGACATGGTATTTCTAAAACCACCTGTTCATCACAGTGAAAAGATGATTATGATTTGCATTGATCCATGATGTCAATCATGATGACAGTAGCTACTATTTATTGATCCTTTATTGTGACCAGGTCTCAGCTAAGCAAGGCCACTGTCAACTGTTGTGGCACTTTTATGTGCTTTCATTTATGGTGCATGTAATCCTCACGGGGATGTATGGCTTCACTAGCAAAACCCCCACAGCCATTTGTGTTGTGTTAAGTATAACTCTAGGGAGTAGGAAAGGGAAGCTCAGTGACTTTAAATAGCTTGTCCAGGACCAGTCAGCTGGTAAGTGGCAGATTCTGGACTTCAACTGAGGTCGGCCTCCAAAGACAGTGCTCTTACCACATAAACCATAGGCCTATACTAGAGAAAGTCTTTGGTACAGTCTCATGTGATCTATTATAATAAAGAGTAAACATGGCATTCAGCACACTGGTTAAATAAATTATAATTGGTTAAAGACATTCAGAATTGCAACAAATCTTAAAACCAGGTAGAGAGTGAATTATTGAACTCTTGTGCTCTTGAAATAAAAGAGGTCTATGACTATACAAGCTTTTTTTCATTATGTTACACTACAAAGCATTACATTCCACTCTGCATGGTGCCCAAGGCTCTTTAGGATTGGTCTCTCTGATTCTCACACCTCATCTCTTGCCTCTTCTCTCCCACCCTGCTCCCTCCCAGAATGAGTTACAGTTCCTAGAATGCATTTTATGCCTCCCTTCCTCAGCTTTGGTCCTTTGCTATGAACTTTTATTCTTTTTTACTTCTTTTTTTGGCTCAATGACCTTCCTTCCTTTGCCTTCATAGCTGCAACTTGTCCCTGAGAATTCAGCCCAGACAGCATCTACTCTAGCAAGCTTTTCTGCTTTGTATGCCCCAGTTTAGAATAAGTGCCTCTCAGTGTGTTCCAGTTAGACCCTGTGCACAGATCTAGCCTGGTACTTATCCCACTCTGTACTCACTTGCTTACTGCATTTCTCTGCATCTCAATAATTGAGACTGTCATATTTGTGTTTATATCCCCTTTACCTGGCATGTGCCTAGTGCATGGTAACCATAAAGGCATTTTGAATAGAAGAATGGGAGAATCAATGAATGGCAATGGGTATTAATAAAAACTGGAACTCAGTCTTCCATGACAAGAATAACATGAATGCTAAATTCTCTTATTAACTGAGAAGAAACCACTGGGGGCATCTTATTCATTTCTAGTCAATTCCACCGCCAGGAGATAAAAGGATTTTTCTCTATTCTTTAGACCCATGGTTTTCCCCCTCTAACTCCTTTCTACCCTTCTTCCATAATAAGGGAATCACCACCATGTCTGTAGTACAAACTACCTGCAAATTGGCAAGTTGTAGGCGTACTTTGGTCTAGTCAAAAGCAGATCTGTCAAGAAGAAAGGTGATGGCAAGTGTTTCAGGATGCTTGAGGGATTTTGCTTGTTGTCTTTCTAAAGGGCCAAAGAATGACAACATCTGCTTATTATGAGAGTGTTTTGAGAAAGCTAGCAAAAGTTTTAGCAGAAAAACACCCAGGGGCTAGGCACAGGGGCTCATGCCTGTAATCCCAGAACTTTGGGAAGCTAAGGTGGGCAGATTGCTTGAGCCCAGGAGTTTGAGGACCATGGGCGACATGGCCTAACCCCATTTCTACAAAAATAAAAAATTTTTAAAACCAGCCAGATGTGGTGACACGTGCCTGTGGTCCCAGCTACTAGGGAGGCTGATGTGGGAGAATCACTTGAGCCCAGGATCTGGAGGCTGCAGTGAGTCATGATTGTGTCACTGCACTCCAGCCTGGGTGACAGAGTGAGACCCTGAAAAAAAAAAAGAAAGGGAGAAGAAAGAGAGAGAGAGAAGGAAAGAAAGAAAGAAAGAAAGAAAGAAAGAAAGAAAGAAAGAAAGAAAGAAAGAAAGAAAGAAAAGAAAGAGAAAGAAAGAAAGAGAGAGAAAAAGAGAAAGAAAGAAAGAGAGAGAGAGAGGGAGAGAGAGAGAGAGGAAGGGAAGGAAGGAAGGAAGGAAGGAAGGAAGGAAGGAAGGAAGGAAGGAAGGAAGGAAGAAGAAAAGAGACAAACACCCAGGAAAACTTTACTAGAGAGTCCTTGTCCACTAAGACAATGCTCCTGCTGGTTCTTCTCTTCAAACAAGGGCGATTTTGCAAGAGTTTCCATGGAAAATTATTAGGCATCCACCTTACAGTCCTGATTTGGCTCCTTCTGACTTTTTGTTTCCTAATCTTAAAAAATCTGCAAAGGGCACTTATTTTGTTTCAGTTAATAATGTTAAAACGACTGCATCAACATGGTTAAATTCCCAGGACCCTTAGCTCTTTAATAATGGACTAAATGGCTGATATTACCACTTACCAAAGTGTCTTGAACTTGATGGAGTTTATGTTGAGAAATACAGTTTCCACTTTTTATTTTTATCTTCTAATTCCATTTTTTTCATGAACTTTTGAAGTTCCCTCGTATATCTGAACTTTGTTGAATTTGACATATAATCAGTGCCTGATCGCTTCTGTTTTCCATCTCTCCTGCCCAGCTCCATGTCCCACAGGCTGCCATGTAGTGATTGTTTCAATAGGCTCTTTTAGCTCTGGCTTTCAGGTACCTTCCACCACTGGGGACACCAGTAAGCAGAGGGAGGGAGGAGAGAGAGGTTGAGTTATTGATTTGCTGGCTGCCTCCCTGCTTGGACACCGAGGGTCGACAGTGTCCTCTATTCCAGGCCACAGCTGTTATCAAACGGTGCTCTCCATACAGGTCTCCCACTAAGTCCTAACTGTTCTCTGCCCTTTCCTCTTCAGGCGGAGGAGTGTTAGGCCTGCATGGTTACTGGCCCCAGAGTACTATGGCGCTTTTCC
This sequence comes from Homo sapiens, assembly GCF_000001405.40. NCBI lineage: Eukaryota > Metazoa > Chordata > Mammalia > Primates > Hominidae > Homo > Homo sapiens. The sequence goes on along the minus strand of NC_000003.12, from coordinate 157,271,433 downwards.
TACGCCCTGCCCACATCTGAGTAAATAATCTAGTAACTCTATTAACTCTCCTCCACTGCTCAGTTTGAGATGCCATCTGTTTCCTGCCAAGACCCTGCCTGACACATCATTGATCCCATCTGGGGCCCATGAGGCTTCATGCTGGGCTAGCTGGACCCTCGCAGGCTCTAGGCCCTTTCTTAGTCCTTTCTAAAGGGGCTTCAGAAAAACTTTCCCATAAAGTCCAATATGACCTCTCTGTGACTGTTACTCAATCTCTTTCCTGGATCTTACACCTAGAAAGCCTTGAATTGACTTCTCCCTTCACCCCTCAGCCCATGAGGGGTGTTCGAGAGCACCTGCTTTACTTGTTTCTGAGTTTGCTGATTCTTCCGGCTTCTTCAGGTTCTTTTGTGTGTTTTCCCCCACACACCTACCTTGCTACCACTCTATCTGGAAAATCCTATCTGATCCTTTTCTGCACTCTATCTGGAAAATTCTCTCTTCTTCATGAGGGTCCCAGCTCTCATGTCACCTTGTCTCAACTAGAAGTGGAATTTCTGCTCTTCAAATGCTGTAACATGTGGCTTGTACTTCTCGGTGGCACTTGCCAAACCCTACACTGAGCAGTAGAATTTGTAAAATGCCATATCTTCCCTAGATGATAAATTAAAGCTCCCTGTGAGGGTGATTTTATGACCCCTCAGATCCAAATATAGTGCCTTACAGCTTATCTGTGCTCGAAAATACATACGGGGTGGGTGGATGATTGATAAATGAGCAGATGAATATTCTTTATTTTTTATTCTTCCTGCTGTGGGTCTTCTCAGCTCTGGGAGACCTGTTATTATTATACTTACTCATCAACTTCATGTTGAATAAGACCAACCCCTTCAAAATTCATTTTTTTAGCAACAAATATTTTTAACTTGGTGCAGAAAAGGGATAAAATTAACATATAAACATTTGTATTAGCATTCTGAAAAACTTTTAAGTTGACAAACACAGTAACAGTTTGGGTTCCAATTGCACTAGAAAATTCAGTTTAATAACCCATAGCTTTTATAGCCAGTTGATATTTTAAAAAATAAACAGATCCATGTTAGTAGAGAATGTCCTAGCCAAATTGTGGTGCTTTGTTTTTTGGTGTTTTGTTTTGTTTTGTTTTGCTTTTTTTTTTTAAGAGATGGCATTTCACTCTGTCACCCAGGCTGGAGTGCAGTGGCATGATCATAGCTCACTGCACACTTTGACCTCTGAGGCTCAAGCGATCCTCCCACCTCTGCACCCCTTCACCCCCGTGAGTACCTGGGACTACAGGTGCATGCCACCGTGCCCAGCTAATTATTTTATTTTATTTTTCTGTAGAGACAGGGTCTCGCTATGTTGCTCAGCCTGGTCACAAACTCCTGGTCTCAACTCCTGGCCTCAAATGATCCCTCTGTCTCGGCCTCCCAAAGCACTGGGATTACAGGCATGAGCCACCACACCTGGCCAAATTGTGGTGCTTTAAATGAAATAATGTGTTAATTGGAAAGTGAGAAAATGATTGAATATCCTCTATGTTCTACATGCAAACAATTTATTTTAGATGATACATGATCATACCCTCGTAGATCATTCCACATGTTATTTTTCAAATGGAATATGATGATCTTAGAAAAATAGTTTCTTGTTTTAGCTGTGAAGAGGCTGTGATAACATATCTGAATCACCTGCTTAAAAGGACGTACTATGGGCAATAGACCTTTAAAATGACACGTCCCCAGCCATGCATATGTTAGATGTAATAGCAAAAAAAAAAAAAAAAAACAACAAAAACAAAAACAAAAAACAAACAAACAAACAGTTTTTTAAGATACGGGATATAAAAATTTTGTTTTGTTTTTTGAAATTATTTTTAAATTAATCTCACAGCTCCAAATAGCCTGGCTTTTACTGACTTCTCTGAAACTGACTCTAACACCTAAATTTGGGGCCTCACATTCAGCTACTTTAAAGTTCTGCTAATGTTTCCTTTCTAAAACCATTTTCATTGATTTTTTTCCCCTAGGGCTGATTTTCACTGGGCTACGGTGAAAAGTCTTTGCTTCCCAGCTTGTCTCTGAAGTCCTTCATCCTTTGTTGTTAGTAAGCCTATCATTTGGTCTTGACTGTCTCATCATAGTTATTATATCCCATTCACCCATGTCTTTAAGGACTCCAACAATTTTGCCCAGTGTTCATTGTAAACTTTTGTCACACATTACTCTTCAAGTGAAACATTTGGATCTGCCTTGAGAAAAAATAAAGTAGTTAATCCTCTATGTCAGATCCAAAAGGATCCATGTACTTAAATATTACCTAAGTCAATCATTATTTCAAATCATCTCAGATATCATAACTATTTCAAATGTTTCTTTGAGTAAATATGAAAGACTGAGACAGGAAAAATGTATCACTATTAAATAGCATTACATTAAATCATCTTGTCATTAAAACCATGGTATCATCCTGAGCAACATGATGAAACCTTGTCTATACAAAAAAATATTAAAAAATTAGCCAAGTGTGGTGGTGTGCACCTGTGGTCCCAGCTACTCGGGAGGCTGAGGTGGGAGGATCACCTGAGCCTGGGAGGCAGAGGTTGCAGTGAGCCAAAATCTCACCACTGCACTCCAGCCTGGGTGACAGAGTGACACCCTGTCTTAGGAAAACAAAACAAAAAAACTGTAAAGTCAAGTCTTTCCTAGAAGTGGGGCTAGGGTGAGGGAGAAGCAGTGCCTTGTGCTTTGCTATTTACCTAGTGTCCTCACATAAATTTCTTTCTTTTGATTTTTGACCTCCCAGAATCCCAGGGGGCATTATTATTTTCTCTTGCTGATTAGAAAATTGTAATTTAGAGGATTCAAATCTAAATCTTCTAAGTTAATATTAAAAACCTTCAGATATTACAATTAGATTACCATTTTCTCTCACCTGAAAATATGAAAAATGGGTGCTTTTAAATTTTTTAAATTAATTTTGGCTTTGGTATTTTGTTTTTGTTGTTTGTTTTAACTTATTTTTCCCCTTTTTTCTCCTCTTGGATCACCTCTTGAAACCTTCTTTCCTCATCCCAGATAGTCTGCTGCACCCTTTGTGACTCAATGGTGTACTGTTAATAAACATTTACTGAGGCTCTAGCCCGGCAGGCACTGTGTTAAGGCTGTTCCTGATCTCAAGGAACGCATAACCCAGTGGGGAGACACAGTGCCCTAAGCACTTTAACTGAAGTCTCTGTAGATGTGGTTGCACAAAGGAAATCACCATGTTTATGGAAAATTTAAATTTGCAAAGATCATTACTAGCTTTAAGAATGCTCCACATCAGACAATTCCTATCAAAGCAAAGCAGAACTCTGAAATTATTTTCTTGATATTAATTGTAAGTTTATATTTCATGAGTTCCTGCTTTCTTTTGCCTCTGCTATGCTCAGTAGTAGCCTCCACCAGAGCTTCTCAGAAGATTGGGGGTCTTATCACTGAGGTGTCAGATCAAATGTCATCACCTCAAACATCCAAGCTCTTTCCTGACCACTGAAATGCATGCATGTACACCAAGCCCCCAAGTCACTTACTCCCTATTCTATATTCATCATAGTCCTTATCACTATCTTACAATATATTTGATATGTATTTTCAGTGTTTGTTTGTTTGTTTGGTTTTTGAGACGGAGTCTCACTCTGTTGCCCAGCCTGGAGTGCAGTGGCGTAATCTCAGCTCACTGCAACCTCCACCTGCCAGGCCCAAGCAATTCTCCTGCCTAGCTTCCCAAATAGCTGGGATTACACCCAGCTAATTTTTGTATTTTTGGTAGAGATGGGCTTTCGCCAAGTTGGCCAGGCTGGTCTCAAACTCCTGACCTCAGGAGATCCACCCACCTCGGCCTCCCAAAGTGCTGGGATTACAGGCATGAGCTGCTGCGCCTGGCCAGTTTTTAGCCTTAATTTGGAGTTGACAATGGAACAGCCAATTGAATAGTCATCCGGAAAAAAAAATAGCCTTAATAGTACTTTGTTTATGAAAACTCTACATTTCGGCTGGGCATGGTGGCTCACACCTGTAATCCCAGCACTTTGGGACGCCAGGGTGGATGGATCACCTGAGGCCAGGAGTTTGAGACCAGCCTGGCCAACATGGCAAAACCCTGTCTCTACTAAAAATACAAAAATTTAGCCGAGCGTGGTGGCGAATACCTGTAGTCTCAGCTACTCGGGAGACTGAGGCAGGGGAATCACTTGAGCCCGAGAGGTGGAGGTTGCAATGAGCTGAGATCGTGCCACTGCACTCCAGCCTCGGTGACAGAGTAAACTGTCAAAAAAAAAAAAAAAAGAAAAAAAAGAAAAAGAAAAGAAAAGAAAAGAAAACTATACATTTTATTATTTTTATCCTGAAAATGCTCTGTGAAAGTGGACAATCCTGTGAGGCAATTATTAGACCTATATTAGAAAAAAGAAATGGTAGTGTACAAAAGGCAGGTTGTGTTCATAGGGTCAAACAGGCACAGTCCAGAATTTTTCCAAACTGATGGAACAAATTTTATTACTTTCAAGGTGCTATGAAAATTGAAGATAAATATATATAAATAAACATTGTCCTACTACAGATGGAGCTTTCCATTGTCCCCTTCTGCTGAAATCAGATGCTTTCATCTGAATTTGAAGAGTGAATCTTATGTTGTTGGTAAAAGGAATAAAATTATTCAGTTCAGCGTCTAAACTCTGACATTGCAATGGATCTTCTAATTCTATGATCATTTGTAATCATGCACACTCTGCTTCAATGTAAAATTAGTCCATTCAGTCAACAAATATTTATAGACTTCCTACTATTTGCCAGGCACCATGTTAGATGCTTGGTGATTCAACAGAGAACAAAGCAAAGACCCTGCCCTTGTGGAGCTTTCAACTGAATGAGACAGAAAGATATTAATCAGATAAGCACTAATATCTATCTACAAATGATAATCCCTGATATATAAGAAACATGCCATGTGCCATGAGAACATATGGGGGAAAGCCACCCTCATCTGGATTTGGAGAGGGCTTTCCAAAGGAAGCAACATTTAAGTTGAAATGTGAAGTGATCAGTTGTTGACTAGGTGAAGATGGGAATACAGAGAGGGGAAAGAGAGTACATGTGTTCCAGAGAGTGAGACTAGCATGTACAAGAGTTGGGTAAGTTTGCCTTTGCTGCTTGGTGTTACCGCTTTAGGAACCATGTCTTTTGGAGTGCTGCATTGACTTTTGCTGCCAAATAGCTAAATATACTTGGGTTTATGATTATTTATAAAGCTATATTTCCAGCAGTTCATGTGTCATAAAGCATGGAAATTTGTTTTTTATTACCTAGTTACTGGCAAAATCAAAATGAAGCTTATGGCATACTAGATACTTTGTGCCAACATTTCAAACTGTTCCAAATTAATTTGGTTATTCCAACATTAGAAACAGAACACTATGAAACAAAGAAACCAAGCACAGAAAGCTAAATATCCAGATAAACTTTAAATACTGCTAACAGATGCTCTTTGTGTGAACCAATTTCTTTTGAAAATGGCAATGAGGGCTTTCAACAGTTTTCCATTGTCATATCTGAATTGTGCATTCTTTTAGGGACAAAGGAGGAAAGGTTAACCAAATTCATCATTTATTAGCCTACTTTCCAGGTGTGCTAACTGGGTTCTGGTACACTGTACAGTTCTGACTTTTGATCACCTACCTAGTAAATATTGGAAAATACATGGCATGATTATTCTGCTACCTTCAACAGTTGTAAATCAAGATGGCCAGCCTCTCATAGAAGGAAAACTTAAAGAGAAGCAAGTCAGATGGAAGTTCATCAAAAGGTGGAAAACACGCTATTTTACACTGGCTGGAAATCAACTTCTGTTTCAAAAAGGAAAGTCTGTAAGTTCCTCCATCATCTTTTACACTTGCATTTTTAAGGTTTTGATCTCCACCAATAGCTAAACGTTTTGTCTTGGGTTTAAACTCTAATAATTTTTCCATCTCCATTTCACCATCTTACAGCATTGTTTTATCACACATTTCTGTGTCTAGTCTGTTTATTCCTATGTTAGTTGATTCACTGTCCCCTTCCAGTTTATTATGGAAGCTTGTTTTAGTTGACTTTTTAGTTGAACTGCAGAGGGACTGCAAGTCTTGACTCAGACACCGTGCCCTTTGTTTCCTTGTGGACCACGTACACAAATTTATGACTTATGATATTGGCTCTGATTTTTTTATAGCTATAGTTTATATTTGGAAATGGGGGTCCAAAAAAGGAGGACATAGACAAGGAGGAAAGAATGAAGGCTGATTTACTTTAGGTACTTTTTATAGTCAACAAAGTTTAATTCTGATTAAAATATTACTGTCTTTCATCTATTTAATATTCAGTTAATGAATATAATAGAATTATGATCAAATTAATAAATATTTAATATAATTTTCCATTTGAATAGGATGTTCAGTAATTATTTGTATTGTGAATTTTCAGTGGGAAACCTCTGAAGTAGCATTCCATTGCAATCAATAATGCAAAGTTACCTTCTCTTCTTTTCAAATTGGTTTTATGTATCATTAAACTCTCCTGATTCAGGATCAAGAGGAATCAAATCTTGACCTACTTCTTGGCTATTTTAGAAAATAATCATAATGACTAGCATTTTTTCAGTGCCTACTATGCAACACCTTGGATTGCCTCAAACAATCCTCAAAACAATCCTATTAGGCCACCACTGCTATTATTGCCATTTCACAGATGAGGAAACTGAGTCAAAGAAACTGATTGGATTGTCCAAGGATAAAGCTAATAAGGTGAGAAAGGGTATAACTGGGGTCAAGATCAGGCAGTGTTACACCAAAGCATGTTCTTAAATGAGTTTACTGCTTCCCATGTATACTTAAAATACAGAGTCAGTGGTAAACTGTACTCACCAGGGATCTCCATAGAAATGGAACCAATAGGATATATAAAGACATATACGAGATTTACTATGGGAATTGGCTCATGAAATTATGGAGGGTGTGAAGTTCCATGATATGCTGTGTGCAAGCTGGAGAACCAGGAAAACTGGTGGTGTAATTCAGTCTGTGTCCTAAGGCCAGAAAATTAAGGGAGTCAATGATATAACTCCCAGTCCAAGGCCAAAGGCCTGAGAACCTGGGTATGGCAGTGAGCTGGGGGGAGGGATGTAAGTCCCAGAGTCTGAAGGCCCCAAAACCAGGAGCTCTGATATCCACAGGCAGGAGAGAATGCATGTCTCAGTGCAAGAAGAAAAAGCAAATTTATCTTTCCTCCAACTTGTTATTCTATCCAGGTCCCCAATAGATTGCATGATGCCCACCCACAATGGGGAGCATGGATCTTCTTCACTCAGTCCACTAATTCAAATGCCAGCCTCTTCCAGAAACACCTCACAGACACATGCGGAAATAATGCTTTCCCAGCTGTCTGGGTACCCATTAGCCCAGTCAAGTTGACACATAAATTAACCATCACATAAACCAAACTGTCTGAATTAATTAATGAAAAGTGGTAAATTAGTTAAAAATTATAATTCATTCTCGGCCATATGCACTATATCTTTAGAGTACTCATTATAAAATGTATTTGAACATTTTAATCAGTATGAATCAAGTATCGTGTATTCTGACCAGTGCTCTTTTAATTAATAAGACTTCTGTTAACTTTTTGAATGAAAAAGAATATTTTTTGTGATACCTACTGTGTAGTCATGCTACTTTCTTCATCTGTGTGTGTTATAACATATACAGATGGACTTTTCTGTAGCTGAACATCTTTTTGAAAGGGCAGTTCAATTTAGACAGCTATTGGAAACTTAAAGAAATTTTTTTAGCATAGGTTCACACTAAAGCATGTTTAAAGTGTTTAAAATGACTACCTGAATTTTCTGTTTTTATTCAAGAAATCAAGAATAGAAATGAAGACGTAGTAATTTTCCAGATCCCTTAAGACAAAGCAGAGTTAATCTATGAGAATGTTTTTCTGAACTCAAATAATGACCTTTATACTTTCTGATTCATGGCTTTTTTAATAAGGTTTAAAGAAAAAGCAATTTTATAATTAGGTAACTTGTTTGACATGTTTATCAGGAAATAATGGTCTGACATTCCATAACTCTGACAAAACTTGCGGCTCAAATAGTGGGAAATAATTTAATATAGCATGAAGGCCACAGCAAAATACCTCTAATCTCCAGGGAAACAATAACCTACCAGTGGTCAACAATCCTGCTGAAGCTTCAGGTCCTTGTAAAAGGGCCCCTTTTAAATGAAAGAAATGTGCATTTTAAAATTAGAGCTGAGGTTGAAAGACTCTAGTGGAAGACTCTAATCTTTCACTTTTGCATTTTTAAGACCTTGATCTCCACAAACTAGCTAGGCAATAGTGTCCTTTGACTTTCTATCTATTCCTGTCTCAGTTGATTCACTGTCCATCTTTAAATTACTATGGTAACTTTTTATTTTCGTATCAATCTCTGTACTATAGACTACTTCAAAGAAATGCAATTTTATTACTGTCAGATACTTACTGTAAACCAAATTAGGCTAACAAAGTATTGTCTAGTGTGTATGTCTTCAAACTTTATCCTGTGTACCCTAAAAGAATTTTGAAAAATCTATGTAATACCTTGCAGCATTTTAAGTTGCAGCAACACTTTTATCATAAGTTTAAACATTTGCCCGGACTGTAATTTCTGTTGAATTGTAAATATTGACATTTTAAAACAAAAGGATTACATCTCTCCATTAAATGTAACCATTGGATTAAAATACCATAGCAGTTTAACACCTAACACTATTTTTAATACATAAATTAACTCTTTTTTAAATAGAAGTGTTCACATTGTTTCTCTTTTTTTTTTTAAATCATGTTTCTGTTCTACCTCTATCACAGCATTTTATCCTGAATGGCATTTCATTTTTCACTGAGTAAAACTATATGTATAAATTGAAATTTAATTGTTTAAATTCCTTGTGACCATCCGTCTCCAAGTGTTATTTTTTCTGATTTAGTTATCTTTTTAAAAAGTTATATCCTTCATGAAAATCCATAAGTATAATGCCAAGCTTAATAATTATTAAACATTAAAAATTGAAATATTATTGAAAATGTATCTCATAATGAAATAGATGAGGAGTGATTACATTGCCTTGGCTGATGGATACTTCCCTGATGTCAATAGTTGGAATTGCTTTTTTGTTTGGTGCTTCTGAGATTTGTTTACATTGGACAAAACATCATAGAAAGTATGGGATGAGTGAAGAGGATGCTTTTTCATTGCAAAGTGAAAGGAGGGTGATTGCAACAGGAGAGGTGGGCAAGGAGAATTGGCAAGATTCTCAACCACAGGTACTTTCTCTAGTAGACAAAATGTATTCATGTGAAAGACCTGAAATTACTTCAAAGAAATATCTGGCCCCTTAAAATTATTCATCTTAGCCCAGTGTGATGACTTTGGTATTGTAGAGGTCCTTAAATTTTTGCTTTAATAAAAGGCAAATGTAACATCATTAAATATTTCTTCTCTTACTGTTTGTAGACAAAGCATGCTTCCAAAGCTGCAGAGAGTTTCAAAAACAGTTTGGTCTATGCAAACACTGGAAGCCTCTCTATTCAATTAAGGTTTGGCAAAATCTTTCTCAGAGGTAGCACAAAGGAAAATTCAATTTCATGCCTCCCAAACTACCTGAAGTTATAAGTTAATAGCACTCCAAATTGTACCGTTGCACCTTGCTCTATTAATATAACGTTAATAGAAAATGAAAGAACTCTGAATTTTTCCCAAATCCCACTTTATAATAATATCCTTTAAATTAATTATCTTGTGTCAACTTATGATACTCTAACAAAGGCCCAATTGCTCACTCCTTCAGTTATTCTAATGATTCTGAGGCCTTAGCACCCAAAATAACAAAGGTCTTGAGACATAAAAAGTGAAAGGATTCTGGCCCTCTTAGAAAGTTCTCCAGTAGCCAGAGATCCTTGCCTACAGTAACAGCCAGCCCATGTTCTTTTCTTCCCATGCCTTTCAGAAAGATGACCCTGACGACTGCCCAATAGAACTCAGCAAAGTACAGAGTGTGAAGGCTGTGGCCAAGAAACGCAGGGACCGCTCTCTCCCCCGGGCTTTCGAAATCTTCACAGACAATAAAACCTATGTCTTTAAGGCCAAGGATGAGAAGAATGCAGAAGAATGGCTCCAGTGCATCAACGTGGCAGTTGCCCAAGCCAAAGAAAGGGAAAGTAGAGAAGTAACCACATATCTGTAGGGATTTATAAGTCAGCCATGACAATTATACACCACAGGCATTGTATTATCATTGCCAATGTCAAGAAAAAGAGCTAAATTTACCAAGCCATGTTGTTTTTTACTAAATACCAATGGAATTGTTGTCCTTTAAGAAGAAGGGCCTAAAATGGCAGGATTCTTAGTAAATGTCATACTCTAACAGCTTTAGTATTGACTTCAGAATATATCTGATGCCCACAAAAATAAAATAAAATAAAAGGAGCTACAGAGTATGCCCTCAGATAGTGTGGGGCCAGGAAGGGAAAAGTCACTGATAAAAGAACTTCTGTAGATATGTCATTTAAAACTGTGAGAAAACAACATGAAAAGATGCCTGAACTCTCCATCCTGAGGAAAGATTAGCACTTCTGATGAAAATCACAGTCTGTCAAAGGTATTAAAAGAAAACTTTAAAAAAAAAAACCTTTAGAAACGTTGAACTAATGTACACTGAGAAAAACCATATAACTTACTTATAGACATATAATTACATGATCCTCTCTTACTACAACTGAGGCTAACACATGGTAAAATGGTTCCCAAATCAAGCCAGTTATGTCATTAAATACTTGTCTTTCAGAATTACTTATTTAATTATTCCATTTAAGTTCATATAATATAATCTACAGTTTAGATACTTGGACATATATCCTGCCCAAGGCACTAAGTGTAATATAGGAAAAGGATAGAAAGCCATTTTCTCTATCTTCAAAATAATGTGCCATCTCCGTTAAAATTAAGACTTTAAAGTTCTATAATTTTTTCTTTGTATTCAACTTTTTAATACCTCCAAATTACAAACATCTATTTTTTTCACTACATAGATATATAATTACACTATGATAGACAGAATTCTAGAGTGATTCTCAATAATCCATGCCTTGGTATAATCCTCTCCCCCATTGAGTGTGGGTGGGACATGTAACCTGCTTCTAACCAACAGAATATGGCAAAAGTGATGGGATCATCTCTCCCATATTATGTTATGTTATATAACAAAAGTGAAGAGAAGTTGCAGATATACATAAGGTTTCTAATCAGCTGACTTTGAGTTAATCAAAGAGATCCCCTGGGTGGGCCTGACCTAATCAGACTAGTCCTTTAAAAGAGAGTGAACCAGTCAGAGACTCTCTCTCCTATTAGCCTTAAATAAGCAAGCTGCCATGAGCTCTACGGCTGCAAGGAAATAAGTTTTGTGAACAACCATGTGATCTTGGAAGAAGCATCTGAACCTCAGATAAAAGCCCAGCCCCAGCCAACGCCTTGCTTGCAGCTTTGTGAAACTCTGAGCAGAGGACCCAGCTAAATCACGTTTGGACTCCTGACCCACAGAAACTTTCAGATAATAAATGTATGCTGTTTTAAATCTAAATTGTGGTGATTTGTTATGCAGTGTTAACTAATACAAAAGCTAAGTTGGGCTACATACAAGGGATAACTTTTTCCTTGAAATTTATTGATTATGTAGTCTAGTATAGAAACCTGGAGAAAGATTATGAATGGTCAACACCTTGACCCTCCTGCTAACTTACTAGGATAGGAAATATAAAAGGGGCCATGTTTGCGAAAGGAAACAATTCCATTTTAACAAGTAAAGTTTGAGGGTATTGTGAGTCACAGAATTTATTACACATTGGAAATAGAGTTCTGGAGGTCAAAATTCAGGATCACTGGATATATAGGTAGTCACCAAAGATGCAAAATTAGATGAAATTACCCAGAGAGAATAAGAAGACAAAAGAATTAATAAGGGTTCCTTGAGACACCAGCATTTAAGTAAAGGCAGCTGGTGTATCTGATTAGTGTTGAGAGATTATGTAGACCAGGAGAAACAATGTCACAAAAGCCAAATTAATAAGGATTTTTCAGGAAAAACAGGGCAACAATTTGAAATCCTGAAGAGTAATCACTTAAGATAAAGCCTGACTTCCACAATCAGGAAGCAATTGGTGTCATTGGGAAGAACAATTCCATTTGAGTGAGGGAGTAAACATCAAATTTTAGTAGGCTGAAGTGTCAATGGGAGGTTTGGACTTTAAAGCAATAATTGGACTATTCTTTCAACAAAATGGGGCTACGATGAAGGGGCTAAGATGGAGCAAGTGTTTTCTTGCTCTTTTTAAGATGAGTAAGAATTAAGGGAAAGATGAAGGAGTTAAAAATACAGAAAGAAAGAGGAAAAAAATGACTTTGCTTGAGTAAAGTTTCCAGAAGTGATAGGAAGGGATTAAAACTCCTTTATTCTGCAGCAATTAACTGAGCAGGTGCTAAGCAACAGTTGCCATGCTTGGCCTGGAGATACAAAGATAAAAGACACAGTTTTTCTCTTCAAGAAGTTTAAAGTTTAGTGGAAGAGACATATACGTACAACAGAAATATAAGTGCTACGCAGCAAGTGCCTTGATGAAGGTATGCACAGGGTCCTGTGGAAACACAAGAGAAGACACCATTGTAAGTGACTTTAAACTCAGAGTGGACTCCCTCACTGCTTCCCAGAGGTGATAGAAAATGAGCTAGTCTTAAAGAACTAGTAGGATTGCTGTGGACAAACAAGGAGCAAATGGTCAGTAGGGTGAACCACGCTACAAATGCAAAAGAGGGAGAAGGAACATGGTCCATTTGCAAAACGTAAGCTTTTCCCTAGGGTTGAAACATAAGGGGTGTATGGAAAATGGTTCAGAGTCATGCTGAAAAGGCCTGCAGGACCACAGGATTTAGGACTTGGTTCCATGCCAAGGGTCTAAACTTTTTCCTTAACATGATGAGGCATTAATTTGTGTGGCAGCAATAAAGATAAAAAAGAAAAAAAAATCACAAATAAGATGATGAAGCACCATTAAAAGGTTTTAAGCAGATTTGCATTTAGAAAGGTAATCTTAATAGTGGTATAGAGAATGGATTATAAGAATATCAAAAATTGTAGCAGGGAGACCATTTGGGAGGTTCTTCTAAGGTAGTGAGGACCTGGACTGATGTAGTACCAAAGGAAATAGAGATAAATGAACAGGCAGGAAAAATACTGATTTAGTTAAATGGACAGAACACTGGCGGATTGGATGGAGTTGGAGTATGGGAATGGAAAGGAAAGAGTTTCTGCTGATCCCTAGGTGCTTGCTTGGGAAACTTGGTAGATGATGATAATGATGATATTCACTGAAATAGAAAATTCAGAAGCAGCATTTTGAGAGATAAGCAGATGGTAAATTTAATTTTGATGTATACATTCAGGGAACAGATAGGGGACTAACCTTGCAGACAGACAACTCCTGTGAAGTTGGGCACGAAAAGGATGAGAATGAGTATAGTTGTAAATGATTCTCTAAATATTCTTTTAAAACTTACCGCCCCATACTTAAGAGTCAGTGAATAACTCTAGCTGTTTTAGTCAATTAGGAACAATTGGTAACAGACAAACACTGACAAAGTATTAGGTGACCTTGCATTAGCTATTAAAAATTTGAATGCCAACAGTGTGCTTAAACCTTTCACAGCAGAGAGCTCGTGGTAAAACAGTGGTTATGCTGAATGTTTGGCCTCAGAAAGAAGAGAATGGCCCCCTCAGCTCAATTTGTGGGGAAAGAATTATTTTTACTACTTGCTACAAAGTCCTTGTGATTTAATTAACTGGATGCCTCTAATCTACAACATAATTCTCAGTGCCTTTGAGCCAGATCTTAAAAAAAGTAAATGTGTGAAGTGTAAATAATGAACTTTTTGGTTTCATTCCATGATGCAATAATTCCAATGCAAGTAAATTCTCCTGGGTTCAGAATCACACTAGGAATCTCAGAATCATCAGCTTCCCGCGAATATTTCTGGCACTTCCACCCTGGTTGCTGGTGAGTTTACCACAGACCGGCCTTTCCCAAAAGGGCTGCCATTTCTTCCCGATCTAAGAAGAAACCACTTTCCTAAACATGCTTAAACCTTTAAAAATGTTGGTATGAATAAAATTATAATCATGGACCGAAATTGAAGTGGCTTTCATTTTAATTTAATTTTTATTCTTTTTCCCTCCCAGATAGCATTGGAAATATAAATGTTTATGTATGAGAAGCTTATCTAGCTACTTCTTGAGAACCTGGAGTTTGGTAAAAACAAATGTTCAATACTTTTCTAATACTGAGCTTTCTAGAAAATCCTTAGCTGGTGATGTCAAGGGGCATTTACTGGGTCATCTCCAACTCACCTACTTTCCATAGGTACCCACAGACCTGTTTGTGGTGATGACTTATTCTCAGACATAAATAAGGATTACATGTTTAAGGAAGCATTACCCACTTTAGGAAACAATTGTGAGATAAGGTGAGAGAATGTGAGCTGAATTCAAAGTGCATTGCAGACAAATAAATACCATGGTTTAAATGCCCTAATAAGGATTTCCAGTTCCCAAAATCTAAATTTTTAGAAGAGAAACCAAGAAAAAAACAAACTGTCATCTTGTTTCAGAATAGCACCAGAGTATAGATCCTTTGGAACAAATCCTTCCCAAAGATGCTCCTGAAAGACAAAGGGGTTGGAAAATCCAGAAGACGTCTACCAAGGTAGGGAAAGGGGCACAGGCTCTGGGCACGTGAAGAGTCAATCCCTCACTCTATCAAAACTAGATTACCAACCTGAGACAGTTATTCATCCTTCATCCCTGGTTTGGGGATAATATTATCCACAGAGTGGAATTGATGTGAGACACACATGTCGTGCAAAAGCACAAAACCTATAACCTTAACCAGCAGAGAACCTTTAACATAATAGGTGCTTGAAAAAGACACTCCAGTTTTTATGTACCATTAAGTAACTATGATACCATGTCTTAATGATAATTACATGTTGATGTCTTCCTTTTTAGGCAAAACATTCAGTGGTTGCTTTGCAAGACCATATGGAACTGTGGTCACTTCAATGTTGGCTCTTTCGTTCACTAATATCACACTTCATTCCACTCCTCTGCTTCTGTGCTTTTCTGTGTACATGATAACTTTTTGTTTCAAAGTCAAACCAAATTGTAACCTGTTTAAGACATAGTAAACAGCAATTAGCCCGTGTGCTGTCAACTATCCACATATCTGAATGGATGTGACAACACAAAGAGCTAAGATAGTATTTGCACATCAATAGGCAACAACAGAAACCCCATCACAGCCATTCCCACTGCATAGTGATTGTAAAACATGTACTAATTTCAGAGATATTTAAATGTGGGGGAAGAAAATGTAAAGCAGTTAGCAGAAGGAAGTATTAAGAGTTCCACACAGGTTTGTTTCACAGTAATCAAAACTGTATGTTAACATTTTTGTGAACAGTAGAGCATATTGCAAATGTAACAAATTTTAAAACATAATGATTAAAATGCCCCCAGTGCGCCCATCCTCAAAGGTGTGAGGTCAGCTTTGCCTATAGTTGCTTACCCTCTCTTTTGACAGGACTAAGGATGGCTGATGTCCACATACAAGCCATGTTTATGGTCTCTATATCCCCCTGCCTGTGCTCTCCTTTGTCCAAGTTTCCTTTCCTGAAAGGGAAGCTGGGTAAAGAATGGGCCAAGATAGCAGAGATGGAGGCAGGGGTGCACACGGTGTGTCTTTTTATTTTTTCACTTTCATTTTAAGTTCAGGGGTACAAGTACAGGTTCATTACATAGGTAAACTTGTGTCATCGGGGATTTGTAGTATAGATTATTTCATCATCCAGGTATTAAGCCTAGTACCCACTGGTTATTTTTCCTGATCCTCTCCTTCCTTCCACCCTCAACTCCCCGAAAGGCCCCAGTGTGTGTTGTTCCCCTCTATGTGTCCATGTCTTCTTATCATTTAGCTCCCACTTATAAAAGAGAACATGCAGTATTTGGTTTTCTGTTCCTGCAAAGCACATGATCTTGTTCCTTTTTGTGGCTGCATGATATTCCATGAACCACATTTTCTTTATCCAGTCTATCATTGCCCAAATGATGGGCATTTAGATTGATTCCATGACTTTGCTATTGTGAATAGTGCTGCAATGAACATACATGTGCATGCATCTTTGTAATAGAATGATTTATATTCCTCTGGGTATATACCCAGTAATGGGATTGCTGGGTCAAATGGTATTTCTGCCTCTAAGTCTTTGAGGAGTCATTGCACTGTCTTCCACAATGGTTGAACTAATTTACATTCCCATCAACAGTGTAAAAGTGTGCCTTTTTCTCCACAACCTCACCAGCATCTGTTGTTTTTTGACTTTTTAATAATAGCCACTCTGACTGGCGTGAGATGGTATCTCATTGTGGTTTTGAATTGCATTTCTCTAATGATCAATGATACTGAGCTTTATTTCATGAGTGTTGGCCACATGTATGTCTTCTTTTGAGAAGTGTCTGTTTATGTCCTTTACCCACTTTTTTATGAGGTTGTTTGTTTTTTGCTTGTAAATTTGTTTAAGTTCCTTATAGATGCTGGATATTAGACCTTTGTTGGGTGCGTAGTTTGCAAAAATTTTCTCCCATTCAGTAGGTTGTCTGTTTACTCTGTTGTTAGTTTCTTTTCCCATGCAGAAGCTCTTTAGTATAATTAGATCCCATTTGTCAATTTTTGATTTTGTTGCAATTGCTTTTAGCATCTTCATCATGAAATCTTTGCCTGTGCCTATGTCCTAAATGATAGTGCCTAGAAAACCCCATAGTCTCATCCCAATAGATTCTTAAGCTGACAAACACCTTCAGCAAAGTATCAGGATACAAAATCAATGTGCAAAAATTACTAGCATTCAACAGTCAAGCCAAGAGCCAAATCAGGAACAAACTCCCATTCACAATTGCCACAAAAAGAATAAAATACCTAGGAATACAGCTAGCTAGGGAGATAAAAGATCTCTACAAGGAGAGCTACAAACCACTGTTCAAAGAAACCAGAAATGACACAAACAAATGGAAAAACATTCCATGCTCATGGATAGGAAAAATCAATATCATGAAAATGGCCATACTGCCCAAAGCAATTTGTAGATTCAATGCTATTCCTATTAAACTGCTGCTGACATTCTCGCAACTAAAGAAAACTATTTTAAAATTCATATGTAACCAAAAAAGATTTTAAATAGCCAAGGCAATCCTAAGCAAAAAGAACAAAGCTGGCAGCATCATGCTACCTGACTTCAAACTATACTACAGGGATACAGTAACCAAAACAGTATGATAGTTGTACAAAAACAGACACATAGACCAACAGAGCCAAATAGAGAACCCAGAAATAAGACCGCACGCCTACAACTATCTGATCTTCAACTAACCTGACAAAAACAAGCAATGGACAAAGGATTCCCTATTCAATAAATTGTGCTGGGATAACTGGCTAGCCACATGCAGAAAATTGAAACTGGACCCCTTCCTTACCCCATATACAACAATTAACCAAAGATGGATTAAAGATTTAAATATAAAACCCAAAACCATAAAAATATGATATGTCTTTTACCCACTATCACAGATTGGGGACCCTAGAGGTGAACTTAGAATGGTGTCTGAGGAGGAATTCCAGATCAAGTAGGAGGAGCATTTTCAGATGACACCTTCAAAGTCAACCATACCAAAGACAGGAGTAGAAAGGCAAGGCCTAGAGTCAAGTCGGAAGTTGGAGAAGCAGGGAAGAGCAGAGAAAGGCACAGAGCAGAGTGAGTGGAATGGGCAGAGGGTTGCACGAACTTCAGAAGAGCAAGACCACCCTTATGGCTTGATTTTTACAGGTACTTGCCTAGGCGAAGTGGCGGCGGGGGGGCGGGGGGTTCTGTTAAATGTTCTTTGATGAAACAGGTACACCTCCTCATAAATGTCCTTCTAGTCCCTGGTTATGCAAGGCCCTATAGCCACGTGCTAAGCACAACAGGCAACCAGCTCTGATGATAACCTTAGCTCCCGGGTCCCGCCATGAGAACCCCAGCCTTGGCAGAGGACATTCCACAAGAACATTCTTCTCATGCCCCTTGCCCCTGCACCCCAGTACTATTGAATTTGTCTGCTTCAAAGAAAAACTTTCTGAGAGCAGGGGGGATGGAAATCTTTGAACTTTCTATAAAATGATAATCAGATGCATTGTGTTTACATAGCTTATTTATGACTTTATGGACAAATCTTTGAAAATCTTACATCAAATTTAAAAATGCATTTTTTCTGTCTTTCAAGCAATAAAAGGATTAGAATTCATTTTGGTACTGAGAATCTAGAAGAGTTATAAAATTTTCAAATAATGTAAAAATGTAAAGTATTCAAACACATGGTAGGCTAATGCATGCCTAGGAATAACAGTGCTCCATGAGACCACACTGGAAATTAAGGGGGAGTGGGTGCTAATAAAAGTAAATTCTAATTTTTCCATTTTTGAATTATTCTAGAATTATTCTTTGCCTTGTTTTATTTTTAACTACCATTTCACTAACATTAAGTAGAATATCTATAAGACACACACACACATATATATAAACACACATTTACTATCACACAGGTATTATGACAACAGAACTATTGTTTTCACATGTGCTTTGTAGAAATCAATCCTATTACTTCATTATCTTATATTCTATTTATATCTGTCCTCTCTCTCTCTCTCTCTCTCTCTCTCTCTCTCTCTCTCTCTCTCTCTCTCTCCCTCTCCCCCTCTCCTCTCTCTCTCTCTCTGCTGGCACTTCATGTAATCAGAAGAAACTCTTATGTGTGTTCCACTATTCTTAACGGAGATCCACTTCTATACACCAGATTTCCTTTGGGAGTGTTCTGTTCCCTCTTAATTCAGAGCTATTGCTATATGAGGAAATAGTCTAAATGTCATTTCTCTTAAGAGAGAGAAACAATGATTCTGTTTGCCAAACTAGCTCATAAACACAAAAATCAGAAGGTCCATTTTTAAAATTTAGCCAAAACCACAGTTTGGCAATGCCTGTTTTGGAAAATTAACCATAATACTAAGGGTATGTGTTGATTTGAGAACATTTTCATCACGACTCCCCCAAACTCTTCATGGAGGGATATCATGTAATTTTCCACATAAACAACTCTTACCTATATATTCATGTTTTTGTTATCACTATAATACTGTCATCTCCAGAAATCCTGCAGTTGTACCATCCTCAGGTAAATACAAATCAAATTCCACTGTAGCCAATAGTGTCACAGTAAGGTTCCAATGTAACGAAGCCACTAGCAGAATGTGAGGCAGCCAAATAAACTAGGCCAAGTTCTTCTAAGCAAGGAGATTTGGCATTTATCATTCAGTTAACAGTATCACAGGCTATTGGAGTTGGAAGAATCTTAACACTTGCCAGGCCAAACCTCTCCACCCCATGGAGAAGTCCCTTTCTTGTCATCATTGGCAGGTGGCATTCCCAACCGCGCAAACCCTTCTAGGGATAGAGAACTCATTAATTTATCATCAGTTCACATCTTTTTAAAATAAATTTTTTCTGTTTATGAAAACGTTTATTGCAGAAAATACCAAAAACTACTAAAATTATAAAAATTATTCATAATCGTCTGATCATTCAGAACCCAACAATATAGAAATGTTCAAATATAATTCCCATTAGGTTATTCATACCATATAATTATTTTCTGAAAAATTCTGCCGTTCCATCATTTCTAACCTTTAGTCCAGGTTCTCCCTCCTGCAGCCAGACATAATGTCTGCTCCCTCTTCCCCAAGACAACCTTTTACATAGTTTGATTCAAACATTCATTCAACAAATACTTATTAGCCAGGCATGGTGGCACATGCCTGTAGTCCTAGCTACTCAGGAGGCTGAGGTAGGAAGATCACTTCAGCCCAGTAGTTCAAGGATATAGTGCAGTATGATTGTGCCTGTGAATAACCACTGCACTCCAGCCTGGGCAACATAGCAAGAGAAAGAAGGAAGGAAAGAAGGAAGGAAGGAAGGGAGGGAGGGAGGGAGGGAGGGACGGAGGGAAGGGAAGAAAGGAGAAAAAGAGAGAGAAAGAAAGAGAGAAGGAAAGAAAGAAAGGAAAGGAAAGAAAGAGAAAGAAAAGAAAGAAGGAAAGAAGAAAGGAAAGAAAGAAAGAAAGAAGAGAAAGAAAGAGAAAGAAAGAAAGAAGAAAGAAAGAGAGAGAAGGAAGGAAGGAAGGAAAGGAGAGACCATTTACTGAGCATCCAACATATACTAGGGCATGGGGACTCAAAAATGATAAATAAATTGTCCATGCCTTTAACAAACTCAGTAAATAAATGTTATGATCTGAATGTTTGTGACCCCCCTTCCCAAATTTATATGTTAAAACCATTAGGTAGTAGTATATGTCAATACCAATGTGGTGGTATTAAGAAGTGGGGCCTCTAGGAGGTGATTAGATAATGAGGGTTCTGCCCTCATGAATGGGATTAGTGCCCTTATAAAAGAGGCCAAAAGGAGCTTGTTTGTCCTTCCCAACGTGAAGACACAGCTAGAAGGCGCCAGCTCTGAGGAACAAGCCCTCACCAGACAGCAAATCTACCAGCACCCTGATGTTGGACTTCTCGGCCTCCAGAACTGTGAGAAATAAATTTCTGTTGTTTATAAGTTACCCAATCTAAGACAGTTTGTTATTGCAGCCCAAATGGACCAACACAATAAGTATATTTTATTTAATAAGTAAATCCATACATAAAACATCTCCTATGTGCAGGACCTGTGCTGGGCATTAGAAATGCTGAGGTGACCAAGATGTCTCAAACTTTGTGGGATACGTATCCTAGTAGAAGAGAAAAATGTTAAAGTATTATCTTAATTATGAAATTGCCATGCGACCTATCCTACAAAGAAGCACAACTGATATGAGATTGTGAAAGGAGAGGTCTGATCTAATTAGGAAGTTAGGGACAGCTTCCTGGACAAAGAGACATATGCCTGAGATCTGAAAGATGAACAGGAAATTACTAGTCAAAGGGAGAGGTAGAAGAAAAGCAGACCAGGAAGAACTGAATGTGAGAAGACCTTGGAGAGAAAAGGCATGTAGCACATTAGAGGAACCAAAACAGGCTAGTGTGGTGGATGAGAGTGGTGAGGCTGGGAGGTGGGCAAGTCATGAAGGCTGTGGGAGAGCTACTGTTGGGTTTAAAACAGGGATGGTATGATTAGATCTGCAATTCCGTAAGATGGTTCTACCTGCTGTGTAGAGAATGGTTTGCTGAGAAAGCAATAATAGAAACTGAGAGAAAAATAGAAGGCTATTACAATAGTCCAGGTGAGAGGTATAACGAAAGCTTGAAAGAAAGTAGCAGCACTGGAAATGGAGAGAAATAGAGGGTTAGAGAGAGACTTTAGAAATGCAAATTGCAGGACTTGGTGATTGACGGGAATTGTCTCCAGAATCCCGGCACCCGTGGGTTGGCGGTAGCTCCATTCATGATAAAAGGAGCATTCAAAAGGGATCAGGTTTGAGGGACATCTTGCCCATGAAAGAAACAGATGTGTGGAGATCACAACACTGTGATGTGGGGGCATGATGGAGACAGAGGAGGGGGCTGCTGGCTCTGCCTGGGGAGTCAACTAAACCTCCACTGAAGAGTTGATGATATGCTGGATGTTGAAGGAAGAATATAATTTTCTTATATTTTAGACCTCGCCTTTCACACTCTCACAGTCAAAAAAGAGAAATGACATATGCCAAGACTCAGGATCACACTTAAGATGAGACAACATAAATGGGCAAGGATGAGAACAAGAGTCACTTAACTTTAATTACTTATTTTATTGGTGTTTTTGTTCCAAATTCTTGTAGAAATATATACTAGATTTTTTAAAGTAAGTATGGTGGGCACTGATGCATCACCAACATCCCTCACTGAAGGACCTGGTGCCCCAGCTGCTGGGACTGCTGTTGGCAGACAGCCTTCAGCTGCCATTCCCCTCAAGGACTGCCTCCTGGCCAAGGTCATGCCTGGGGCACCTGACATCTAGTGAACAGTTAATGGGAGAGTGTAAAGACCTGGACATTCAGGCCCAAGTTGAGACAACTCTGAGGGACCATTCTACCTGCAGAGCTCTCCACATGGTCAGTTGAGACTATCACTGGGGCGACACTGAAGCTCAGTTTCTCCACCTGCCCCTTACTGATTCCTCTCCACTCCCTTCTGCAGGTGTTGGTCCCCAAGGTGCTCCTTAATAGGCATCCTGCGCCTTAAACACTGCCTCAGAGTCTGCTTCCCAGGAAGTCCAAACAGATTGAGAGTAAGTAAAGACATAAAGGCAAAAGGAAAACAAAGTGGGAAGAAGAATAGTCACTGGGATAAGGTAAGTAGATGAAACTCGATCCCAGCAAAAGACAGCGTTCAGAGTTGACACCATGCTTTCATGCAGCCAGTTAAGGGAGGCATTCAATCAGATTCATGAGTCAGAGTTTCCCCAGGCTAAAAATAAACCAGTTGCCCAGAGGAAGAAAAGCTCTCTCAACAATGAGACCCAAGAATTTTTTTCCTATCGGCCTTACAAAGAGAACACTGTAATATAGTAACAACAGCTTCAATATCTCTCCATAAGTGCAACAGCATGTTTCAGAAGGATATGTAAGGGTGCAAACCCTAGTTACAAATTCAAACATACAAATAATATAATTTTCTTTATTTCCTTATGTTTTAATTAATTTATTGCTTGAGTGCTGGATCCCATTTCACTTGAGAGCAAAAAAAGCAGTGTTCATTGATTCAGGATAAACTCAGTCAAACTCAGAATATTCTCCATTTATTCAGGTTTTTTCTAGTTTCTCTTCTCAACAAGTATTCTTCCAAATGTATTATTTATGCCACAAGATTCATAATCTAGTTCTTCAGAGTTATGAATTTTTTTATTTTTTTATTTTATTTCGTTTTATTTTTAGAGAGACGGGGTCTTACTCTGTTGCCCAGGCTGGAGTGAAGTGGCACAATTCTAACTAACTGCAGCCTCAAACTTCTGGCCTCAAGCAACCCTCCCACCTTGGCCTCCCAAAGTGCTGGGATTACAAATGTAAGCCACCATGCCCAGCCAGAGTTATGAATTTTTTAACCTCGAAATTTTGACTTCCATTAGCCAGACACAATGGCACTTGCCTATAGTTCCAGCTACTCAGGAGGCTGAGGCGGGAAGATCACTTTAGCCCAGGAATTTGAGGTTGCAGTAAGCAATGACTGTACCACTGCACCATAGCCTGGGTGACAGAACAGAACCCTGTCTCTAAAAATAAAAGTCAAAAAATTTTAATCCTGACCTTTGAGACTTAATCTTACTTTTCTCAAAGTATTAACAGGTAAGTTTCAGAATAGATTTTTGAAACTTACAGTTTACTGTTACTTCTGATTTCTTTTCAACATCCTTTTTCTGAGGCAATGGATGCCTTCTGCCTAATTTGAAGGGGTAGAAAGGCCAGGGGATGGGCCAAAGGGCACTGCAGAAGACTAAACTAATAACAAGGAACTAAAAAAAAAAACATGGGTTAACAGACTGATTGTTATAAACAAACTGATTGTTACAATGTTTCAAAATAACATTCCTCAGGAAAACCACTAGTACAATGCTAGTACATAGAAAAAAATAAAAGTGACTGGGGTGGGTGCTCAGAACCATGTGGCCCAAACAGACAGCGTGCAGTAAGTCACAATGGAGTCAGGAATATATTTTAATGTGGAGGAATGGACAGACTGTTCAACTTTCAAACAAGGCTTATCCAAGTGGAATCAGGATTCTCTATTATTTATTTATATATTTCCAAATGCAGGATATCAGTTTCAGAAAAACAGGAAGTTAGGGAGGTAGTGAAGGTTTTGCCTCTGTTGTTTAACCAAAAGCTGCTGTGAAAAATGTGATGTCCCCCAAAATGAAAAAGTCATTATGAAAATTATGTCTATTTTGTTCTCTGCCACCATTAACTAAGCTGAAGTCCAGCCAGTTTGTTTTAAATTTCAAACCACTAGAAAGGACAGGCTCGGGGGAAATACGTGGAAGTTCAGAGGTTTCTGGGTTCTAGTGACAGGAGCAGAGCAAAGTAAGGCCACTTCAGATACAAAGTTTAAGAGGGCAAAGAGCCTCCTGAAGATGAAACTAAATAGCATGGCCAGTCGCCATGGCTCATGCCTATAATCCCAGAACTTTGGGAGGCCAAGGCGGGTGGATCACCTGAGGTCAGGAGTTTGAGACCACCCTGGCCAACATGGCAAAACCCCTTCTCTACTAAAATACAAAAATTAGCCGGGTGTGGTCGTGGGCACCTGTAATCCCAGCTACTCGGGAGGCTGAGGCAGAAGAATTGCTTGAACCCAGGAGGTAGAGGTTGCAGTGAGCCGAGATCATGCCACTTGATCACTCCAGCCTGGGCAACAGAGTGAGACTTTGTCTCAAAAATAATAAATAAATAAAATAGCAGATGCACACAGAGCTCTGTCGGCAGAGAAAGCTGAAAATATCCAGAGGCTAAATTGATGATCTGGAACACTGTGGAGGCACAACACAATAATCTCAGACCTACAACCTTGAGAGGGGTATTGAGAGATGCTTTCTGTAATTGAGAATGGATGCCTTGGGAGCATCATTTCATTTAAACAGTGAGTTTTAGTAGGCATTGCACGTAACGAAAATGAAGAGACCTTTATAGCAGAATTTGTGTGTGTGTGTGTGTGTGTGTGTGTGTGTGTGTGTGTGTTATTAAGGAGAATTACATCATTACTGTGAAGTTATTCACTGACTTTATATCTACATGCCAAAGTTTCAATACTAATAGTTTATCTATATGACTGCTTAAATTCACAAGCAAGTATTTGAAAGAATATGATTATAGACAGGCTGCTGTTTATTACAAAATTCTTCAGAATAGAAAGAGCTATAGAAAATAACATAATAAACCCCTTACAACCACCCCTCAGCCTATGAAATAAAGCAGTACATGTGCATCTGAAGCCCTCTATGTATCTCCTCCACAAATGTAATTCCTTCCCTATCTCACACAGGTAACTACCATCCTGAATTTGTTAATTATTATTCTAATATATTTCTATACACACTTACCACCCATTTTTATGCTTTAAAAATACATAGTATGTTTTGCATATATTTAAACTTCACGTAGTGTCATACAGCATGAATCGTTCTGTTTTCACATCTCATGTTTGCATCTAGGTCTAACTGATTTTCAGTGCTGTATATAATTCCTTTGTATCATTCCATTGTTTTTAGGTATTCGGATTCAGGTTCAAATATCATTCAATTTTTTATCCACTTTCTAGGGGATGATTATTTCTAATCTTTGCAATGGCAAAAAAAAAAAAATGTTGCTATGGAAATACTGGTTCTTTGTGTGCAAAGTCAAATGGTTATTTGGTCAGCAATTCTCAAAGTATGGTCCACAGACCCCTCATGGGCCCAAGACTCTTTCAAGCAAATCATGAGGTCAAAACCATTTTCATGAGAAGAAGAAAATAATACCATTTATCTTTTTCACCGTGTTAACATTTGCACTGATGCTGCTGGCACCTTAGCAGGAATCAAGGCAGCAGCATCCAGCAATACTAGTAATCATTGTATTCTTCACCACCATGCACTTGTGGTTTTAAAAAAAATCACTGAAGAATATTAATTTTACTAAATTTCAACTGTTACATAGTCATCTATTTAATATTTTTTATATTAAAATAAGAAGTCAGCACAAAGTACTCTGTTACATGCCAAAGTGCAATGGTCATCTCAAGAAAAAGCATTTGTGTGATTGAGTTGTGAGATTAACTACTACTTTTTTCACTAAACATTATTTTTAGGAGGATGATTGAGACTATGATTATTAAACTCTTGGGGTTTGGCAGACATTTTCTCAAAAGTGAATGATGTGAGCCTGCTACTCCAAAGAAAGCTGACTGTATTGTTGTTGATGATAAAATTTGAGCTTTCAAAAAAATTAGAAATTTTGAAAACTTGAATCCAACCCTGGATTTTTATATCTTACAGCTTCTCAATATTTCATGATTTCTCTAATGATAAGGGTGGTGATTTTTGACATTGTATAATGTATCAACATTTTGAAAATCTATGTAATTCAGTAAACCAATAATTTCCAAATGACCAATGCAAAATGTTACAAAATTATGCATGGGTAAAAAATCCACTCACGGTATAATATAAACTATGCATTTTAATTTAACAGAGTATGAAAAATTCATTGATATGGTTTCAAATTAACATTTAAGAAACTACCACTTGTTAGTTTTGGGTAGAGTATCAAAGAAGAATTGCCACAACTATCTGAAAAGGCCATTAAAATTCTCCTCTCTTTTCCAAATCAATATTTGTGTGTATCTTTATTTTCTTTATGGACTTCAATCAAAACAGTATACCACAATAGACTGAATGTAGAAACAGAATCCAGCTGTCTTGTATTAAGCCAAGCACAGTTACAGAAATGTAACATAATGCCACTCTTCTCACTAAAATTTTTGTTTTGGAAAATATAATGAGTTTATAAAAATACATCACTCATGTTAATATGTAATCAGTTTCTTACTGCCTTTTAAATGACTTAATGAATGTATTTTTAATTTCTCAATTTTATTTTCTAATATGGTAAATATCAATAGAAACAACTCACATAACCAAAAGCTCTTTGGTATCCTCAAAAATGTTTTAAAGTTTAAAAGGCTCCTGGGACCAAAGAGTCTCAGAACTGCTGACTTAGGGTATACACGAGAGTAGAATTGCTAGATCATAATTTACCTTTACCAAGTATTTACCAAGTTATTCTCTAAAATGATTCTATCAATTTAAACTCTCACTTGCAGTGTATCGAAATGCCCATTGTTTACATTGTTGTCAGCATTTTGAACTTGGTTCAGACTTAATTTTTTTTATATCTGATAGGTGCCAAAGTGGCATTGTTTTAATCTGTATTCCTCTGATTACTGCTACTTTCCCCTTTCCATGTATTTATTGACTCTACAAATTTTCTCTCCTTTGAAATTCCTCTTTATATTTTTTTTGCACATTCTTCTTTTAAGTTGTTTCTTTTTTCACATCAATTTTTAAGGGGCTCTTTACATTTTCCAGGCATGTCTCCCTTAGTTGGTTTCTCTTCTTTTTTTTTTTTTTTTTTTTTTGGAGACAGGATCACACTCTGTCCCCCAGGCTGGAGTGCAGTGGCGCAATCACGACTAACTGCAGCCTGCAGCCTCGACCTCCCAAGGCTCAGGTGATCCTCCTCCCTCAGCCCCTGAGTGGCTGGAACCATAGGCACACGTGCACACATGACTAATTTTTGTATTTTTAGTAGAGATGGGGTTTCTCCATGTTGCCCAGGCTGGTCTCAAACTCCTAGGCTCAAACGATCCACCCACCTTAGTCTCCCAAAGTGCTGGGATTACAGGTGTGAGCCACTGCACCAGACAAGTTTCTATTCTTTGTTTTACTTTTTACTTTGTAATTTTTTTGAAGGGTATAGTTTACATACAATATAATTTCATATTACATATGTTCAGTTCATGAGTTTTGACAATTGTAAAAGCCAAAGATATCAATACCCAAAACAAAATATAGAATATTACACTCATCTCAGAAAGTTCCTCATGCCCCTCCACAGAGGCAATCAACATAGATTAGACTGGCATATTCTGTAAGGTTACATAAATGAGGCTGGGCACGGTGGCTCATGCCTGTAATCCCAGCACTTTGGGAGGCCGAGGCAGGTGGATCACCTGAGGTCAGGAGTTTGAGACCAGCCTGGCCAAAGTAAAACTCCATCTCAAAATTAAAAAAATAAAAAAAATACATAAATGGAATTATATAGTATGTAATTTTTTGTGTTTGGCTTCTTTCTCTTAACTTAATGTTTTTGAGATTCATCCATGTGGTTATGTATATTAGTAATTTATTCTTTTTTACTGCTGAGTACAATTCCATTGTATGAATATACCAAAATCTCTTTATCCATTCTCCAGCAGATAGACATTTTAATTATTTCTGGTATTTGGCTATTGCTAGTAAGGTGACTATAAACATTATTGTACAAATTCCTTTGTGACATATTTTCAGTTCTTTTGGGTAAAATACCTAGGAATTGAATGAAATACCTTCTACACGTCTTACCTTCCATATGTTTTATCCTATCTTTCATATTTTCACCTTTTCATCTCTTTGTACTACATTCTACAGAATCTCCTTAGATTTGTTACCCAATTCACTCATTCCTTCTCCAACTGTGTCCTGCTGTTTGTCCCATACACTGAGTTTTCATTTCAATGGTTATATTTTCATTTCTAGAATTTTTACTTGGTTCCTTTTTTTAATATTTCAGGTACTTTTAATAGTATCTTATTCCTTTCTCTTATTGTTTAATCCATATTTTACCGTTTTAATTACTTAAAATATCTTACATTTAATATGTTCATTTTCTGAACTTTTGGGGAGCACTAATCACATTGCGCTTTTTTTTTTTTTTTTTTTTTTGAGATGGAATATCACTCTGTCGCCCAGGCTGGGTGCAATGGCATGTTCTTGGCTCACTGCAACTTACATCTCCTAAGTTCAAGTGATTCTCTTGCCTCGGCCTCCCAAGTAGCTGGGGCTACAGGCATGTATCACCACGTCTGACTAATTTTTGCATTTTTAGTAGAGATGGGGTTTCACCATGTTGGCCAGGCTTGTCTTGAACTCCTGACCTCAAGTGACCCACCCACCTCAGCCTCCCAAAGTGCTAGGATTACAGACATCAGCTACTGCGCCCAGCCACATTTGCTCCTTATTAGTTTTAATTTCTTACTCTTAGTAGCTTATTTTTTCATGTGTTCATAATTTTGGTTTGTAAGTTCATGTTGGTGAGGTTTATCTATAAGATTTATGCTGTGAGAGCTATTTTGATAATATATATTACATACAATTATTTTATATAATTTTTTTTGTAAATTAACTGCCCTCCATCCCATTCTAGATCTGAGGATGAAGAATGAAGCTCGGAGCCTTGCAGCGGGAAGAACTTTATCTGAACAAGAGGCAGAATTTCCCAGTGGTCCCCTCTTTCTGGAAGCCTTGTCCCTGGTGGGCAGGGGAAGAAGGACAGTGGGGAGATCAAACTGTCACTTTTACAGTGCTAGGGCCCAGGTTAATTACTGACCCCCCTCTCTGAGCCCTAGGGCTCTGCCCTAACCTGGATCCCCTGAGGATCCCAAGAGAGTTCTTTGTGGAGAGGATGAGGCCAGGTATCTGGCCCTTTCAGAAGAAGAGGGGGCACTCGCTATGCTTGAACTATGGCTTAAGAAGCCCTCAAGCACCCCATCACTCCCTTTTTCCCCATCAACAACATGGGATCACCACACCCTAGACTTCACTGGGCTGCCTCAGGGCAAGAAGCAACCAACTAATTTTATGGAGAATCTTGGGAGAGGGCATGGCCAGGAGCCCTTGGTGAGTCCGCATGGCTGCCAGGAAAGGATTTTTTTTTTTTTTAATTGTTCTGCCAGATGGCGGACGTGCTATCAAACTGGAACAATTTCATGTTAATATCTTGACTTGGAGTTTCTGACCACTCAGATTGTATAAATTAAACCTCAAAGCTGTGTATGGGCAGAATCTGAATTCTTTTCTACCCAGAGGCCAGGGGAAACAGACAACTTTGCTTGACATTTCCCTTTGCCTGAGCATCTTTTTTCTGGCAGCATAGCCTTTTGAGGGCCCTAGCCATTATGCAGAGCCTTGATTCTGCCTCCCCACCTTGCATAGGCCAAGGCCTTGCCTATTGTACTAGCATGTCAGAAACCCAAACCTCTTGATCGCCAAGATCACCAAATACCCTCAAACAGGATTGGGGACTAGTATAAGCATCATCTCACCACTTCTGGTGTATGAGAGTTTCTTCTGTTTCCTTTGAGCTCAATATTTTAAAGACTATGTATTATATTTAATTCATCATTTCTAGGTGTTTTGTATTGAGAGGTTTTTCAGGGTATCTAGTTTGTTATGATGACAAAACTAACAGTCCACAAGCTATTACTTTCCTCCCACCAAAATCATCAATGAGTAATAGCCACTTTTCAGTCATTCTCCAAGTCGGAGCCAATTTCTTCATAGTTAGGACAGGTATACTATCCAATTAATAGACAAACATACCCTGCAGAGAAATCTTCCTCATATCTGAAACGTTCCTGCCAAATCCTTTCACTTTATCAGGTTCTAAGAGTTCCTGGATTACTCAAAAAGTTTATCAATGTGAGCTTCCTGTGAGACATTCTAGGAAGTTTAATTGGGAACAGAAAAATATGGAGCCATTTGAAATGATCCAAGTGGGACTCAGGTGGGTTCCATAGTGTTTGCGTGTTAGAACACACTTGATTAAAGCTTCTACTCCATGTTTGTTTTGTCTTGTTTTCAATTAAAGAAGCAGATGAGTCAAAAAAAATTAAAACCTAGACTTGCTCAAAAACACAAAACTTTCTTGGTGAATCTCACTTTTAGGTAGGATTCTGAAAAGAAAATATTGTTGGTTTGGAGAAATTGCAACTAGTTGTTCTTGCTGGTTTAGCAACATATTGTTGTACTAAGGAAGAAGATGGTGCAATTTCCCTGTAATCTTCAGCCCCCATATGAAGTGCTTTCTTTCCTAATTATTGTTTGAAAATCAAAACGTCTGTGTTAAAGGCCATTTACTTACTGAATGGCAAATAGGAGAACAAGCATAAACTGGTCAGAGAAAATGGCTTTTTAAATCCTCAGCCATTTACACAGGGCCAGAGAAAAAGATCAAGCTTCTCATGGCACAAAAAAACCATGACCATAGTTACCTCCTGATATTAAGTAAAATCCCTATAATGACTAAATATTCAGAGTTAGGCATGAAGAATATTTCGGAGTAGGAGAATAAATGGGAAGGAAAAGGATAATGCCCTAAAAGTGAGTCACTGACTACCAAAATATTGTGCTATGGTCTGAACGTTTCTCCTAAAATTCATATGTTGAAATTTAATTGCCAATGTAATAGTGTCATGAGGTGGGGCATTTTGAAGGTGATTAAATCATAAGGGGAAAGCTCTCATGGATAGGATTAAGGCCCTTATATGAGGGCTTGAGAGAGTGGGTTCTCTCTCTTCTGTTCTTCTGCCATGTGAGAACACAGTGTTTGTTCCCTCTGGAGGAAGCAGGATTCAATATGCCATCTTGGAAGCAGAAATATCTTCACCAGACACAAAACCTGTCAGCATCTTGATCTTGGACTTTCCAACCTCCATAACTGTGAGAAATATACTTCTGTTCTTTATAAATTACCCAGCCTAAGGTATTTTGTTATAGCAGCATAAACAGACTAAGACATACATCAAAACAATAATCCATAAAGAATCAAAGACTAGACCTTTTAAGCTAACCTGGGGTCCACTGGACAACATTATGATGCTTTGTTCTTGGTAATCCACTTTTTGACCATGCAGACTTTCTCACAGTAGCTCTCGTTGGTGCCCTCCTCACAAACTGCCCGCACCTTACACCCCTTCCTCCTACACTGGAACACTGTCTGCCCTCCCATTGGGCAGAGTGGCTGGGTGATGTGGTGTGGTGATCTGGAAAGATCCAACAACCTGCAACAGGAGACATATAGAGAACTATATCAGGAGGCTCCCAGAAGAGAGAGTAGGCAAAAGTTTGGAAAGTAGACAGCTTTGCAATCAAAATGATGACCCAGCCAAAGAGGGTAGATTCTAGGACTGTGATCTCTGAGAGGATTTGTGGTGAGGGAACTTAGGCAGAACCCCATTTCAAAAGGCAGTAAGGGACTTTGTTCAAGTACTTCCTTCAGCAGTAAGCCTGTCCAAAGATTCAGGGCTCGTTGACAGGCAAGGTTCCCACACTGGTTACTGCTATAGCCATTGCAGCACTAGGGGGAGCCCTAAGGCAGGCTGATGCAGTGCTGGGTTGCACCCGAAGCCCATGCCCCAGAGACTAGCGCAGCACTGGGGTGCTGCTAAAAAATGCTCTGCATTACTAATCACCAGGGAAATATAAATCTAATCACCAGGGAAGTGTAAATCAAAACCACAACGAGATATCACCTCACCCAGTTAGAATGGCCATTAACAAAAAGACAAAAAAATAGCAAGTGCTGGTGAGGATGTGGAGAAAAGGGAACCCTTATACACTGTTGGTGAGAATGTAAATTAGTACAGCCATTGTGGAAAACAATATTTAGGTTTCCTCAAAAATATTAAAAATATAACAATCATATGATCCAGCAATTCCACTACTGAGTATATATCTAAAGGAATTGTAATCAGTAGGTCATCTGTTTACATAACCAAATGAAAAAACATCAGTTAAGTCAAAGAGATATCTGCATTCTCTCATTTTTCACAGCACTATTTACAATAGGCAAAATATGGAAACAATCTAAGTACCCATGACAAATGAAGGGATAAAGAAAATGTGGTGTATATATACTCAATGGAATGCTATTCATCCATACAAGAGAATGAAATCCTGCCATTTGCACAACATGGATGAACTTGGAGGACATTATAGTAAGTGAAATAAGCCAGGCACAGAAAGACAAATACTGCATGATCTCACTCATATATGGAATCTAAAAAAGTTGCTCTCATAGAAGTAGAGAGTAGTAAAGTAGTTACCAGCTTGGGTGGTTGGGGAAAGCGGAATGTGGGAAGACATTAGTCAAAGTATACAAAATTACAGTTAGATAGGAGGAAGAAACTTCAAGAGGTCTATTGTATAGCGTGGTGACTATAGTTAATGACAATATTCTTGAAAAATGTAAAGAGAGTAGATGTTATGTGCTCTTGCCACAAAAAATGATTACTATGTGAGGTAATGCATTTGTTAATTAGCTAGATTTAACTATTCCACAATGCAATGTTATCTGTCAATTTTAAAACAAATAATAAACCACATACAATATAATTTGTGAAAAAACAAAAAAAAAGCAGGGACTAAACAAGGGCAGAGGAAAGGAACTAAGAGCACCAGCAGCTAGTTGAAATGAATCCCAAGACCAAGGGAGTGATCACAAGGATGGAGACAGCGGTCTAGGAGCCAGATCAAGGACTCACTCAGTGTTGCAGATAATCATTTGAGATAACACGGGCTCCTCCAAGGCATCCTTCCCCCAGGGCTTCTGTGTGCCCATTACTCTTCTTGATGCAGCAAGAAGAAAGAATCAAATTATTGGCCATGACTACCAAAATAGGCTCTCAAAATTCATACCAGAAATTATCATATTAAAAGCTAAAATGTTTAGAGACAAACGATTGTTTTGGTTCCAAAAGCTCTGCTCAATTTCTAAAGGTCTGAACAAGAAGTTTATACTATAAACACTGGAGTTGGAAAGATCACAGGGTAATGTAAAAGCCATTTCTTTCCTCTCAGCACAGCCGCTGCTGCCTCCCTAGAACAGAGGCAAATCTCACAGTTGTGAGGAAAGAAGATAATTGGGAAAAGAGAGCAAGAAAACAAGTAATTGATATGAATTCCTGAGAAAGGGGCCTCCATGGAGCTGGGGTGAAGCCTCTAGAAGAAATTTAAAGTAGTTTTGGGAAGGAACTGAGAGCATAGTAAACTTCTGCTTCCCTTCCCAGAAATACCTAAAGCCTCTTGGAGAAGCCTATATTCAACATTAGGCTACAGCTGAAAACCGGCAAAGTCTGAGAGATGTTCTGTTAGATTGGCCTGAGCACAGCTTCAGTGAGACTCAGCACCTCCAGTGGTATAGGAAAGCAGACAAGAGTTCCCAGGGCCCCCCTTGAAAAGGGTTCAGGAAAGCAAAGAGAGGTCCTGAGATGGGGATGTTGGGCACAGGTGCCTGGAACTAGCAAATGAAGGCCCGTGGCCAGGACATAACCATATGCCAGTGCACAATTAGAAGGACCAGACAGATTGAGTTATATCTTATAGATGCCAGAAGACAGAGATGGCTATCAACCAGAATCATCCTCTTTATGAAATCCTGGATGAGAAAAAAGTTATCTCATCCCCAACCCCCAGGTCTTATATCACCCATGGGACACAGAGATACCTTGAATTGGCTGTATTAAGAGTTCTACCACAAAATGGACATAGGGGCTCAAGAGCTAAACTAAGTTGGGTTGTAGGGAAATAAAGTTACATCTTTGCTCACCTGAATTTTGTGACCGTGAAGTTTATATCTGCTAACAGATCTGGATCCAGAGTAACTCTGATTTAATGCTGAAATCTCCTAAACTACTGGTTTGGGACATCAAAAGTTTTCACTAATTGAATTGTACAGAGTTCAGAAATACATATAACTATGCAATAGAATTTTATATAAAAGCTAAGTTTCAGACTAGTGAAGAAAAGCATATTCAATAAGTTGATTTGGTATAACTAGTAACAACTTGGGGAAAAAAGACAAATCTCATCTCACTCCTTATATCAAAGTAAATTTCATAAAGATCAAAGGTTTAAACCCTGAAAAAGAAACTATAATAATGCCTAAAGAAAACTGGGTGTATTTATTCATAATCTTAGAATGAAGAAGACTTTTTAAAGAATGACACAAAACATAGAAGCATGAAGAATATTAATAAATTTAGCTGTAAAGATTTTTAAATTTCTATGCAACAAAAAATAATAATGAACAAAATCAAAGACAATTGGTAAACTGGCAATATTGTTTACAACGCATATTGTAGACAAAGGGCTAGCTTCCTAAATTTAAAAGGAATGTGTATATACCAGGTGCAGTGGCTCACGCCTGTAATCCCAACACTCTGGGAGGCCAAGGCAGGCAGATATCTTGAGGCCGGGAGATTGAGACCAGTCTGGTCAACATGGCAAAACCCTGTATCTACTAAAAATACAAAAAATTAGCTGGGTGTGGTGATGCATGCCTATAATCCCAGCCACTCTGGAGGCTGAGGCAGGAGAATCGCTTGAAGCCAGGAGGCAGAGATTGCAGTGAGCCAAGATCACTCCACTGCATTCCAGCCTGGATGACAGAATGAGACTCTGTCTCAAAAACAAACAAAAAAGAATGCACACTACAGATATACTTGCAAAAGTATTCCATAAAATATGTTCATTACAGTATCATTTTTCATTAAAAATATATATATATATATTTTTAAACTAAAATTATCTTTAATAAGGGAACTAAGGAAGCATTGCCTGAGGCAGACCATGCAAATGGCAGGTAGGGATCTTGGACAGTATAGACTTGACACAGTTATATTTCTCAGCTAACAAAATAATCCCTCATCCTTTACTGGTACCATAAGGCTTTTGTATTTTCTTTATAACTAACTTACCAAAAAATATTTATTAGAGTCCTACTATATTCTAAAGATAGTCTATTATATCTTTTCAATAGAGCTGGACCTTGAGAGATTGGTGTAATTTCACCAAGTAGAAAAGACAGGTAGGGCATTACAGAAGGCCAAACAAACATGGGGCCATGAAAGTTTATGGTGTGCTGGATGTACAGGATAGAGCACACATGTATTACACGGGGGGCGGAAAGGGGTGCAGAAACAGTGTAGCCAGAAAATGAGGCTGCAGCCAGACTCTGCTGCAGAAGCCAATGGTTTTTCAGCAAAAGATTATTATTATTAAATTTGTATTTTAGAAAACAACTCTGGCAGCTGTGTGCAGGATGGAATGAACAGAGAAGGAGGCAAGAAGGCCAGGTAGCTGGCTGATGCAATAGGTGATGAGGTCAGAACAAGGGCAGAAGATAGAATGGACAAGAGAGAGACACTGCGAACATTTTAGAGATAATATAAACAGAATGTGGCTACTTATAAGATGTGGGAAATGAAGGAGATTAAATCATTTGAGATAGTATTAACAACACATAGTTGATCAGATGTGAGAGGCAAGGAAAATGAACATATTTCTAGTTTTGTTGACTATGAGAAGGTGAAGCTTTTAATCAACACAAAGAGTCCAGAAAGGGAAGCATTTTGATAGAGGACTGGAAGACATGTTAAACTTTGGGGGCACTGGGTTTAAAGTACCTGTGGGGCACATAGGCACAGATGTCTGACTGGTATGTGGAAACGTGGCAGGAACATTGGGCGTGAAAAAGACTGCACTAGCATATAGATAATGCTAGAAGAGAAGGGTGTGGAGATAGACCTTCAGAGAATCTTTGCATTTCAGGGCTGGGTCAAGGAAGAGGAGTCAGCAAAGAAGCTGGAGAACGAAGAGAGAGTGTGGAGAAAAAGCAGTGTCCAAAGCCACAAGCGGAGTGAGCTGGGGAAGCCAGCCCTGAATGGCAGAACTACAAAGTGAGCCCAACAGAGTCCCATGGAAGGTAGGCAGCATAATCTGTCTCCTCAGCCCCACTCGATTTTCCCCTGCTGCTCTATAATTTGAAGTATTGTTCAGTTTTTCATATAAAAACTCACAAATACTTTCAAAAAAGTAAGTGGTATATTCTTTTTTTATCCTAGGGATTCATAAATATAAAAGATGAAGCAACTTTCCCTATACCACTTGGCACGTGAAGAAAAATGAAGCTTAGAGTTTCCCAGGTCTTAGTCCAAGGGCCCAGCAGCAAACCTTTCAAGCACACAAATAAACAAAACCAACAAAATAAACCAGAGTTGACCAAAAAAAAACATGCAAATTAAATTATATATTTTTTCCATTTTCATGAGAAAACTTGCTTCTGACAAAAATACTAGATTCCTTTCTTATGTTTTATATTGTTGTGTTCTTGTTCCTTTTTAAGTCTCATAAAAAAATTTCCCCATAATATTCATGTTCCTCGAATCCTGCCAAAGCCATGGACATT
Source organism: Homo sapiens (assembly GCF_000001405.40). NCBI lineage: Eukaryota > Metazoa > Chordata > Mammalia > Primates > Hominidae > Homo > Homo sapiens. Next base: position 157,234,403 of record NC_000003.12, on the reverse strand, counting down.
CCTAAAGATTAGATTTATTTAGAATACTGAGTCAACAATTTCTATGCATTTTATTTCACTAAGTTTTTGGGAGTCACTAAATGTTTAATCATGTAATTAATCCTAAAGCCCTTCTAATTGTGTTTGCTCAGGAAAAAAAAAGCTGATTCAGATTGCAATGACAGACTATTAGACATGCCTTGGAATTTATATAAGAAACCAATAAGTTAGTATAAAAATAATTGAGATGTATATATTATGACTGAAAGCTGCCAGGCCAGGTATGGTGACTCACGCCTGTAATCCCAGCACTCTGGAAGGCCGAGGCAGGCGGATCACCTGAGATCGGGAGCTCAAGGCCAACCTAGCCCACATGGTGAAACTCCATCTCTACTAAAAAAACCACAAAAATTAGCTGGGCATGGTGGCATGCATCTGTAGTGCCAGCTACTCAGGAGGCTGAGGCAGGAGAATTGCATGAACCCGGGAGGTGGATGGTGCCATGAGCCAGGATCACACTACTGCACTCCAGTCTGGGCAACAGAGCGAGACTCCATCTCAAAAAAAAAAAAAAAAAAAAAAAAAAAAAAAAAAAAAAAAAAAGACTTAAAGCTTTCAAAGCAAATAAACTTAAGATGCAAAGATGTTTTTCATAAAGAGTGTTTTTTAAAATATGCATAAGATGTATCCAAAATAAGAGCATTTTATTAAATAGCATTTTTAGGGTCAGAACTCAAACCAGACACTGGAAATGAGCTCAGCAGGTGAACAGGTAGTTGTTTTCTAAAACAAAGTACTAAGGACTCAGTGATGTAACTTGAAAGAATTATAATAATTTTTTCTTATAAAACCAATTTTTATCTATAAGTTTAAAAAACAATCTCACATTTTCACATACATATTTTAGTAACTGGAAATTTTAATTCTGAGCTAATCTAAGTTAAAATTGGCTTTCACTGGTATCAATGTGGTGAAAGGAACTTCCACAAATCCAGTAAATTCAAGAGATGCCAGAGTATCTCTAGTTTAAAATATAGCTGGTCTTCCCCTCTGGTCTTGAAGCAAGCAGTTGCTCTTCTCCCTCCAGAGCTGATCCCTTCCCCTGGACTTTAGATCCCCGTCTTTCTATCCTCCTCAAAAAATTACCAACTCCACTGGTGCCATCTTTGTGGTATTTCCATTCTCTGGCTCCATTGGATCCATTTATCTTATATGTAAATTGTGCCTCTGTCTTGGAAATAAATACATCTGTGAAAGTAACCCTGAGATCCCCCCTAGGATGTATCCCTTCCTCTTGTTCCTTTCCCCTGTCATTTCTTGATTGGTTGTCTCCACCGATTCCTTCCTTCAGCATCACCCACTCATGCCTTTACCTTGTCCCCTGTAGTGATGCTCCTGCTCACTACCCCCACTTCTACTCAAAACCATCACTTCCTGTTCATCAAATCAATGGCCTGTTCTCAAACATCATTTCTTTTGAATTTATAGCGTATGACCCTGTTGGCCAGCCCCTCCTCAATAACAAGCTGGTTCATCTAAAACTTGGATCATTTGAGTTTAACCGCAACGGTTAAGAACAAAATGACAACATTTTGTTGTCAAGCAGACCTGGCATCATTGTTTAGTAGCTATTTGACCTCAGTGAAAATTCTTAAACTCCTATCAGTCTCAGTTTGTTCATCCATAAAATGGAATAACTCTTCCTCCTAGGGGAGGCTGTGAGAATTAGATAATAAAATGCATGTAAAATTCTTAGTATAGTAAATGTTCAGTAAAAATTACCTCTCCTACTGATTACTTCCCTGTGTCCTTTGCTAACTCCTCTCCATTCTCATGTCCCTAAATGAGGATCTCTCTTAAAGCCCACGCTTTTCTCTCTACAAGCTCCCGTTTAGAAACTTCATCTACTCTTACTGTTTCCAGTATGATCACTACACTATAATCTAGTTTTGGCATCAACTTCTCTGCCAAGCTCCATCCAATCCTACTTCACAAACTAACCTTAAGGATATTTCTGTATGAATGAGCTGTCATTCCTCAAATTCAACACACAACAAAAAGAACTCATCATCTTCTATATCCTCCCAACCTCCACCAGTGGCATCACAGACATGGAATCTAAGAGTCATTCGTTAATCATTCTTCCTTCTCACCTCCCTACCCCTCACATATCCAATACCCTGTTTTTACTTTCTAATTTCTCTCATTTCCGATTATGCCTTTTCATTTCAATCACCAACACTCCAGCCTGGACCCTTATCTTTTCACACCTAGATTATTGAAATAGCCTCTCAACTTGTATGCTTATACCTCCTTCACCATCAGCAGATTAATTTTCCTAAAATGTCAATTTAATAGTACTTCTCCCTTGCTCAAAACCCATAGACACCTACTTTTCCCTCCCATTGTCTACAAGATGAATTAAAATGGCCCAGTCTTTAATTTAAGATCCTCCACATCCAGACAGTAATCAACCTTTCCAATTTTATCTTCCAACCAAAATCTTCCAGGTTAAAAACAAATTTATCTTTGTATTCTCAATATCTACCACAGTATCGGTCAATAAATAAAACTGAACTGAGCTATTCTAGCTAATATACTTCCATAATTTATAGTCATTTGTTCAGTGAATGTTAAATTTATTCTTAATTCAATCCATTTAACTAACGAATATGTATTGCCAATGTGCCTGAAACTGTATAAGCACTATAAGTATACAATATTTACAAATGAATAGTCAAGATAGGCCAATTTATGCTGTGGTAACAAACAATCCCAAAATCTTAGTGATGCTACACACAGTTTATTTGTCACTCATACAAAGCTGAGGCAGGTGAGGTTCAATGAAGCTGTCCTTCATGTGGAGTCTTGGTATCCCTGCATGATTCAATCGTGTGGACATCTGTATCAAAATATCATTCCACAATCACCATGCCCAGAGAAAAGAGCATGGAAAATCATATTCCATTCTTAAACCCTTTCACCTGAATATAAAACATCTTCACTTACACGCTATTTATCAAAGCAGGCTTGCTTTGTGGTCCCAGGATGACTGAGAGGAAAAGTGTTTGGTCACTCCTACCAGTGACCAAACAACCACTTAACAAGTATCCAAATCTCCAGATACTGCTTGCCACAGACTCCAGGATGACCGAAAGCATATTACGTAGAAAGGAATTTGGCAGAACCATGCAGAGTGTGGGAAGTAACAGCAGTTAAGGAGCTGCTTGGGGAGGATAATGCACATATCAGCATCTCAGAAGGCAACTCTTCTGAGAGAATCATTGTTCTGGCCAGATCTATTAATGCCATCTGTAAAGCATTTGCTGTGATCATTAAAAATCTGGGAGAGGACATCAGCCACTCTGCAACCAGTGGGACAATTGATCCCCAGGCAGCCTGTGGCCCAAATGGGTACTGGCACATTGGTGTTCCTATGAACTCGCTTTTTACAAAATATTTATCCTTTATAACCAGTGTGGCTGTTTCTTTGGGAAAGGCAGGTACAAGATCAAGGAAATAGGAGAGAGCACAAAGCTCAGGACCAGGTGGCAGGGCAGGCTGGAAGAAACTCAGGCAGGCCATCACTATTACATCACCTATCATTGATTATGTGGACCAGACTTCATGGCCGTGTTGGAAACTCTCTTTGGTCCCTGTGGCAGGCATGATTATCCAGGATCAACCCCAGTTTTCCGGCTCTCTGGTCAACTTTGCCGGTGTCAGGATGGACGCAGCTCAAGCAACAAGGCATGCTTTTCCCACATCATCCAGGAGACACCAACCATGTGTCTCAACTCTGACCTGGAGAGGCCGCCTCTGGGGTTTACTAAGCTGCACCAGATGGAAATGCAAAAGTCTTATTTCTCTATATTATGTAATGATACCAGATTCCATGACACTTAATTCAGCTCTCCAGACATGAAAATCTCTTGGGCCTAGTTGAGCACCTTTGCATTCAAGTTCCCTTGAACTCACTTTTTCTAAAATATCTAGTTGGGTGCGTGACCAGAAGTCATCAAAATTCAATGGGATCTGTCAAATATCTGAGACACAACTTAAAATCAGATCTGCTGGCAACGTTAGCTTTTCCTGTAGAGGGTACCCAGAACCCTTCTGCTACTTACCACTCACGATCCATCTGTGGAATTTCTGAACAACTGGCAATCCCATGTTTTTAGTAGTCTGTAATTTTGTTTCTACATTACTTTATCATTAACTTGCAATTTTTGTTCATTGTTGTAGTGGCTTTCTGTGTTAAGCTGTTAACATTGAGTTTCCTACTTCATTTTGTTTGTTGTTTGTTTTCTTTCTTGCTCATGAGTATACTTTTTTTCTGTTTGTCAAGAAAAAGTAATAAGGGACTATTAATAAATTTTGGTTTGGTTATGTAATGTCAAGACATTTTTGAAAAAAACATAAAAGATGGGTTGGAAAATAAATTGAGGGGAAAGGCATATATAAATGATATTTTTTCTGATCTTAAAAAAAATACTTGTTCTCAACACCAACACATAATGTTGTACAGTTGTGTTTTCAAAATGGTGACCAGTGAGAAATAAAATCCACTTTCCTAGTGCCAGCAGGTCTGTGTCTCCACTGTGGTTAGGGGAAGAGTTTTTCTAATGTTTCTAAAAACTTCGTAGAGGCTTCCGGTGGTCTTATTTCTCCTACAAATTCAAATTGTGCAGATAAGCACAAAGCAGAAAACTGAATCCACTGAATCCTACCATCCACTTCCAGGAAAGTGACCCCTGTTAATATTTTGGGGGTATATGCTTCTTTTATACTACTCAAATATTATATCTGAATAGGTAGATTGTTTAAAAATATAACCATGCCATGATATTCTTCAACTCACTTTTTCATTTCCCCTCAATGTAATGACACCAGATTCCATAACACTTCAGAACCATCTTTCATAGAAACATATTTACATGAAACTCTATATCAGGTGTTCTTCCAGGGGCCAGGGATAAAGATGTGGAAATAAAAATAAAAGCCCCCAGAAAGCTTACCTTTTGAGGAAGAGGAGAGGGAGGACAAAAAATAAAAAGCAAAGACAAAACAACAGATCATACATTTTAGTTAATAGTATATACTAAGAAAAAAAATAGTTAAAGGGATAAGGAGTGAAGAGGAATGATATTTTAGATAGAGTAGTGTGTCAGTCAGGGTTCCAGCAGAAAAAGAGCTTCACCCTCAGATGAATCAGATGAAGAGATTTCATTTGAAGTTCACGGAGGCATAAATGGGATGCAAAGCAAAAGAGAAAAGGCAGTACTATTCCAAGGGCTGAAGGAGCAAAGACAGAATAGAACAGGAGAGCCCAGTGCCAGCTGGGGCCAAGGACAAGGGTTATCTGGAGTCACGCGAATGCAGCGACTTCTAGAGATGCAGCCCTGAATCAAAGAGGGAGTGGGGGAGAAATACCTGGCCTTTCTCTGTCCATCTGTGCTGGTGCCAATCATGACAGAATCCAAAAGGAAGCCAAAAGGGCACAGGAGGTGGTGGGGTGAAAAGAGTGAGATGTCATCAGATTTCAGATAGTTTGAAGATAGAGCCAGTGGGTTTTGCTGATTGATATGGGGAAAGAAGGAAAGAACAATATCAGGATGACACCTAGGTTTTGGCCTGAGCTACTGGTCAATAGAGTTATAATTATTGAGATTGGAAAAAGTGAGGAAGAAGTGGGTATGGAAGGTAAGAGTTTGGTTTTGGACATGTCTGGTTTGAGATGCTTATTAGACATACAAATGGAAAGGTGAGTTTGGAGCTTAGAGGAGATATACATTTGGAATTTGTCTGAAAATAGATACCCTTGGGGCTGGTTAAGATCACATAGAAAGGGGTATGATAGACAGCCAAAGAGAGTCAAGGACACTGTCCTATAGCATTCCAACATTTAGAAGTTCAGGAGATCAGATACAGCCAGCAGAGGAAATGCAGAAGATACGTCCAGTAAAAGGAAGAAACTGGGAGAGGACGATGAATGGGAAACTAAGTGAAGAGAATATTTCAAGAAAAAGGAGTATTGCCCAAGGGATTTGGCAGCATAGAGGTCCCTAGTGACCCTGATGAGAATCATTACCTTGAAGCCATGAGGATGACATCCTGATTGGAATGAGTTAAAGAGAAAATGGAAGGTGAGGACATGGAAACAGCAAATATAGGCTGTCTGTTTTACTGGTTTGGTGATGAAGAACAGCAATAACTTGGGGAGAACTTGGGAGAGACACCACACATTGTATCCCGATGGGAATGATCCCTCAAAGGTGAAAATTGATGCTGCAGAAAGGAGAGGGCATGATTGCAGAAGCAAAGTTCTCAAGGATGCAGCCCAGGATGGGCTTCAAAGATTCAGTGCTGAGAGAGGCTGTCCCATATAGGCCCAGGGACTGGGACCATTTGAATGATAACAAGAGAGAAGACCATCTAGACACATAGCCAGATGGAGTTGGACATAGAAGATAAGGTAAACCTCTCCTGATTGCCTCTATTTTCTCAGTAAATTAAGAAGCAAGGTCATCAGCTAAGAGTGAGGCCAGAGGAGAAGGTACTGGAGGTCTGAGGGGAGAGGAGAATATGTGAAATGGTCCTTCCTGGTGAAAGGAAAAGATGACTGATATAGTTTGAATGTGTGTTCCCATCCAAATCTCATATTGAAAGGTAATCCCCAATGTTGGAGATGGGGCCTGGTGGTGGGTGATTGGAGCATGGGGGCAGATTTCTCATGAATGGTTTAGCACCATCCCTCTTGTTACTATTGTCCTCGCCATAGTGAGTGAGTTCTCATGAGATCTGGTCATTTAAAAGTGTGCAGCACTTCCCTCCTCACTCTCTTGCTCCTGCTTTCACCCTGTGAGGTGCCTGCTCCCATTTTGCCTCCCACCATAATAAGTAAAAGCTCTCTGAGGCCTCGCCAGAGGCAGATGTCACTAAGCTTCTTGTACAGCCTGCAGAACCATAAGCCAATTAAACCTCTGTTCTTATAAATTACTTAGTCTCCAGTATTTCTTTGTAACAGTGCAAGAACAGCCCAACACAGTAACCTACCATAAAAGTGGGGTAGGAGTGTCTGACTGTGCTGCAATAAATCTTAAGTAGACCAGCCAGCAGAGTGGATTTTTTCTACCTGTTTTCTCCCTCCACATTCAGCTGCTCAGGTGCAGGGATAGAGAAGCCAAAGAATCGGGTTGTCCCAAGATTCTGGATTTGTCTTTATAATGGCTGTATGGTAGGCTATTTTTTCATGTAAAATGATTTGCTGTTTTTAATTTGACAGTCCAGTAACAGCTCATACATCCATCACAGTGAAGAAAATAGTTGAGATCTTTTAAGTGATATTAAGCATAACTTAATCTAGGACTTACATTTTTTATTTGGAAGCTCTGAGGCAGTTTATTCTGAAAGAGCGTTTGGAGTATGTCAGGATGATCATGCCATTTGTAGTGTCATTTGTTCTTTAGGACTTATACTAAGAAGTAAATTTTGAAATCAAGCTTGTGAAGCAGCATATTAGTGACTTACACAACAAATATTTATATATCCCCACATAGGTCTGCAAGCCATCTGGACTCAGTAGGGCTAGACTGAACTTGAGACTTTCAGCTGGATTCAGGTGTGCTCTTCGGGTCTCCTTTCTAGACCCAGGCTGAAGTGGCTGCACCTTCCTATAGCATGTTTTTCTCATGGTGATGAAGGAGATGTGGGTGCACGACATGCAATGCCCCTGAAGACCTTGGCTCAGAACAAACACACTGTCACCTCCACCCACATCCCATTGGCCAAAGGAGGTAACATGGCCAGGCCCACATTAGTAGGATGCAAAATACAATCTTCCCATAGTAGGAAGCACTTCAAATTCCCCTGGCCAAGGACAAGAACATATCATTTTATTATAGAATAAAGTGAAGAACTAGGGACAATAATCTTGGTTACTGCAGGGAGAATAAGACTTCTTAACATTATTGAGAACCATAGACTTTATAGTCAGATGGTTTGGGTTTCCTATGTATGAGAATTTGACATTATACATGATGCAATCTAAAACCTCAGAAACTCTCTAGACTTCCGGGTTCAGAATGATTAGTCAGTGGTCTGAATCTCTACCCATTCCTTTTTTAATCTCCTAAACTGTTGTTGAATTGTTGTCAAATGGGCCCAAAAGTTTTATATTTCTGAACTGAATTTAACACAAGCTAGCCCTCTGGAAGGCAGCCCTTTCTTCCCTCCTAACCAAGTGTAGTGCTTGGAAAAATTACCTATTTAAGATCCTTAAGCTCCATAAATTTAAAAGAACCCTGTTTCCTCAGGCAAGCTTTTTTAGTTCAAATAATTTCAGAATGGTGTCTGTTAGGAAATGGTCCAGAGGTTGGTTGGGGGATGAAAGGAGGACAGGGACTACAAGGGATATTGCAAATGACTGCCTTAAAATACCAACATAAAGCAGTGGATTCCCAGAGTCCTCCAATCTGTTATCAGACACAAAGATTTGAACAAAAATAAATGAAAGATAGAAATCAAAAGGTTTTCTTTGAAGTCTCAGGGTTATTTGCTTCTGAAAGCAAATGTGTTGTTCTTGCCTCATAGCAAAGTACTTTTCCTATTGATGCATCACTTTATTGCTTTTCTGTCTTCTCAAAACTTGAATCTTCAGAATCTTCCTACTACGGGAAGATTGTATTTTGCATCCTACTAATGTGGGCCTGGCCATGTTACCTCCTTTGGCCAATGGGATGTGGGTGGAGGTGACAGTGTGTTTGTTCTGAGCCAAGGTCTTCAGGGGCAGTGCACGTCCTGCACCCACCTCTCCTTCATCACCATGAGAAAAACATGCTATAGGAAGGTGCAGCCACTTCGGCCTGGGTCTAGAAAGGAGACCCGAGGAGCACACCTGAATCCAGCTGAAAGTCTCAAGTTCAGTCCAGTGGTCAGTAATCTTTCTTCTTGACTGTTTCCAGAGACTTTGCCTTTTCATCTTTGCTCACAGTTTCCTTCAGTTTATTTCTTTTGACTCTGTTATTTGATGCTCTTTACTATTATTGAATCCTTGAAGCTATATGCAGACTTTGTTTAATGTTCTTAACAAATACACACATTCATTTAGAGAAAAAGTGAAATGCATTTTTAAGGTCATGCTGAATCAGTAAATGTATTGTTGGGTATTGTGGTCATCTCTTCTTTCAATGGGAAATTTTAACTTCCTGGATTCTGAATTTTGCAGATGTACTTGATTGTGATAACTTCTTCAAATGCTTTCTTTACATTACTAAGCGCAAAACATCCCACTTTTTTTTTTTATCTGTAAATTTATGAGGCAATTCCAGAATCACAGCTTGCATTAAGGCCCTGCAATTCTTCCACATTATGGTTAGTAAGAATTCTAAGCTGAAATCATGGAACAAGTCAAGGTCAAGCCAGTCAGAGACAGACAAGCTATCTATTATTCTATATTATTATTTAAGAAAATTACTAGGCACCTTACATTTTAAAAGAAAAAGAAAGGGATGGGATTGTGGACATTTGTAATCTTTTAACTTTAGGTTATTTACCTTGATTTAACCTGATGTTATTACTACATTTTACAAAAGAAAATAAATAATTGACTAGACTGATTATTTTAAATCCAGCTTACTATTTAGATATTAAAAATCTCAGACAAGTCACTGGATTGCCTAACATTGTTGATTAACTTGACATGCTTGCCATATTAAGAATTTGTATGAATGAAATTGTCATTTAGCTCCCATGAGCCACCCCAGCTTCCAAATGTTAGGAAAACATTTAATTTAATGAGCATTTATTAAGTGTCTTTCACCTTCCTGAAAAAGACTGTTACTTCTTTATTATCTCCTTCAGGGCATAACTTCTAGAAGGTAGATATATTGTATTCAATTAATTTCCAGTATAATATCTTAGGACAGTTTTATTAACTCAGTGGTTATTCAATTAATAATAATTAAATGCATTTTTTCAAATTCAATCACTGATCACTTGGTAGTAATTACCTCAATAGAACCACAACATGGAGTCAGAAATAACTCTGTGACTTCATCTGGATTAAGTTAATAGGGTTTACAGTGCAACTCAATGGATAACGACAAGGATAAATGCCTTTGGGGCAAAATTGCATGAAATGATTAAAAGGAGCAATGCTGACTTTATTTTAAAATATAATAGCTTTACAATCTAGTCTCTTCACTAATAATTGTTAATTCCCAATATTTTCCAATCCTTCTGGGCATATTAAAAAAGGGGAGATTATATATTAAAGTATATTTCCCTTCTGGCCCCAAATAAGAATATAAATAAGGAATCTGAGCCTAATTATCTAGCATTACATTAGTCCCCTAAGAAAAAAATAAATGTAAAGTTTAAAAACATGAATAAAATTTTAGTCTTTTAAGATAACTAGAGGCCTCATTTATCATTAGTATAGAAAACAAATACAAAATATACATTGTTATTTCTTCCAATTTTCATAATTTAAAATAGATTTTATCTTCTTTTCCTCTTCTTCCTTCCCCTTTTCTCTTTCCTTCCCTTCCAAATAATGCAGTCCTAAAACCATGAACTGGGGCAGAGTAAGAGAAATATTTGTCCTCAAAGGGGAGAGCCACCATGGCCCAGAGCAGGGTGTCAGAGCTCAGATAGAGCAGACACTCTCTAAGATGGCTGCCTCACAGGGGTTTTAAAGCCTGAGCTCAGTAAGAAGAGTGTCCACCAAAAAGGGGCAATCTGCTGTGGGCTGCCAGAGCTCAAAGAGGGTGAGGAAAACATCAAGGCGTGGGAGCTTCCCAGCACAGAGTGTTGAAGCTGATGGTGTAATTCTCAGTCTGAGTTTGAAGGCCTGGGAACCCAGTCGGCCGCTACTGCAAATCAGAGTTCAAAGGCTGGGAAGCTTGGAGTTCTGCCGTTCAAGGGCAGGAGAAGAAGGGTGTCCCAGCTCCAGGAGAGAAGCTGAATTCACCTTTCCTCTGCGTTTTGTTCTATCTGAGCCCCCAGATGATTGTCTGGTGCCCACCCACATTGATGGCAAATCTTTCCCACTCAGTCTACCACTCACACAAACACACCCAGAAATAATGCTTTACCAGCTATCTAGGTATCCCTTAATCTAGTCAAGTTCACACCCAACATTAACCATCACACCTACCAAAGATGCATCACCTGAGTGTAATCATGAAGAAATATCAGACAACCCCAATTTAAATGACATTTTACAAAATAACTAGCCTTTGAAAAGTGTCAAGGTTGTGAAAGTCAAAGAAAAAATGAGGACTTCTTCTAGACTGAAGGAAACTAAAATGACAACTAAATGTGATATGTGATTTTGAACTGGAAGCTTTTGTTATAAAGCATATGATCAGCAAAACTTAAATGGGGTCTGAGGATTAAAGTTAGCAATGGGCCAGGTGCGGTGGCTCACAGCTGTAGTCCCAGTGCTTTGGAAGGTTATGGTGAGAGGATTGCTTAAAGCCAAGAGTTCAAGACAAGCCTAGGCAACATAGCCAGACCCCATCGCTACAAAAAAAAAAAAATTAATTAGGTGGGCGTGGTGGTGTGAAACTATAGTCCCAGCTACTCAGGGGGCTGAGGCAGGAGGACTGCTTGAGCCCAGGAGTTTGAGGCTGCAGCGAACTATGATCATGGCATTGTACTTCAGTATCAGTATTAATTTTCTGATTTTGATGGTTATATTGTGATTATGTAGGAGAATATGCTTGTAGGGAAATACACACTAAAATACTTACAGGTAATAAGACATCAGGTCAACAACTTACTCTAAAATTGTCAGAAAAACAAAAAAACTTTTTGTTCTGTTCTGTACTTGCAATGTTTCTAAAAGTTTGGTACTGTTACAAATTTTAAAATGTATTAAAAATAAAATGTCTCATTATTCAATTGGATTGTTCCCATTTTTTATTTTTGTACTCTTAGTATCATGCAAAATGCACCTGGAACTCCTCGAGAATAAAGGCTGCATTTCAAGCACCTTTGCATCTCCCAAGTTCCTGGAACACACAGGCACTCAATAGTGTTCCTTGCACTGAGAATGAACATATCCCTATCAGCCCCCTTATTTATTTATATTTCCAATTGTGATTACTTTTTCCTGTGAACTTAAATGATGCTTGTGGGAAATAAATTAAAATGGCAATGCCTCTGAGCAATATTTCTCACTCTTCTCTATTGTCTCAACTCATATCTCTGGACCCATCCCACTACTCTGGAGTATTCTTTCTAATTTCCCTCTTTTTTCCCCCATTCCTTCTATATTAAAGGGTCAAGAGCACATGGTCAGAGCCCTGGTCACCGGGCTCTTGTTCAGTTTCGAAGTCACTAGTGTTAGTTAACAAGGACAATACCATTCACATTTATATAGTGCATCCCACTTTCTGTAGCACCATCACTTGGGGAACATTATTTCATTGTGGAAACTGATACCTAATATTGTTTAATAAAAACCAAAAAACAAAATAAAAAACGTGGTGGTGGGAGTGTATTTGTGAATGTCAGACTTTCTCTCAAGTCTCTGGTCTTAAACTCAAAGTTTTGGGTTTTGTGTTTTGCTCCCAATTCCACAGTATCTTAGGATAGTTCTGTGTGTTCAAGCAGATAGGAAATCAATAGTTTTACTTAATCATAAGTAGAGAAACTATAAAGCTAGTTTCTATGGCTGTGGAACCATGTAGTAACCCTCATAAAATTAAGAAATTAAGCCACTGCATACACTATACACATAAAGACATATACTATATAACATGCCAAAGTTATTTATAAATGATGAGATTTTAGGTCATTTGTGTGTTCTTGTGTTTTCCAAATCTCCTAAAATGAGCATGTATCACTTTTACAAATAAATGATTTTTGTTAAAGAGTCTAAGGCAAACATGTAAAATTCTTACAGGAAACATGTAAGAATTTTTTTAAAAACACTCTCAAATTCTGCCCTTTTCTTCAGACACACAGCAGAAATTATAGAAGTCATATTCAAATAAACAACATCAAATGACAGTCAGCAAAATTAATAATAATAACTCAGTGAAATTAAGAAAAGTTTTGTTTACTTCTAGGATAAAAAATACTTGTATATACACAATTATTCTGATTATACATTAGCTATTGATTAGCTGCCAAAGTATTGTTACCTAATTTAATCTAGTAAAACAATAATATTTTGCTATCATCCCTCCTCAAAGATTCCTGAGCCTTGGTAAACAATAAGCAGCTCCACAAATGAAAAATAGCTATTTCTGGAAGAGTCAATATCTGCCAGCCTCAGGGTGCACAGGATCATAGAGCAAACCAATAAAACTAATTCCTGTATTTACTCAGGGGATATTGCTGAGGGCCTAGTTATTTTGCAACACCCTGTTTATGAAAAATTCATCACTGGTCTTCTTAGCATTAGGAATAATTTTGCTCCTTCTTAGTTTGGGGCCATATCGCTTTCTGTATCAGCTACTGGAAAGTTTAGGGCAGACTTTGTAGCCAACACGAGCAAATAGACCCATTCTTACAGCATACATTTAATGTATAATGTAACTCCTAGCTTCATCTGCATCTTCCTACCCTCATTTAGGGTTCTGGTACTCTCATCCACTTGTTTTCAATTTTACTTATCTCTTTGTACCATGTGTATTTTGGTAAATAATCTTCATTCCTTTCTGAGATAAGAAGGGCTATATATAAATAAATGCATATTTATACACACACACATACATATTCTAATTGAGAATATGTGGATTATTGATCTTTGGCTGTGTCAGTTACTATGTCTTTCACACTGTGTTTACCTACCACAAGTAACACTCAACATATAATTATAATACACTACCCTAAATGCATGTCCTTTGTCATCTTTCTAGCTCTTAGCCTTTAATATGCCATAAACAATTAGTGGCAAAGTCATTTATATCCAGAGTAACTGCTTCAGGATCTGAATTCAACCATATGATCCCTTTGGCCTCACTGTACTGATTCACACCTCTTAGTATGTTAGCAGAATTTACGAGATTGCCCTCAAGAGGAAACAGAAATATTTCCTCCCTCAAGGTACTCTCTAACTATAAAAGCACTAATGGTTTGTTTCCAAAGTTGAAGGTGGGGAAAGAGAAAGAAGGAAGAGGAGGAAAACAGGGAGAGAGAATAACTGTGATATAATTCTAACTCTCTGACCCTACAAAGACATGTAACTACTTCCAGTTTTTGAAAAAGAAAATCAGATGCAAGTAAGGTAATGATAAAAGTTATACAGCATGTTTGCCATATGAGTGAGTCAATGAATGCTGACATGGAACTGACAGCAGGCAGACCACATTTTCTCAAAATATTCCAAATAGAAACAAAGTATGCATGTGCCTTTGATCCCAGCACTTTGGGAGGCCACGGCAAAAGGATCACTTGAACCCAGGGGTTTGAAGCTAGCCAGGGGAGCATAGCAAGACCCTGTTACTACAAAATATAAAAATTAGCTGAGTACGGTGCATGCCTGTAGTTTCAGCTAATCAAGAGGCTGAGGTGGGAAGATTGCTTGAGCCTGGAAGGTAGAGGCTGTGGTGAGCCATGATCACACCACTGCACTCTAGCCTGGGATACAGAGTGAGACCCTCCCTGTCTCAAAACAAAGCAAAACAAAACAAAAGTATGCATGTGTGTATGTGTGTGTATGAAATAAAGTAGGGTTAGGGGAAGCAAGGACCACAAAGAGAGTCCAAATTTGGTGTAATGCAAAGCCTTCCTTTTAATTATCAACAAAATAAGGAAGATTTCTACCTTGATATTCATTAAAACATGTTTTCTAAGGAAAATACGGTTTTGATTTTTTAAGCTGTGGTGGATTACTCCTACATGGAGCTGACACTCAGTAGATTTACTTCTGACCAGTCATCACTTGCAACAAGTGTGTTTTCAAAATGATTCGGCTCACAGGGAATATAAAGTTTTGCTCCAAATCAGCTCCTTGAGATGTCACTTCGGAAAGATTCTAAGGAAAACTGCTGATATTGCAGGTAATGGCATCTGCTTTTACTTTCAAAGCCTCAAAAGCTGTTTTTTGGTGGAGTCTGTTCCTGAAATCAGAACTCTAGGACAGGTAGTACAGAATAAAATCTCAGAACATGGCAGAAAGATTCCTGAGCTTTCACAAACTTTGAATTAAGCTGTATTTCCTAGAATCACAAACAAGGGACAGAGAGAAATTGGAATCCTAGAATTCCCATTCAGACATTCAAAGAAATTGTTAAAATATTCCAAGAAACTGTCTATGTACAAAAATTTCACAACGTGTTCCACTAAGCACAGAATGAAATAAGTGTACAATTCCTCTAACAATTAGAACCCACTGGCTATGTTCATAAAGAAGGTGATGGGGTCATTAAGTCACATGGCCTAGGCAGACAGTTCAAATGACCTCCACCCTCTCCATGCAAAGGTTTAGCCAACACTGGCTGCCCAGTTATTGTGTGTCTGGCTCCATTCTAGGCTCAAGGGATGCAAGATCAATAAAACTCTGTCCAGAAGGCCCTTATAGTCCAGACGAAAAGAGAGAAGTTAACCAACAATTAAAATACAGCAAGAGGCAATATAGTGGCTAAGAGTATCGACTTAGAAGTCAGTTACCTGATTTCAAAAACTATCTCTGGTTTATGGCTTATATTGGCTATGTGACTTTGAGAAAGTTATTCAGCTTCTGTACCTCAGTGTTTCATAAACATACACACACAAGCATACATATATATGCACACATATATACATACACACATACATATATACATATAAGAATACATACACAGAGATATATTTACACACACCAACATGCATATATATGCATACATACACACAAATGAGTACCTCCCTCATATGGTTGTTGTGAAAATTAAAATACGTTAGTCACTTAGAAGATTGCCTTGCTTTTAATAAGCATTTTATGTTTGCTAAATAACAAAATAATAAATAAAATGTAAACAAAATCCATAAGAGAAAGCCATGCATGGCTGTGAGCATTACAAAGAGGCATCTCTACCAGCCAGAAGACATCAGGAGTGACCTATCAGAGGATGCATTGCTAGAATAGAATCCGTTTTAGACTTGATAAGAACAAGTTCAAGTTAACAAGATGTAAGTGAGAGAAGTCTGCTCCTTAAACTCTACCCACAGTATTTTCAAAATGGCAAATGAAACCAAACTAAAAATGGGTCAAGAGTTCCACCCAATTTATAGAAAAAAAAATTCTTGTAGTTCTTGATTCAAAATTCAAGAGGATTTTACATTCTATTCCCTAATATATTTATTTTTGTTTCAAAATAAAAATAATGGCTTTTATTTGTCCCTAGTGAGTAGAATTGATACTGAGGCGGATGTGCCCTGCCTCTTCCTGGGGTAGGCATGTTCTGATTTAGGCAGCAAAAGAGCAGAGGGATTATAAAACGCAAAGGTGGCCAGGTGCAGTGGCTCATGCCTATAATTCCAGCACTTTGGGAGGCCAAGGTGGGCGGATCACAAGCTCAGGAGTTTGAGACCAGCCTGACCAACATGGTAAAACCCTGTCTCTACTAAAAATACAAAAATCAGCTGGGCGTGGTGGCAGGCACCTGTAATCCCAGCTACTCAGGAGGCTGAGGCAGGAGAATCACTTGAACCTGGCAGGCGGAGGTTGCAGTGAGCCGAGATTGCGCCACTGCACTCCAGCCTGGGTGACAGAGCGAGACTCTGTCTCAAAAAAAAAGAAAAAGAAAAAAAGAAAATGGTATCGGATTATCAGAAAGGGTGACACATTCAGTCTCAAGATTGGGTGTTAAGCCACCTGGAGTGCAGGTGGCAAGGGAATCAGTGTCAGGACCACCAGGCAAACCCCACTCCAGGCTACAGCAGGAGGCGACTCCATGGCAGGCATCCCACAGAAAGCTCAGGAAATGAGCTTTAGAATAGAACAAACAGCCTACTAGAGATAACTCAGAATGACCCCAAAAATGTATATTGATAAATAGATACTCCAAACCCAGGTCTTAACATTGAGAGCTCAGCTAAAATCAGAAGAAAAACATCATTTTGACCATGTAATTTCACCTGGGAGCTGACTGAAATGTCCCCAAGATGTGACTCCACAGGATGGTTTCTAAGTCACTGTTCTTGCAGACCCAGAAATACGGTTTTATGAATACTCTGAGTATGGAACAACCTCTCTGACTTTGGCTTGCACTAACCAAACTCACGGAAATATATCAACATATAGTAGAATGCTAATTCATCAACCCTTTTTTAAGAGAAAAACAACTTTTATTGAACTGGAATACTAAGCAATTTAATAATTATTGATCTAATTATCTACCACACACTGAACTAAATATTTTTAAAATGCTGTCATATTTAATTCTCAAAATAATTCTACAAGACTGACATCAAAGAAACTGTCAATGCTTATCAATATTTATCTGCACCTCTACATTTTCCTGCCTCCTTCTTGGCCACCAGAACATGGATGAGGTGATGTGGGTCACTTCTGAGCAAAGGTGGTCAAGTGTATGGTAGGCCTTCCCTATGTTCTCTCTTTCCCAAACATGCAGCTAAAAAATAAAGAAGTCAGAAATGAAAGGTGGCCAGGCATGGTGGCTCACACCTGTAATCCCAGCACTTTGGGAAGCCAAGGTGGGAGGATCGCTTGAGCACAGAAATTTGAGACCAGCTTGGGCAACATAGAGATCCTGTCTCTATAAAAAAAAAAAATAATAATAATAATAATAATAATAAATAAATAAATAAATAAATAAAACTTAATTAGCTGGACATGGTGGCATGCACCTCTAGTCTCAGCTACTCAGGAGCTTGAGGTGGGAGGATCACTTGAGCCTAGGAGGTTGAGGGTGCAGTGAGCTATGATTGTGCCACTGCACTCTAGCCTGGGCAACAGAGCTAGACTCTCTCTCAAAAAAGAAAAAAGAAATTAAAAGCCAACAGACTGGAAGAGCAGGGAAGTAACAGAGGGAAGGACAGCACAATGAGATTAAAGCTGTTCACCTTTCTAAATACATATTCTTGAGGACCAGGTCTAGCCCAGACACAGTTCCAGCTAAAGCCCCTAAGTGAGCAGTGGGAGACAACAGGCTGGAGTGGGCCGCCACAGGGCGCATGGAGAAATGTCAAGGCAGAATGAAAAGAACCATTTTGAAGGGCTTGATAAAAGCAGGAGGTGGAAGGTTGTGACCAAAGGAAAAAAATCAACAGTGAATATTTCCAAGGCTAGCAGAAATAGAGAAGTAAAGTCTTTGAAATAGTCAAGGAATGACTTCTTTTGAAAGGATCTGGATAGGTCATTAAAATATCAGATTCTTAAAACCAAGTCAAAGCCTTACACTTATGAAACACAAATTCATGTTTTAATATATAACATACACAAATAGGGACATCTGATATACTTGGAATCCTGTTTTATTCTCATTAGTGATTTTCTGCATCATACTCATGTGTCAACCAGACTGGTTCATTTTAAATCCTATAGGATATAGATTTGATATAAAATGGTAATTCAATATATTTGTCCTTGTTAATAAGAGTAAATCACATAAAAACTGCCAAATCCTTGTAACAAACTTAATGAGTTTACTTTTTTATTGTGAGATATGCAATCATAAAAACATGAACCTGCTATTGCCTTCAACCAAGCATTTCTTTTTTTATTTTATCAAACAAAATATAGGTGATGTTTCACAGACATAATAGTCATTCTTTAAAAACCAGAATGTTTAGTACATTCTATTTTTCAAATTTGCTACTTTTTTCTTTAATTAAAAGTCTCTCCCAATACTCTTAAGGTGGAGGTGGTAGAAAGGAACTGTGTTACTAACTCAGTTAACACACATGCTATTGAGCTAGGCACAGTGGCACAAGCGTGTAGTCCCAGCTACTTGGGAGGCTGAGATGGGAAGATCACTTTGAGCCCAGGAGTTCAAGTTCAGCCAGAGCAACATGGTGAGACCCTGTCTTAAAAAAAAAAAAAAAAAAAATGGCTGGGTGGCTTGGCTTATGTCTGTAATCCCAGCACCTTGGGAGGCCTAGGTGGGAGGAACACTTGAGGTCAGGAGTTCGAGACCAGCCTGGCCAACACAGTGAAACCCCATCTCTACTAAAAATAGAAAAATTAGCTGTGCATGGTGGTACACACCTGTAGTCCCAGTTACTCAGGAGGCTGAGACAGGAGAATCACCGGAACTAGGGAGGCGGAGGCTGCAATGAGCCAAGATCGCACCACTGCACTCCAGCCTGGGCAACAGAGTGAGACTCCATCTCAAAAATTAAAAAAAAAAAAAAAAAAAAAAAAAAAAGTGGTCCAGTGAAAACGTCTTGGCTTATGTCAGGATATACCCAGAAGACTGTTTTAATAGCATGACCACCTGAAAGTTAATTGATGAATTTCCACCAAATCAAGTGGGACTTTCTCTGAACTTTTGTACCTAACTTATTTAAAAATATAAATAAAGACAAAAGACTTTCAAACTTACAGATGAAGCAAAGAAGACTGTACTAGAAAGAACCCTCTGCTTCCAAATAAAAAGGCTCTTGCTCAGCCTCTTTTGACTTTGAAATTCCATTTACTGATAAAGCTTATCTTTCTTTTGTTTTTTTTTTTTTTTAAAAAAAGGCTTAAACTGTAAATATCTCTGGAAAAGGCAGTAGCCTGTCTGAAATTCACAAATTTGGTTCTACAACATTCATAAGATCAGGTTTAAAGAGATATAAGAATTTGGGGTTGTTAGGAAGGGAAATGTGACCCACAGACGAACCACAGATGAAATAAAGTGAAGACTGGCTAAAATCACATTTCCAGACTTATTTTGGCTAAAGTCATCTCTCCTTCTCTCCTTTTTTTTTTTTTTTTTTTTTTTTTTTTTTTGAGACGGAGTCTTGCTGTTGCCTAGGCTGGAGTGCAGTGGCGCCATCTGGGCTCACTGCAAGCTCCGCCTCCCGGGTTCACACCATCCTCCTGCCTCAGCCTCCCGAGTAGCTAGGACTACAGGCGCACGCCACCACGCCCGGCTGATTTTTTGTATTTTTTAGTAGAGACGGGGTTTCCCCGTGTTAGCCAGGATAGTCTCGATCTCCTGACCTCGTGATCTGCCCGCCTCGGCCTCCCAAAGTGCTGGGATTACAGGCGTGAGCCACTGCGCCCGGTCTCTCCTTGATTTTTATACTTCTTACCAACTACCAGCCTCATCTAGCACTAAACAATGCTAGAGGCATTGCCCCGTTGCTTTCATCCCATGGAAATCCACTATTTCCACTTACATGAAAACAAAGTTATAATAGCAGTGCTATTTCTTTAAAAATACCCAAGATGGTCGGACACGATTGCTCATGCCTGTAATCCCAGCACTTTGGGAGGCCAAGGTGGGTGGATCACGAGGTCAGGAGTTCGAAACCAGCCTGACCAACATGGTGAAACCCCGTCTCTACTAAAAATACAAAAATCAGCCGGGCATGGTGGTGGGCACCTGTAATCCCAGCTACTTGGGAGGCTGAGCAGAAGAATCACCAGAACCCGGGAGTTGGAAGTTGCAGTGAGGCAAGATCATGCCATTGCACTCCAGTCTGTGTGATGGAGAAGACTCTGTCTCAAAAAAAATTTAAAAAAATGCACAAGATACTTACACCAAAATTGTTTTGAAAATGTGAAATATTGTCATGGTAGGTGTGCTATGATGTGATTTATTGGAAGGTCGAGGTCCCCAAGATAGGTGCACTGTTTGATACTCCTTTCTTCTGCACTTGCAAGATTGCTCTCCTTTGACGTCAGACCCAGTTCTTGAGAACCAATATGTCTCACCTCCAAGGTGATTAATTATATTGATTGCACCTCAAATGTGATGTCACTTCGGTCTGCCTACAGTGATGGAAAGACACAACTAGATATCAGAAGAAGGAAGAGGACTAAACTGTACCTGTGTCATATTGTTCAGAATGATAATTTATCCTTTTTGATTTGATTTTTAATGATTTTGTGGTGTTGGGTGTTGACAAATGTATGCCACTAGATGTGCGTGATCTGAGCACAGGCATGTTTACTTTCTGAGTCTGATATAACCACAGTGGCAGTGGAGACTGAATCCACCCCATCTTCCTTCTGTGCCCTCCTCTTTTTGTTTTCTTTCACAATGCATATCTCTAGTCCTCGCTTACCAAGGATTATATTATGATTAATGAGATCACTGACAGTCAGAAAATAAGTGGACAAACTTGAGAACTAAGCTTATTCTAGAGCATTCTGTTTCCATTTTAAACAAGAAAACTGATGAAAACAAAAGAAGTAATGAAAGAAAATAAGGCAAAAGTCCAAAATATTAAACTAAACAAAGCGGGAATGAACACATTTTCTAATGGCTAGGTACCTAAGCATCAAATAAATAATTTGCTACTAAAATGACGCACACTGCTGAGCATGGTGGCTCACGCCTGTAATCCCAGCATGTTGGGAGGCCGAGGCAGGCAGATCACCTGAGGTCGGGAGTTCAAGACCAGCCTGACCAACATGGAGAAACCCCGTCTCTACTAAAAATACAAAATTAGCTGGGTGTGGTGGCATATGTCTGTATCCCAGCTACTCGGGAGGCTGAGGCAGGAGAATCGCTTGAACCTGGGAGGTGGAGGTTGCGGTGAGCAGAGATTGTGCCATTGCACTCTAGCTGGGCAACAAGAAAGAAACTCTGTCTCAAAAAAAAATAAGAATAAAAATAAAAATAAGAATAAAAACAAAAATAAATAAAATGATACACCCAACCCAAAAAAAAAAAAAAAAAAAAAAAAAACCAAGCACATTATTTCCAATCTTATCACTTCCTAGGTTTTTTTTTTTTTGAGACGGAGTCTTGCTCTGTCGCCCAGGCTGGAGTGCAGTGGCACGATCTCGGCTCACTGCAACCTCCACTCCCAGGTTCAAGCGATTCTTCTGCCTCAGCCTCCCGAGTAGCTGAGACTACAGGCACACACTACGGCACTCGGCTAATTTTTGTATTTTTAGTAGAGACGGGGTTTCACCATATTGGCTAGGCTGGTCTCGAACTCCTGACCTTGTGATCCACCCACCTTGGCCTCCCAAAGTGCTGGGATTACAGGCGTGAGCCACCGCCCCCGGCTACTTATCACTTCCTAGTTTTGAGGCTAATTCTCCATTAAGAGAACAAAGTCAATTCAATAAAGGATTCAACAGAAATTCACTTTACCTCTAATGAATAATTCAAACTTTAATATTTGAATTATCTAAATAATTAGCTCAAATTTTTATAATATTTTGTACTTCTAACACATTCTTAGGCATGGCTTTACTTTCTATCCTTTTGGTCAAAATAAATTAATGTACTTGATGTGTCAAAATAGCTTTTATTTGTCCAAAAAAAATCAATATAGCATCAAGAAATCCCTTTAAATACATCTACAGGTTGTGCCTGAGATCATGAGTATTGAAGTGTTTTATACTATTGTCAAATATCATAGAGTTTATCTCCAGGTAGCCTTTGATTATGAAAGATGCCCTTGGTATAAATAATCAAATCAGTTTTTGTAAATACTATTTTCAAGCCTTAAAGTGGACCATAAAATTCAAGGCATAAAAGCAATATATTTTAGAAATTCTGAAACTGTTTCCCCTACCTTTCTACCCAGAATTTAAAAAAAAAAAAAAGTCCTTTTTACTTTTTTTCCAGAAAATTATAAGCTTATATACTTCTTCTCATCTCCTCTTAGTTATATGGAATTTTCCCATTGTCTTCTACCAAAATTTAATCCTTCAGAATTCCCAGTTTTCCCACATGGTTAAATGGAATGTTCAACATTTTTGTGTGTTATGCCTCACTAGACCCATAATCAACCAAAATAGACATTTATGATAGACTTAAAGTTCTCTCGTTTTAAGTAAACACACACTAATTTTTTTAACAATCTAAACTTCTAAATATTCACTAAGTGTTTTACCTTGAAAATAGACTATCAAAAAAAAAAATCATAAGGGCCAGATGCCATGGCTCAAGTTTATCATCCCAGTACTTTGGGAGGATCTCTGGAACCCAGGAGTTCGAGACTGCAGCGAGCTATGATTGCACCACTGCACTCCATCCTGGGCAACAGAGTGAGATCCTGTCTCAAGAAAAAAAAAATATATATATATATACACACACATATATACACATATATACATATATACACATATATACATATATACACATATATACATATATACACATATATACATATATACACATATATATACATACATACACATATATATACACATATATATACATATATATATGATACCAATGTCCTCTATGTCATACGAAAGCCAATGTTGTTACAAAAGGCAGTGAGATCCAAGTCTGAAGAAGCCCAAATAACTTAGCAGACAGGTGAAATCATTGAGCCCATTATAACTAAAATTTGACATTTTATTTAATTAAACAAATAGTTTGAAGAAATAAATGTAAAGTAGTTAAAAGAGATACAGCATGACTCATAAACACATGAGCCAAGCACTGTTTGGGATGTTTGCTAATCCTACTCTAGGCTAATTAGCTGAAAACATACCTGGCAAATCCCAGGAAGCTTAAAGATGATTAAAGAACTCAAAGAAGGAAAGCCTACAGCAACTTGTGCAAAAGAATAAAGAAACTGCAGCTATTCCACCTAAGAAAGCCTGGAAGCCGATTTCATAGTAAACTTCCATTTAATATGGCTGTTATGCAGATCAGGGACAGACAGCTCTCCAATGGGACAAAACAGGATAGGACGCCATATATTTCAACATAAAGGCATAGACAAAAGACAGTCTCCACAATAAGGGGAATCTGTTCAGCTCTCGCCTGGGTGACCGCTGTATGAAAAGTGCGTGACCCCAAGGTGCCCGGGCCCCAAAGCCAATCCTAGCACACTGAAGCCTCAGAATGGAAACAGGAGAGCAGACTCCAGGGAGTGGAATTGAACACATTTCTTCACAGAAGGTGTCTCGATGAGATCAGCAGGGGATCACAGGACACATCACAGAGCAAGGCTTCCTTAGAATCCTCTCCAATTCCTCTCCTTTCCCCAAAAGCTCAGTCCTCCCGGCAAACTCCTTTACTCTAGTAGGCTCTGAGTCCCTCCTTGTGTTTCCTCCTCTCATTCCCCTCTCCAAGTCAATCCCTCTCTCCCTCTTCATCTCCCTCAAATTCTCTTTCTCTCTCTTGTAGCCTCCTCCCCACAACCCAAGTCTCACCCTCTACCCACACAGGCACTGTGGGGAGAAGGACGCCTGAAAATACTCATAGCAGGATTTGTTTAATGACATGCTGCAGTTTATATGCACCAAAAAGATGGCAGCATTGTGCCTTTTTTTTTTTTTTTTTTTTTTTTTTTTTTTTTTTGATACAGAGTCTTGCTCTGTTGCCCAAGCTGGAGTGCAATGGAGTGATCTCGGCTCACTGCAACCTCTGCCTCCCAAGTTCAAGCGATTCTCCTACCTCAGCCTCCCAAGTAGCTGGGATTACAGGTGCATGCCACCACACCCAGCTAATTTTTGCATTTTTGGTAGAGACAGAGTTTCACCATGTTGGTGAGGCTGGTCTCAAACTCGTGACCTCATGATCTGCCTGCCTTGGCCTCCCAAAGTGCTGGGATTACAGGTATGAGCCACCACGCCCAGCCAGCATTGTGCCTTTCTATAAATGATATAAACTTCCTCAAAAGCTCCATTCCCACTTTTAGAGGTGGCAGGATGGAGTGGGATAGGAAAGGTATGAATTTGCTGGTTAAGTGTCAGTGGCCAGCCAGGGGCAATGGCTCATGCCTGTAATCCCAGCACTTTGGGAGGTCAAGGAGGGTGGATCACCTGAGGTCAAGAGTTCAAGACCACTCCTGTAATCCCAGCTACTTGGAAGCCTGAGGCGGGAGAATCGCTTCAACCCAGGAGGCAGAAGTTGCAGTTAGCCAAAATCATGCCACCACACTCCAGCCTGGGTGACAAAGTGAGACTCCGTCTCAAAAAAAAGAGTCAACGGCCAGGTGTGGTGGTTCAAGCCTGTAATCCTAGCACTTTGGGAGACTGAGGTCGGAGGATCACTTGAAGCCAGGAGTTCGAGACCATCCGGGACAAGGCAAAACACGTCTCTACAAAAAATTAGCCAGGCGTGGTAGTGCACGCCTGTAATCCCAGCTACTCGGCCTGTAATCCCAGCTACTTGGGAGGCTGAGGCAGGAGAATCACTCAAACTTGGGAGGTGGAGGCTGCAGTGAACCGAGATCATGCCACTGTACTCCAGCCTGGGTGAACAGAGAAAGATTCCGTCTAAAAAAAAAAAAAAAAAAGAGTCAATCAGTTACCTCGCTTTAAACAGTCTTTTTCAGATCAATATGCAGTCAGTTCAAAGTTCAAATGCCCTCGGAGATTTGTTTCTCCCATTCCTCCCTGCTCCTTCACAAAATAGGGACCTGAGTGTAGAACAGAGATTACATGTCTCCGGGGGCAGCTGAGGGAGACAGTTGACCCCAGGGCTGGCCTCTTCAGACATATTCCCTGGTAACACCCTGCCAGTGACATCTGTGGTCAGCTTTTTGGGTAAAGCAAGGGTCTCACAGGTCCTTGCCCCTGTTAACTGGCCCCGCCTTCATTCAGGCTGGCTCTGCAAATCCTCTGGCTCTACTTCCACCTCTTCCTCCAACAGCCCCTGGCAGGCTTGCACCAGGGAGCTTGCGGGAGCTTGCGGGGCAGAGGGTGTCTTACCCACATGTTGCTCCCAGATCCCTGGTTGGAGGCCTCTGGTTTCAATCCCACAGCAGAATGTAAGAATTTCTGGATCCTTCCGCATCACAAAAGCAAAAGCCAAGGCATTCTTGGGGCTCTCTATTTGGGCTGTTTGTTTTTTACTTTTGTCAGGGTTATTGAGATATAATATACATTCAGTAAAATCCCTTTTCACGCATGTTTTAATGAGTCTTGACAAATGTATGTAGTTGTGTAACCATTACCACAATGAAAATATAGAACATTTCTGCATCTCCCACCCCTCAAATTCCCTGTGCCCTTTTGCAGTCAGCACCTGCCACCACTCCCCAGGCAACCACTGATCTGATTTCTGTAGTGTTGTGTAACATTGGCTTTTCCAGAATAATATATAAGTAGAACCATATCATTTGTAGCCTTTTGTGTCTTGCTCTTTTTTCATTTAGCATTTTGAGATGCAGTCATCTTATTGTATGTATCAGAAGTTTATTCCTTTCAGGGGATAAAACCCCTAGATTTATGAATTATAACTGACATACCATAAACTGCATATATTTCAAATGTGCTATTTGAAAAGTTTTGACATATGTATATACCCATGAAATCACCACCACAGTAAAGACAGAGAATATAACCAAGACTTCCAAAAGTTTCTCTTTTCAAAAAAAAATTATTTTAGATGCAGGGGGTACATGTGCAGGTTTGTTACATGGGAATACTGCATGATGCTAAGGTGTGGACTTCTAATGATCCTGTCACTGACGTGGTGAACATAGTACCTGATAGGTAGCTTTTCAACTCTTGTCCCACTTCTTTCCTCTCCCATTCTGGGATCCCCAGTGTTTACTGTTCCCATCTTTGTGTCCTTGTGTACCCAGTGTTTAGCTTCCACTTATAAGTGAGAATATTTGGTTTTCTGTTCCTGTGTTAATTCTCTTAGAATAATGGCCTCCAGCTACATCCATGTTGCTGCAAAGGACATGATTTCATTCTTTTAATGGCTGCATAGTATTCCATGGTGTATATGTACCAAATTTTTAATTTTTATTTTTGTCTTTATTTTTTTTTTTTACAGCCTGGACACACAGCACCCATTTTTTAATTTAATCCGCCATTGATGAGCACATGGATTGATTCCATGTCTTTGCTATTGTAAATAGTGCTATGATAAACATATGAATGCAGGTGTCATTTTGGTAGGACCATTTATTTTTCTTTAGGTATATATATACCCAGCAATGGCATAGCTGGGTCAAATGGCAATTCTGTTTTCAGTTCTTTGAGAAATCTCCCAACTGCTTTCCATAGGGTCTGAACTAATTTATACTTCCACCAACAGTGTATAAGTGTTCCCTTTTCTCTGCAACCTTGCCAACATCTGTAATTTTTGGACTTTCAAGTTATAGCTATTCTGACTCATGTGAGAAGATATCTCACCATGGTTTTGTCTTGCATTTATCTGATGATTCGTGATATTGGGGCTCTATATTTGACCCTCTCTCTGCTTAGATGCCATCTGCAGCCATGTCTAATTCACT
This sequence comes from Homo sapiens, assembly GCF_000001405.40. Lineage (NCBI taxonomy): Eukaryota > Metazoa > Chordata > Mammalia > Primates > Hominidae > Homo > Homo sapiens. Next base: position 157,207,142 of record NC_000003.12, on the reverse strand, counting down.
GCCTGTGGGGTTCCGTGTTAGATATTTTGATTCTCCTGGAAGGCCTGAAATTTTCCTAGCCTGTATCTAGGGAAACTAGACACAAACCTCCTCGCTCTGGGAATATAGCCCCCACCAAAAGACCTTTTTTTAAAACTCTGTTTCTCCTTTGGCCAAGTAGGTATGAGGAGAAAATCAGGATCCAATTATTTGACCACATATTCCCTGTCTCTTCCCCTACACTCTCCTTCCTCTCCCTGTCCTGGGTACAGAGTTACAAAGTGTGAGAGTATGTGTGTGTGTGTGTGTGTGTGTGTGTGTGTGTGTGTGTGTGTAATGTCTGTCCTTCCCACCCACCCACACCACACACACATACACACATACACACACAGCTTCCTAAAAACTAAAACGGTTATCTATTTTCTCTTTCTGTTGGTTAAGGAACACTGATCATCTTGATTTCCCTCAGAACTTCTTTGATACTGTCCTTTCTTTCCCTGTTAAATAAGCCTTAATGATGAAGGGTGGAGGAGGAACAGGAATTAGGAAAAATAAAAATTATATTAGTGTTTAAATAGCATTACCATTACATACTTATATAGCCAATTTAGCTCTACTTACTGGATCATAAATATGAAATCTTTCAACTTTTTCCTAACCCTTTATCCAAATTCCATACTTCCCTTTCCCATCTCTCCATGGCATCCTAGACAGATTGCATCTTTTTTTTTTTTTTTTGAGACAGGGTCTCCTGCTCTGTAACCCAGGCTGAAGTGCAGTGGCATGAACACAGCTCACTGCACTGTCAACCTCAGGGATTCAAGTGATTCTCCCACCTCAGCCTCCCAAGTAGCTGGGAACACAGGTGTGCACCACCACTTCTGGCTAATTTTTGTATTTTTTGTAGAGACGGGATTTCGCCATGTTGTCCAGCCTGGTCTTGGACTCCTGAACTCAAGCAACACTCTTGCCTTGGCCTCCCAAAATGCTGGGATTACAGACATGAGCCACTGCCCCTGGCCAAAATTGCATCACTTTCTATTCATTTTTGGTTATTAAAAAACCAACTAAAACTTCAATTTCAAACTCCATTTAAATTCCATCTCCTCCCACTCCAAAGAACGCTTGAGTCAGGACCCCGGCTGTTTGAAGTAAGATGGGTGAGGGGGAGTGCGGGCTCTGAGATACCCCTCCTCCTCCCTCTCCTATGCCCTGCTCGAGTATTTTAGTCAGGAAGAGTGGGAAGGAAAGGGACAGGGTCTTTCCACCCAACAGGATCAGCTGTGGCCCTCACTCTGCCCGCCGCTCTGCTTCTCCAGAAAACCCTGAGTGTGAGTGCCGGCCTCTCAAGTCCACCTTTTGGAGCACATGTGAGAGCCAGTCAGAGGGCCCTGGGGGTGTCTTCCCACTGCACACCCCCATATGGAAGACTGAGCTATGGCTGGGTCTTTCCCATCCACTCCCTCAAGTATCCCCAGTAATACACTCCAAGTCATGGTGCATAGCCCTGGGAAGGGAGGATGTTGTTACAGCAAGTTGGCTCGAAGGCACCTGCCTTCCATATGTCCTCTTGCCCTAAGGAATTTCTTGCACCCTGGCCATGCCACATAATGGACAGGCAAGCTGACTGTTCCACTGTAGCCTCTTCTCTCTGATCACCCATCTCTCCTAGCTTGCATCTCCTCTGCTCTAGTAGAATGAATAGCCTAGCAAATCTTATGCCTAAGTAGAGGTCACGATGGGGACAGTCTCTTTCTTCACTTGGAAATGGGAGTGGGAAGCAGCCCCTTAGTGATGGCAGGGGGGAAATCACTCCACCCTACTTACTCCCCAAGGACAGGGTGTTAAGGGACAGAGGAGGTGGGTGGGGACTGGTGTATAGTTCTTTAGCCCCTTAGGAATACTCTGGAGAAAGCACCAGACCCCAGTTACTGTTTTTAGCTCTGGGCTCTGTGTCAAATACAGGGCAACAGAAAAAGGCCCCTCTGCCATCCTGTTATTCTCATAACTTAATTTCCCTTATCATGGTGGAATTCCCTTCTTCCTAATCCTCTGAAAGCAGATAGACTCTCATTTTCCGTGATAGATGAAATGAGTTCTGACCAGCAATCACTGAAATATGCCACAGGAAATTTCAAGTTTCTTTCTAAAGATCCTATGATTCAATAAAAACATCAAAAGAAACAGCAAGTCCCATTTATGAATTTAGCTAGATGATTAAAACTAATTCATTATCCTTGTTTCTGAGTGAATCAAATTTTTTTCAACAAGTTGATCTCTTATTAACCAAATACTTATTTTCTACAAGTTAGCAACAACTGAATCATTCATTTTCCCTTCTACTCCATCTTCTGTTCAACTCTAAATTATTTTGATCAATATCTTTATTGCAAAAATGGTTTCTGCCAATGAATTTTGCTACTATCTATGCTATTTGTAATTTTAGATGCATTTAATCTGAGTGGAATTTGGATTTCACAGTTGTGGCAATATGCAAAGCTCTAGTGATAGTCAGGAATCTTTGCCCTGAAAGGATTTAGGGTGTGTGTATTTAGATAGTTTACATCTTTAAAAAACAAAACAAAACAATTTAGAACCTTTGCGGAAGCATCAATTTAATAGTAAAATGCTGCCTCCTTCTGGATAAATTGTATGAAGCATGATAAGCTTGTTAAACTGCTGTAAAGGTATATCATCTTATGAAAAGAAATCCTTAATAAATTTCTTAAATTAAAAACTAATAAAACTAGAAATCTAGAGTAAGCCTTGAAAGATTACCTAGATTCTGTCTTTTAGTCAGTAAAACATTTAAATTATTTATGTTATATAGATGATTTGATTATCTGTCCTATTGAAGATCTTTTAATAGTAACTGAGAAAGTACAGAATAGATGACAAAACTGAAATTAAAGGTCCATCTCTACAAAAAATTTAAAAAATTAGTAGGGCACGGTAGCATGCACGTGTAGTCCTGGCTACTGAGGAGACTACGTGGAGGCTGAGGTGGGAGGATCATTTGAGCCCAGGAGTTGAAGGTTACAACTCTATGATCACACCACTGCATTCCACCCTGGGCAACTGAGTGAAACTCAGTCTCTATTTTTAAAAAAATAGAATTAGCATAATTTTCATGTTCACATCTTGAAATGTTTAAATACTCAATTGTCATTGTCATTTATACATATGCACATATTAATACTATATACCTAGAAAAATGAGTGTGTATATGTGTGTTTAGCATATTCAATGAAATGCCTAGGTTCTAGTCTTACTTCTATAGCCATATATCATGTGAATTTGGGCAAACCACGTAATCTCTTTCATCCTAGTTTTCTTATCTGTAAATTGAGGATAATAAACCCATGGTTATTGACTTTGAAAACTGTATGTGAGGCTCACTAAAATTAATAAAGCAGGCAGGGTGCAGTGGCTGATGCCTATAATCCCAGCACTTTGGGAGGGCAAGGTGGGAGGATCACTTGAGACCAGGACTTCGAGACCAGCCTAGGCAACATGGCAAGACCCCTCTACAAAAATTTTTTTTAAAAAAACTAGACAGGTGTGGTGGCACATGCCTGCAGTCCCAGCTACTTGGGAGGCTGAGGTGGGAGGATCGCTTGAGTCTGGGACGTCAAGGCTGCAGTGAGCCATGATTGCCCCACTGCACTCCAGCGTGGGCAACAGAGTGAAACTCTGTCTCAAAATAAATAAATAAATACAATACAATAATGCAATACAATACAATCAACAAATCCCTATGTGAGGTAGTAACCTAATTTCTTATCCTTAAGGCTTTATATGATCACATGTCCAAAGTGAAAGAATAGAACCATATCTGTGACCAGTAAGAAGAAAAATGCTTAATGGTGTCTTATTTATTGAATGACCACAGCTAGTTTGGTTGCACTCAAATCAATCAACTCTATGATCTAAACAGAGAGAGAAAGACGTTACAAATAACCCCAGACCACAATTATACAAAAGCAAAATCCACTCTCAATTCTCCAGAGATGATTTACCCCCACAGAGCCAAAAGAGCAGGTAGGTCTAACCAAAGCTGTTCTTGCCAGGGACCCAGAGAGAGCCTTGTTTGCACAGCCTCATCCTTGAGCCAACATTCCCAGACTCTTCCTAGAGCATTGCCTAGATCTAGACTCTGCCTAGATCATAGGATGATCAAGTGCTGACTGTGTCCTTGTTATATTAAAGGGTCTTTCATGATTCTCTGAGGATCCTTCCACCAAAGCACTACCCAAAATCCAAACCAGCTAAAAGACCAAAGGATACTCCAAATGCTCCAATTCCTATTCGGCCTCTCTCTAGTGGGCATGAAATTTAACCACTCTGTGCCCCAATTTGCCTATAAAATGGGTGCAACCACAATACCTACCTCATTAGGTTATTGTGAAGATCAAATGAATTAATACAAGCAGAGCATGCAGAACAGTACCTGGCATATAAGCATTTAATCTATGTTGGCTGCTGCTCTCAAGGCCACTATTATTATAATCATACTAATGTGCTTGTGCATGGCACTTACTTATGGACAAATGATATGTCTCTCTCACAGCTACTTCATTTGCTAAGACTGAAGCCTGATCCTTTAAATCCTCTGTCTATCAATGATTAAAATACGGTCCTATATTAGCTTCCTAACATTACATATATGCTTTAATTTTTCAATGGCAAAATAGTAAATTATAACTATGGGTGCTATTTGGGTTTTTTGTTTGGTTGGTTGGTTGGTTGGTTTTGAGACAAGGTCTCGCTCTGTCACCCAGGTTGGAGTGCCGTGGTGCAATGTCGGCTCACTGCAAACTCTGCCTCCTGGCTTTAAGTGATTCTCCCACCTCAACCTCCCCGAGGAGCTGGGACTACAGGCATGCACCACCATGCCTGGTAATTTTTTGTATTTTTAGTAGATATGGGATTTCACCATGTTGGTTAGGATGGTCTTGAGCTCCTGGCTTCAAGTGATCCACCTGCCTCGGCCTCCCAAAGTACTGGGATTACAGGTGTGAGCCACTGTGCCCAGCTTACGGGTACTATTTGATGGCATACTAGTCAAACCAAGCAACAACTCTGTTTTATAGCCATATAAGCAGATGACCCTGGAATAAAAGCTGGGACTTACGCACATTTCAAGCTGTTAAACATTTTTTATCATATTCCAATTTCGTTTCACTCTGAAAGCAGAAGTGGCTATCATATGATTGACTCAAAACTATTTGGTATATCACCCTAAGATAAATACCAGAAGGCACCAAAACTGTTTTGAATGAGGACTAAAGATGACATTTGGCCACTAGATGGCATTTAAATTATGTAGCAGGCTTTAGCTCACACTTCAGCTATTTAAAAGCTTAATTGGTTTGCATTTAGCCCAAGCACTGGCGATTCATGTATTTTCATGCTGTGGGAATTCTCGGAAGTTGGCTGAATTGAGACTTAGGAATATCCACAGCAGGTTTTACAGTGACAGACATAAAATCCTTTTGGAGTTATGAAATGAGATTAGCAATTTTAAATTCTTGCCTGAAATCTTCAGATCAGTTTTTTTCTTTTTGGAAGTAAATTATTGAGGGTAATATTGAGAGACTGGATAACTTACATCTTTTCAATCCATTTCTGTGCAACATGAAGTCTTAATAAGCACAGAGCAGCATAATTCATGGGCAGCTTGTCTCAGTTGGCCACGGGTACCTCTCAGCGTCTACCTTTTTACTGGGTCCAGCAATCTAATCATATCTACCATTTCCTTTTCAATTAATTCCTAGGAAAGACCAGCCGTGGACTAGTACAACATCCCAGAGGCGAACAGAATCAAATCTAATCCCCACTGAATAATAATTTGTTAAAAAACTGCTATAAAGAAGGGAGAACAGTCCAGTCAGTTATTGTTTTTCATTTCCCACAAGGAAATTAACGGTAAAACATGTTAAATTTCAACTGTAAGATTTTAAGGTAGCCATGAAGATGAAATGAAATAGATACTAAAGTAAACCACAAAATAAATGTGCATGTGTGTTCTTTCCATATAGTAGAAGAGATACTCTTCTATTTGGCGAGATTTTGCAGAGACACCAAGAATATAGTAAGTGATGCTTTCTAACTCTTTTTGTAGGTTTCAGGGGGCTTTCTTTTGGTCAAAGCCTATGGTGCTGAATTCAGCTTGTCCACTAGGCAACCCTAATATATGCTAAGTATCCTTTAACTAGTCAAGCATTTATTCCCATGATAAAATAAACTATGATGTATTTAATTATACATGTCATTGAAGAAGTCCTCTTTTAAAGAAAAACCATGAAGTGATTACCTGAAAAGCATAATAACAAATTGATTACCTAATAAGATGGAAAACTGAACATGAGCTTTTGTCTCCACTCCATTCCAACGCTCTCTCAAAAGATAGAAGAGGAAAGTAAAAGTTATAAATCCACACAGAAATAAAGAGTGGAAGAAGAGCCGGGCGCGGTGGCTCATGCCTGTAATCCCAGCACTTTGGAGGCCGAGGCGGGTGGATCACGAGGTCAGGAGATCGAGACCATCCTGGCTAACACAGTGAAACCCTGCCTCTACTAAAAATGCAAAAAATTAGCTGGGCGTGGTGGCACACGCCTGTACTCCCAGCTACTTGGGAGACTGAGGCAGGAGAATCACTTGAACCCGGGAGGTGGAGGTTGCAATGAGCCGAGATCATGCCACTGCACTCCAGCCTGGCAACAGAGCAAGACTCTGTCTCAAAAAAAAAAAAAAAGAGTGGAAGAAGAAAACAACAGCAGACCAGATCACAGTTTCAGGAGGTTGGCAGCCACTGGCTGAGTGGGACTGACTAGGAAAACACTGAAACCCACACAACAACAGAGGGGAGACCAGCAAGAAGCCAGCCTACCTCACCTCAGAACCCTGGGAGTCAGACATCAAAAGTTCTTCCAGGTGCCTGGAAAAGTAGGAGCCAGGGTGAACTGAAAAGAGAATAAAAATTGGGGTAATCTGCATACTGGCCTGCAAGACCTCCCAGCCTTTTTCCCCTTCATTTCCCAGAAATCTGCTCCCTACAAAACTGGCGATGAAAAGATCCTACTATGACACTAACATTTGGCAAGGCTGCCAGAAATTGGCTCGCTCCTTGCTTGCTAATCCTCCAGGGAAGCTTACTATTCACCAGGCTTTCCCACTTCCCACCACAATCAGCTTTCCATCCTCAGTCTTAAATATAAACAGACAACCAAAGATCAACGACATTATAGGAAAGCCTCCAACTTTCCTATATAGGAAAGCCTCCAACTTTCCTATATAGGAAAGCCTCCAACTTTCCTATATAGGAAAGCCTCCAACTTTCCTATATAGGAAAGCCTCCAACTTTCCTATATAGGAAAGCCTCTTGGTATAAGAGGCATATACCAAGGCAAAAAAATGTGGATGGGGGAACTTAGAGGAACCAGAGACAAAAGAAGAAAATTTCAAAGAAACTGCAATTAGTATCCTCTGAAAAAGAAGAAAAGCTGTTGGACCCATGAAACATTAAAAAGGTGCTATCAGGAAGGGTTTGTTGTTGTTTTTGTTGTTTTAGAGACAAGGTCTTGCTATGTTTCCCAGCCTGGCCTTGAATTCCTAGGCTCAAGAGATCTTCTGAGCCTCCTGAGTAGCTTGGACTACAGGCATGTGCCACTGTGCCCAGGTTTTTGTTGTTGTTTGTTTGTTTTGTTTTGTTTTGTTTCATTTTGTTTTGTTTCATTTTGTTTTGCTTTTTTGAGACGGAGTCTCACTCTGTCGCCCAGGCTGGAGTTCAGTGGTGCAATCTCGGCTCACTACAACCTCCGCCTCACGGGTTCAAGTGATTCTTCTGGCTCAGCCTTCCAAGTAGCTGGGACTACAGGCACGCACCACCACGCCTGGCTAATTTTTGTATTTTTAGTAGAGATGGGGTTTCACCATATTGGCCAGGCTAGTCTGGAACTCCTGACCTTATGATCCACCCGCCTTGGCCTCCCAAAGTGCTGGGATTACAGGTGTGAGCCACCACGCCCAGGCTTTTTTTAAAAAAAAAAAAAAAAAAAAAAACAAAAGAAACAGAGAATGAGAAGGAACTCTTGGAAATTAAAAATATAACAAGAATGAAAACTTCAGTAGAAAGATTAGAAGACAGCTGGGTATGGTGGTTTATACCTATAATCCCAACAGTTTGGGAGGCCAAGGCAGGTAGATTGCTCAAGCCCAGGAGTTTGAGACCAGACTGGGCAACATGGCAAAATACAGTTTCTACAAAAAAGACAAAAATTAGCCAGATGTGGTGGCACACGTCTGTAGTCCCAACTACTTGGGAGGCTGAGGTGGGAGGATCACCTGAGCCCAGAAGGCAGAGGTTGCAGTGAGCTGAGATTGCACCACTGCACTCCAGCCTGGGCCAGGCCACAGAGTTAGACAGTGTCTAAAAAAAAAAAAAAAAAAAAAAAAAAAAAAAAAAAAAAAAAAAAAAAAAAATATGGTTAGAAGAAAAGTTTCAGAAAGTCTCAAAAAAAGCAGAAGGAGAAAATAGAAAAATGATGGAAATATTTAGGAGGTAAATCCAGGATCCTCAACATTAGACTAAAGAGGATCTGGAAAAATAAATGAGAATAAATCAAATGTTCTTGTATTATTAAAGAAATAATACAAGAACATTATTTCTTTAATAATACAAAAATATTTCCCCCAAACTGAAAGAAATAAGTTTCCAAATTGAAAGCATCAACCTAGTACCCAGCTTCCTGAATTAAAATTAAAAAAAATGACCGAAGGCATACCACTGCACAATTTTAGAACATGAGGGATACATAATCCTAAAAACCTTCAGAGGGAAGAGGGAAAGGTTATAGACATGAAACAAGTAATAAGAATGTACTGGGGCCGGGCATGGTGGCTCATGTCTGTAATCCCAGCACTTTGGGAGGCAGAGGCAGGCAGATCACCTGTGGTCAGGAGTTCGAGACCAGCCTGGCCAACATGGTGAAACCTTGTCTCTACTAAAAATACAAAAATTAACTGGGTGCAGTGGCACATGCCTGTAATCCCAGCCACTCGGGAGGCTGAGGCAGGAGAATCGCTTGAACCCAGGAGGCAGAGGTTGCAGTGAACCAAGATCGTGCTACTGCCCTCCAGCCTGGGCAACAGAGTGAGACTTTGTCTCAAAAAAAAAAAAAAAAAAAGAATGTATTGGATGTCTAATCCACACTGAACTAGAAGTCAACAGAACAGTACCTGCAAAATGTTAAGAGTAAGTTACATTTACACCTAGAATTCTATACCCAAATAAACTCCCAGCTGAATGTGAGGGTAGCATATTTTGAGGCATGCACGTTCTCAAAAAATTTACCTCCAATGCACCCTCCTGCAAGAAGCTACTGAAGGATGTTTTTTTACCAAAACAAAAGAACAACAAATCAAGACAGAGAAAGACCTGGGATCCAGTTCACATGGACTCTAATCTAGGAGGGAGATGATGTGTGACGCCAAGTGTCCAGAGGAAACTGTGCAGTGGGCATATAATACAAAGAAGACTTTTGGGAGCGGCATCTCCAAGAAAAACAAACAGAACTGATAGATTTCTCATTTATTTGACCTTGCTGAGAAAGGAGTTTACTCTTCCCTTGGAAATGATGGGCATGAATTAGTGATAGATACATGGAAAACAAAGCAAATTTCAAAAATAAGATAATGTATAATCCTTGATTAAATCTTGGATTAAAAATTTTTAGGGCAGGCGCGGTGGCTCACATCCATAATCCCAGCACTTTGGGAGGCTGAGACAGGCAGATCACTTGAGTTCAGGAGTTCAAGATCAGGCTGGCCATCTGATGGTGAAACCCCATCTCTACTAAAAATACAAAAAAATTAACTGGGCGTACTGGTGGGCACCTGTAATCCCAGCTACTTGGGAGGCTGGAGCAGGAAAATCACTTGATCTAGGGAAGTGGAGGTTGCAGCGAGCTGAGATCCCACCACTGCACTCTGGCCTGGGAGACAGAGTGAAATTCCACCTCAAAAAAAAAAAAAATTAACTACAAAGGCATTACTGTGACAGTTGAGGAAATTTGAATAGGGAATATTCACTAGAAAATATTTTATGTTAATTTTTTTAACTTTTATTTTAGGTTGAGTGGTACATATGCAGGTTTGTTATATAGGTAAATTACATGTACTCAGTAGGTAGTTTTTTGATCCTCACTCTCCTCCCACCCTCCCCCATCAAGTAGACCCCAGTGTCTCTTGTTCCCTTCTTTGTATCCATGTGTATTCAATGTTTAGTTCCCACTTACAAGTGTGAACATACAGTATTTGATTTTCTGTTCCTTAGGCTAATGGCCTCTTGCTCCATCCACGTTGCTGCAAAGAACATGATCTCATTCTTTTTTATGGCCGTGTATTATCCCATGGTGTACATGAACATTTTCTTTATTCAGTCTACTGTTGATGAGCATATAGGTTGATTCCATGTCTTTGCTATTGTGAATAGTGCTGTGGTGAACATTCATGTGCATGTGTCTTTATAGTACAGTAATTTATATTACTTTGGGTATATATACCCAATAATGGGATTGCTGGGTCGAATAGTAATTGTTTTGAGTTCTTTGAGAAATCACCACACTGCTTTCCACAATGGCTGAACTAATTTGCATTCCCACCAGCAAGCAGTGTATATGTGTCCCCTTTTCTCTGAAACCATGCCAGTATCTGTTATTTTTTGACTTTTTTTTTTTTACTTTTTTTTTGGAATTTTCTTTTTTTAATTTTATAGTAATTTCTGGGGTACATGTCCAGGATATGCAAGTTTATTACAGAGGTAAACATGTGCCATGGTGGTTTCCTGTACCTATCAATCCATCACCTAAGTATTAAGCCCCACATGCATTAGCTATTTTTCCTCATGCTCTCCTTGACCCCATCCCCACTCTGACAGGTCCTAGTTTGTGTTGTTCCCCTCCCTGTGTCCATGTGTTCTTATTGTTCAGCTGTCACTTATGAGTCAGAACATGTGGTGTTTGGTTTTCTGTTACTGTATTGGTTTGCTGAGGATAATGGCTTCCAGCTCCATCCATTTCCCTGCAAAGGACTTGATCTCATTGCTTTTTATGGCTGCATAGTATCCCATGGTGTATTCTAACTGGTGTGAGATGGTATCTTATTGTGGTTTTGATTTGCATTTTTCTAATCACTAGTAATATTGAGCATTTTTTCATATGCTTGTTGGCCATGTGTATGTCTTCTTTCGAAAAGTGTCTGTTCAGGTTCTTTGCCCACTTTTTGATCAGGTTGTTTGGTTTTTGCTTGCTAATTTGTTTAAGTCCTTATAGATTCTGGATATTAGACCTTTGTCAAATACATAGTTTGCAAATATTTTCTCTCATTCTGAAGGTTAACTGCTTAGTCTATTGATAATTTCTTTTGCTCTGCAGAAGCTCTTTAGCTTAACTAGTTTCATTTGTCAATTTTTGTTTTTGTTACAATTGCCTTTGGTGTCTTCATTGTGAAATCTTTGCCAGGTCCTATGTCCAGGATGGTATTTCCCAGGTTATCTTCCAGGGTTTTTATATTTTTAGGTTTCATATTTAAGTCTTTAATCTATGTTCAGTTTATTTTTGTATATGATGTAAGAAAGGGGTTCAGTTTGAATTTTCCGCATATGGCTAGCCAGTTATCCAAGCACCATTTATTGAATAGGGAGTCTTTTCTCCATTGCTTGTTTTTGTCAGTTTTATCAAAGATCAGATGGTTGTAGATGTGCGGCCTTATTTCTGAGCTCTCTATTATGTTCCACTGGTCTATGTGTCTGTTTTTGTACCAGCATCATGCTATTTTGTTTACTGTAGCCTTGTAGTAAAGTTTGGAGACAGGTAATGTGATGCTTCCAGCTTTGTTCTTTTTGCTTAGGCTTGCTTGGGCTATGCAGGCTCTTTTTTGATTCCAAATGAATTTTAAAATCTTTTTTTCTAATTCTGTGAAGACTATCATTGGTAATTTGATAGGAATAGCATTGAACCTGTAAATTTCTTTGGGCAGTATGGCAATTTAACAATATCAATTCTTCCTACTATGAGCATGGAATGTTTTTCTACTTGTTTATCTCTGATTTTGTTGAGCAGTGTTCTGTAATTCTCACTGTAGAGATCTTTCATCTCTCTGATTAGCTGTATTCCTAGGTATTTCATGCTTTTTGCGGCAATTGTGAATGGAGTTGTGTTCTTGATTTGGCTCTCAGCTTGGATGTTGTTGGTGTATTGGAATGTTACTGATTTTTGTATGTTAATTTTGTATCCAGAAACTTTGCTGAAGTTGTTTATCAGATCTAGGAGCTTTTGGGCAGAGACTATGGGGTTTTCTAGGTATAGAATCATGTCATCTTCAAACAGGGATAGTTTGACTTCCTCTCTGGATGCCTTTTATTTCTTTCTCTTGCCTGATTGCTCTGCTAGAACTTTAAATACTATATCGAATAGGAGTGGTGAGAGAGGACACCCTTGTCTTGTTCTGTTTCTCAAGGGGAATGCTTCCAGCTTTTGCCCATTCAGTACAATCTTGACTTGGGGTTTGTTAAAGATGGCTCTTATTATTTTGAGATATGCTTCTTCCATGCCTAATTTTTTGAGGGTTTTTAACATGAAGGCATGTTGAACTTTACTGAAAGACTTCTTCATCTATTGAGATGATTATGTGGTTTTTGTTTTCAATTCTGCTTCTGCTGTAAATCAAAAGGTATCTGAGACAAGTCTCAATCAAGTTAGAAAGTTTATTTTGCCAAAACAAACTGTCTCTCAGACCACAGTGCAATCAAACTAGAACTCAGGATTAAGAAACTCACTCAAAACTGCTCATCTACATGGAAACTGAACAACCTGCTCCTGAATGACTACTGGGTACATAACGAAATGAAGGCAGAAATAAAGATGTTATTTGAAACCAATGAGAACAAAGACACAACATACCAGAATCTCTGGGACACATTTAAAGCAGTGTGTAGAGGAAAATTTATAGCACTTAATGCCCACAAGAGAAAGCAGGAAAGATCTAAAATTGATGCCGTAACATCACAATTAAAAGAACTAGAGAAGCAAGAGCAAACACATTCAAAAGCTAGCAGAAGGCAAGAAATAACTAAGATCAGAGCAGAACTGAAGGAGACAGAGACACAAAAAACCCTTCAAAAAATCAATGAATCCAGGAGCTGGTTTTTTGAAAAGATCAACAAAATTGATCTAATAAAGAAGAAAAGAGAGAAGAATCAAAGAGATGCAATAAAAAATGATAAAGGGGTTATCACCACCGATCCCACAGAAATACAAACTACCATCAGAGAATACTATAAACACCTCTACACAAATAAACTAGAAAATCTAGAAGAAATGGATAAATTCCTGGACACATACACCCTCCCAAGACTAAACCAGGAAGAAGTTGAATCTCTGAATAGACCAATAACAGGCTGTGAAATTGAGGCAATAATTAATAGCCTACCAACCAAAAAAAGTCCAGGACCAGACAGACTCACAGCCAAATTCTACCAGATGTACAAGGAAGAGCTTTTACCATTCCTTCTGAAACTATCCCAATTGACAGAAAAAGAGGGAATCCTCCCTAACTCATTTGATGAGGCCAGCATCATCCTGATACCAAAGCCTGGCAGAGACACAACAAAAAAAGAGAATTTTAGACCAATATCCCTGATGAACATTGATGCAGAAATCCTTGATAAAATACTGGCAAACCGAATGCAGCAGCACATCAAGAAGCTTATCCACAGTGATCAAGTGGGCTTCATCCCTGGGATGCAAAGCTGGTTCAACATACGCAAATCAATAAATGTAATCCATCATATAAACAGAACCAAAGACAAAAAACACATTATTATCTCAATAGATGCAGAAAAGGCCTTCGACGAAATTCAACAACGCTTCATGCTAAAAACTCTCAATAAATTAGGTATTGATGGGACGTATCTCAAAATAATAAGAGCTATTTATGACAAACCCACAGCCAATATCATACTGAATGGGCAAAAACTGGAAACATTCCCTTTGAAAACTTCCACAAGATAGGGATGCCCTCTCTCACCACTCCTATTCAACATAGTGTTGGAAGTTCTGGCCAGGGCAATCAGGCAGGAGAAAGAAATAAAGGGTATTCAATTAGGAAAAGGGGAAGTCAAATTGTCCCTGTTTGCAGATGACATGATTGTATATTTAGAAAACCCCATCGTCTCAGCCCAAAATCTCCTTAAGCTGATAAGCAACTTCAGCAAAGTCTCAGGATACAATATCAATGTGCAAAAATCACAGGCATTCCTATACACCAATAACAGACAAACAGAGAGCCAAATCATGAGTGAACTCCCATTCACAATTGTTTCAAAGAGAATAAAATACCTAGGAATCCAACTTACACGGGATGTGAAGGACCTCTTCAGGGAAAACTACAAACCACTGCTCAACGAAATAAAAGAGGACACAAACAAATGGAAGAACATTCCATGCTCATGGATAGGAAGAATCAATATCGTGAAAATGGCCATACTGCCCAAGGTAATTTATAGATTCAATGCCATCCCCATCAAGCTACCAATGACTTTCTTCACAGAATTGGAAAAAACTACTTTAAATTTCATATGGAACCAAAAAAGAGCCTGCATTGCCAAGACAATCCTAAGCCAAAAGAACAAAGCTGGAGGCATCACGCTACCTGACTTCAAACTATACTACAAGGCTACAGCAACCAAAACAGCATGGTACTGGTACCAAAAAAGAGATATAGACCAATGGAACAGAACAGAGCCCTCAGATATGATACCACACATCTATAACCATCTGATCTTTGCAAACTTGACAAAAACAAGAAATGGGGAAAGGATTCCTTATTTAATAAATGGTGCTTGGAAAACTGGCTAACTATATGTAGAAAGCTGAAACTGGATCCCTTCCTTACACCTTATACAAAAATTAATTCAAGATGGATTAAAGACTTAAATGTTAGACCTAAAACCATAAAAACCCTAGAAGAAAACCTAGGCAGTACCATTCAGGACATAGGCAAGGGCATGGACTTCATGTCTACAACACCAAAAGCAATGGCAACAAAAGCCAAAACTGACCAATAGGATCTAATTAAACTAAAGAGCTTCTGCACAGCAAAAGAAACTACCATCAGAGTGAACAGGCAACCTATAGAATGGGAGAAAATTTTTGAAATCTACCCATCTGACAAAGGGCTAATATCCAGAATCTACAAAGAACTCAAACAAATTTACAAGAAGAAAACCCCATCAAAATCAAAAAGTGGGCGAAGGATATGAACAGACACTTCTCAAAAGAAGACATTTATGCAGCCAACAGACACATGGAAAAATGCTCATCATCACTGGCCATCAGAGAAACACAAATCAAAACCACAATGAGATACCATCTCATACCAGTTAGAATGGTGATCCTTAAAACGTCAGGAAACAACAGGTGCTGGAGAGGATATTGGAGAAACAGGAACACTTTTACACTTTTGGTGGGAGTGTAAACTAGTTCAACCATTGTGGAAGACAGTGTGGCGATTCCTCAAGGATCTAGAACTAGAAATACCATTTGACCCAGCCATCCCATTACTGGGTATATACCCAAAGGATTATAAATCATGCTGCTATAAAGACACGTGCACACGTATGTTTATGGCGGCACTATTCACAATAGCAAAGACTTGGAACCAACCCAAATGTCCATCAATGATAGACTGGATTAAGAAAATGTGGCACATTACACCATGGAATACTATGCAGCCATAAAAAAGGATGAGTTCATGTCCTTTGTAGAGTCATGGATGAAGCTGGAAATCATCATTCTTAGCAAACTATCACAAGGACAGAAAACCAAACACTACATGTTCTCACTCATTGGTGGGAATTGAACAATGAGAACACTTGGACACAGGAAGGGGAACATCACACACTGGTGCCTGTCGTGGGGTGGGCGGAGGGGGGAGGGACAGCATTAGGAGATATACCTAATGTAAATGAAGAGTTAATGGGTGCAGAACACCAGTATGGCACATGTATACATATGTAACAGACCTGCACTTTGTGCACACGTACCCTAGAACTTAAATAATAAAAAAAAAAGAAAGAAAGTAAGTTTATCTTGCCAAGGTAAAGGACTTGCCCCTGACACAGCCTCCAGAGGTCCTGACCACATGTCCCCAAGGTTGTCAGGGCACAGCCTCGGTTTATACATTTTAGGGAGATATGAGACATCAATCAATTTATGTAAAATGTACATTTGTTCAGGCTAGAAAGGCAAGACAACTCAAAGCACGGAGGGGATTTCCAGGTCATAGGTAGATAAGAGACAACTGTTTGCATTCTTTTGAGTTTCTGATTAGCCTTTCACTGAATGCACAATTTACAGTAATAGTCACTTATGCCTTAGTCTGGCTTAGTGAAATAATAGGGCAAATGAAGCAATCAGATATGCATTTATCTCACAAGAGCAGAAGGATGACTTTGAGTTCTGCCTGCCCTTTGTCTACAAGGAATTTCCCTGTGGGCAAATTTTGAGGGAGATTTGCAGCTTTTTTATCTTTGTAGCTATCTTATTTAGGAATAGAATAGGAGGCAGGTTTTCCCTACGCCCTTCCCAGCTTGACTCTTCCCTTTGGCTTAGTGATTTTGGGGCCCTGAGATTTATTTTCCTTTCACAATGTGATGAATCATGCTTATTGATTTGCATATGCTGAGCCAACTTTGCAACTTCACAGCTTTTTGATGTGCTTCTAGATTCAGTCTGCTGTATTTTGTTGAGGATTTTGGCATCTATGCTCATCAAGGATGTTGGCCTGAAGTTTTCTTTTCTTCTTGTGTCTTTGCTTTGTTTTAGTATCAGGATAATGCTAGCCTTATAGAGTGAGTTAGAGAGAAGACCCTCCTCAATTTTTTGGAATGGTTTCAATAGGAATGATATCCGCTCTTCTTTATACATCTGGTAGAATTCAGCTGTGAATCTATATCTAGTCCTGGGCTTTTCTTTTTGGTAGGCTTTTTATTACTGATTCAATTTCAGAACTCATTATTGGTCTGTTCAGGGATTCAATTTCTTTAATTTTGGGAGGTTGTGTTTTTCCATCAATTTATCCATTTCTTCTAAGCTTTCTGCTTTGTGTGCACAGAGATGTTTGAAGTAGTCCCCGAGGGTTTTTTCTATTTCTGTGGGGTTGGTGGTAACATCTCCTTTGTCATTTCTGATTGTGTTTATTTGGATCTCCCTTTTTTTATTAGTCTAGATAGCAGTCTATCTTATTTATTATTTCAAAAAACCAACTCCTGGACTCATTGTTTGTTTTTACTTTATTTTTTGCATTTTGATTTCCTTCATTTCAGCTCTGATTTTGGTTATTTCTTGTCTTCTGCTAGCTTTAGGGTTGGTTTGCTCTTCTTTCTCTAGTTCCTCAAGGTGTGATGGTAGGTTGTTAATTTGAGATCTCTCTAACTTTGATGTGGGCATTTAGCATTATAAACTTCCCACTTAACACTGCTTTAGCTGCATCCCTGACATTCTGGTATGTTGTATCTTCTCTCTCATTCATTTCAAAGAATTTCTTGATTTCTGCCTTAATTTCATTGTTCACCCAAGTCATTCAGGAGCACATTGTTTAATTTCCATGTAATCATATAGTTTTTTTTTGAGTGATTTATTTTCTTTCTTTCCTTTCTTTCTTTCCTTCCTTCCGTCCTTTCTTTCTTTTCTTTCTTTCTTTCCTTCCTTCCTTCTTTTGTTCTTTCTTTCTTTTTTTAGAGATGAGGTCTCAATATGCTGTCCAGGTTAGTTGTGAATTCCTGGGTTTAAGCGATCCTCCCGCCTCAGCCTCCCAAAGTGCTGGGATTATAGGCATGAGCTAGTGCACCTGCCTGTGATTTTCTTAGTATTGATTTCTGTTTTTATTGCACTGTGATCCAAGAGTGCTGTGATCCAAATTTTGGATTTTGTGAATTTGCTGAAGATGGTTTCTTGGCCAATTGTATGGTCAATGTTAGAGTATGTGCCATATGCAGATGAGAAGAATGCATACTCTGTTGTTTTGAGGTGGTGAGTTGTGTAGATATCTACTAGGTCCATTTGGTCAAGTGTAAAGTTCGGGTCCTCAATATCTTTGTTAGTTTTCTTCCCCACTGAACTAATACTGTCAGTGGGGTGTTGGAGTTTCCAACTATTATTGTGTGGTTATCTAAGTCTCTTCATAGATCTCTAAGAACTTGCTTTATGAATCTGGGTGTTCCTGTGTTGGGTGCATATATATTTAGGATAGTTAGGTCTTCTTGTTGAATTGACCCTTTTATTATTATGTAATGCCCTTTTTAAAAAAATCTTCATTGGTTTAAAGTCTGTTTTGTCTGAAATTAGAATAGCAACCCTTGCTTTTTTCTGTTTTCCATTTGCTTGCTAAATTTTTCTCCATCCCTTTACTTTGAGCCTATAGGTGTCATTGCATGTGACATGAGTCTCTTGAAGACAGCATACCATTGGGTCTTGCTTCTTTATCCAACTTGCCACTCTGTGCCTTTTGATTGAGGCATTTAGCCCATGTACATTCAAGATTAATATTCATATATGCAGATTTGATCCTGTCATCATGTTGTTAGGTGGTTATTTTGCAGACTTGTTTGTGTGGTTGCTTTATAGTGTCAATGATCTGTGTACTTAAGTGTCTTTTTCTAATGGCCAGTAATGGTCTCTTCTTTCCATATGTAGCACTCCCTTAAGGACCTCTTATAAGGCAAGTCTGGTGGTAACAAACATCCTTAATGTTTGCTTGTCTGAAAAGGATATTATTTCTCCCTGGCTTATCTTAGTTATCTTAATCTTAGTTTGGCTGATATGAAGTTTTTAGCTGGAATTTTTTTTAGAATGCTGAATACAGACCCCCAATCTCTTCTGGCTTATAGGGTTTCTGCTGAAAGGTCTGCTGTTAGCCTGATGGGGTTCCCTTTGTAGGTGACCTGCCCCTCCTCTCTAGGTCCTTTAACACTTTTTCATTCATTTCAACCTTGGAGAACCTGAGGACTATGTGTCTTGGGGATGGTTGTCTTGTGCAGTATCTCACAGGGGTTCTCTGCACTTCCTGAGTTTGAATGTTGGCTCCTCTAGCAAAGTTGGGAAAAGTTCCATGGATATATCCTGGAAGATGTTTTACAACTTGCTTCCTTTCTCTCTCTCTTTCAGAGATGCCAATGAGTCACAGATTTCTTCTCTTTATATGATCCCATATTTCTCAGAAGTTTTGTTCATTATTGTTTAATTTTTTTCTTCATTTTTATCTGAGATATTTCGAAGAACAAGTCTTAAGCTCTGAGATCTTTCCTCAAGTTTGTCAATTCTCTGTTAATACTGTAATTATATTCTGGAATTATTTAGGTGACTTTTTCAGCTCCATCAGATCAGTATGGTTCTTCCTTAAAATAGCCGTTTTGTATTTTATCACCTGCATAATTTTATCATATGCCATTGAATCCTTGGATTGAGTTTCAACTTTCTCCTGAATCTTAATTATCTTTATGTCTATCCATATTCTGAATTCTAATTCTGTCACTTCAGCTGTTTCAGCCTGCTTAAGAACCACTGCTGGGGAACTAGTGTGGTCATCTGGAGGTAAGAAGACACTATGGCTTTTTGAGTTGCCACAGTTCCTGTGCTGGTTCTTTCTCATTTGCATAGGCTGACGTTCCTTCAATCTTTGAAGTTGCTGTCCTTTGGATGAGTTTTAATTTTTTTTTGCTTTTATCTTCTTTGATGCCCTTGGGCGTTTGATTGTTATATAAGGTGGGTTAAGTTGACTGTCTTCATTTCTGGAAGATTTTAGGAGACCAAGGATCAGCTCAGCACTTCTGGGCTGCATGCTATAACTCTAGGGGGCTGGTATCGGGCCCCTGGCTTTGTCCTCTGGCTGCTGGAGGTTAGGACCACTAGCAACAATACTCCAATGGGTGATGCCAGCAAAAGTGCTTCTTTGGGGCAGTTGTAGCAGGATCTATGCTTGTTCGCATATGCCAACAACAGTGGCAGCAAGGCGGGTCCATGCTCAGCAGCTTAGGTGGGGTACTGGTAGGCTTGGGGGCAGTCGCCTTTTTGTACACATTCACACTGGTGGTGGTGTGTGCACAGGGACAAGGCACTGATGGGGACAGCGCTATCGGCTCCATGTGTGTGTTTTTACTGGCAGCAGCAGCAATGCGTGGGGGACAAGGCCACTGGCCTCCATGCACTTATGTCGGCAACAGTGGCATGGTGGGGTACATGTGCACACCCATGTCAGAGAAGGAGGGCAGGCACCATGCTGGCTAAGCAGTGTGGAGTGGACGTGGGCAAATGAGCGCAGGCAAAGTGACGCGAAGGAGGCTGCAGTCAGGGGAGGGTGTGGGTGGGTTGGTGCACGTCGGCACAGGCTGCTCTTTTGGAGCTCTCTGATGGTATGACAACAAAGGATCTATGATATGGATTCACAAAACGCACCCTAGTTGGGCATCTGAGGCTGCACTGCAAGCAGACTTGGACAGGCCAAGAAGAGGCTAGCAGACAGTGGGGCACTCAGATAAGACTGCTCACATCTCACAGGCAAGACTGTCCTGCTCTGTTCAGGTCCGATAGTTTCTGTAAGGCTAAACTCTCCTAGGGGAGCATGGTGAGCCTTGAGAGATGGGCATCCCTGGTCATGCTCCACTTCAGACACTCCTGCACCAAACCCCCTGGGCTCCTTGCAGGCTGGAGTCCTGCCCCTACTACCTCTCTAAACGGTTATCCTTGCCAGCTTAAGTGTCCATGGGGGTCATGGGGTCTTTGGCTGCCAGGATTCCAGAGGTCCATGGTAAGGGTGGGTCACTCCTTGCCCATTCAACTCATCCCTTCCCCAAGAGTCACTGGGGGCCAGGAATAAGTCCTAGTGTGCAGTAGCCCCATGCAGTGTTCCCAGCTTCCTCTCCCTTCAGCCCAGTATCTGTGTCCTCCCTCTGTCCACTCTTAATGCCTTTCCTCCAAAGATCTGTTAAATGTGCACCAGTCTTCCTGATGTCCCGGTCCCTCAGTGACAGATGTTCTTCCTGGCTGCATCTAGTTGGCCATCTTGAATCTTAAATTTCTTAGGGATAATAAAGGTAATTGTGGTTAAGTGTATTTAAATCACCAGCATGGGTAATAGAAAAGGAAGAAGAAAAAGAAAAAGACTTTTCACCAAAAAGTAAGTCTGAAGGAATGAATACTTTCCAGATGGGAGAAAGGGCATTCCAGGCCAAGGTTACACAAGTAGGAAGGTACAGGATGAGGACAAAACATGAGTTCTTTCGGTCATTGGACAAACATTGTATGAGGACTACTATGGGCATAATTCTTAGCACTGAGATTATGTGAGAGCAGTGAAGAAGCACTGAGAGCAGTGAACAAGGGCCAACCTCCCTGCCTTACAGGTTTTGCATTCTAGTGGTGGGGGTGGAAGGAGGGAGGGCTGGAGAGGATAGATAATAATGATGAGTGGAGAGCCTTCTAGGCAGAAGAAATTCCCTACTGACGTGACCTAAGGAAAAGTGTGTCCAGGTGTGTTGGAACAACAGCTGGGAAGCCAATGTGCTTGGAAGGGAGAAATCTATGAGAGAACAGCAGGAGAGAAGGTTCCAGAATTACTGAGAGGGTTTTAGGACATGATTTAAATTTTGGCTTTTATTAATAGTATGAACTTATTGAGGAGATGAATGGGATGAGTTGACCCAGTGATAAAGCTGTTAAAAGGATCACTTTGGCTTCTGTGTTGAGAACAGACTTCAGGCAACATGGGTAAAGGCAGAAAAGCCAATTAAGAGGCCACTGTGTCACAGCTGCTGATAGGCTGGGAAAGGTAAAGTGTGAGAATTAACCAATGGTAGAGCAGTCACAGTGACCTTGATAGGAGCAGGTCTAGTGATGCAGCAAGGGTGAAACCTGGTTTGAGTGGGTCCAACAAAGAATGGAAAGAGAGGAATTAGGAAAATGTTGAGATGTGTCTATTCCATTTAGTGCTGCAATAAAGAAATCTGAGGTCGGATAACTTATAAAGAAAAAAAATTTGGCTGGGTGCAGTGGCTCAGGCCTACAATCCAAGCACTTTGGGAAGCCAAGGCAGGGGAATTACTTGAGTCCAGGAGTTTTGAAACCAGCCTGGATAACAGCAAAACCCTTTTTCTACAAAAAATTAAGAAATTAGCCAAGTATGGTGGCACGCACCTGTAATCCCAGCTACTAGAGAGGCTGAGGTGGGAGAATCACTTGAGCCTGGGAGGTCAAGGCTGCAGTGAGCTGAGATGGTGCCACTGCACTCCAGCCTGGGTGACAGAGCGAAACCCTGTCTCAAAAAAAAAAGAAAAGAAGAAAGAAAAATATTTTATTTGGCTCACAATTCTGGTGATTGGAAAATTGAAGACTGGACATCTGCATCTCAAGCTGCTTCCACTCAGAGCAGAAGGCAGAAGGGGAGCCAGTGTGTGCAGAGATCACGCAGCCAGAGAGGAAGCAAGGTAGTGGATGGGGGGCAGGGGGTGGAAAATGCCAGGCTCTTGTGAACAACCAGCTCTCCCAGAAACTAATAGAGTGAGAACTCACCATTAAGGAAGGGCACTAAACTATTCATGAGGAATCTACCTTCAAGATCCAAGCACCTCCCATTAGGCCTACGTCTCCAACACTGGGGGTCAAATATCAACATGAAGTTTGGAGGGCACAAACAAACCACATCCAAATCATAGCAAGGTGTTTGGCTGTGAACAAACAAAACAAAACAAAAAAAAACAGAAAAATGGGGCAGTAACTAGAGGAGATGAGAGATCAAAAGAGAGGCCTGATTTTTTATTAGACAAAGTAGAGATTGTGTATTGATGAACAATCCATTGACTGATGATATTAACTGATTGATATGGATTAATATATAATTAATATCAATTGAGTGAGTTGGGAGTCTGTGGCAGGTGGATCACATGAGGCCAGGAGTTTGAGACCAGCCTGGGTGACAGGGCGAGACCCTATCTCAAAATCAATTGATATTAATTGATAATACAGAAGGAGGGTACAACTGCTGCTGTAATTACCTTGAATAAATGAAAGAAGAAGAGCCATTGGGCACAAATGAAAGGGTTGCCCTTAGCTAGGATCATGGACAGTCTACCCACAGAAACATCAGGGAAGGCAGAGTATGTAGACCCAGGTGCAGAAGGTGAGTGGACAGCTGGTGAGGGCCATGGAGGTCTATTCAGATCACTTCTGTTTTCTTAAGGAAACTGACAGAGTGATGATGGGAGAAGTATGAGAGGTCAGAAGAAAGAAGGGAAGGAATGAAAACTAGGTATCCAGGAGAGTGTGTTTATTATCAGAAGGGTTATCTAGGAGAAGGTGAATGTTCCAGGGAAATATGTGGTTGCCACACAGAATTAAGAGTCCACTCAAGGTTGGGGTCATTTAGAGTGAGCCCAGGAAGCATGGTTGTGTGTCTTTCTGCAATTATATTATGCTGGGTGGGTTTAGTTGGGTGCTGAGATTATGCAAGGGAGTGATTATAATGACTGATCATGGAATTTAAACCAGGTAAAGAGAATAGTGAGAATATAATGTGGGGTGAAAAGAACTAGGAAGAGTGAGCTGCAAAGATTAGAAGTGGTAAAGAAAGACTGAGATGATGGCTTGGATGTGAGATAACACAGTTTAAAGTAGGTCCATGGAGTAGAGTGGCTGCTACAGAGAGAGAACAAAATTGTTGGAAAAGGAGAAGTCAAGAAACCATGAAACGTGGCTCCTGGAAGATCATCTACTTGGATGCTGAAATCAGGTGTCATTTCAGAGAATGGCAGTGAACCTGAAGGTAAAAATCTTCAAAAAACCAGGGAGAAGAACTCAGGAGGTTCATGAACAGAGCATGCCAATCTGCTAACGTGAGACTAAAAACTGGGGCAGGTAGGGTGGAGGGGGGAAAAATGGTCCAGAAGTGACCAGAAGGAGAAGGGAGGACTTCCACTTTGCTTCAGAGCGAGGGGTAGGAGGCCTGTGAACAGCTACACTAGAGAGGGCCACAAGGGAGCAGCATCCTCAGGACGAGCAGAGTTTCTATTACAGCAAAAAGAAGACTAGAAGGAATTTGCTTTGGATGACCAGGTTTAGCAATACTAAAGCATCAAAACATAACATCCAGTATGAGGGTGGTAGTGCATGCCCATAATGCCTTTCTGAGGCTGAGGGCAGAATCATGAAAGCCCAGGCTCATGCTTGCTCTCTCTCACTCTCTTTATATATATATGTGTGTGTGTGTGTGTGTGTGTATAAATATATAGGGTTTATGAATATATAAAATATATAGTTTATATATATAATATAGAGTATATGTCTATTTTATATATATAACCATATACAATGTCAAAGTCATGCTAACAAAATTGTGTATAATTCACTGTATTTTCTGAGGCAAAACATATTTAGTATCTAAACCTGTTACACAGTCACAACTCTTATTTTCCAAGCAGATTACGATAAACATTATATTCTATAGGAACATCTCCATACCCAAGATGATACCTGCTGATAAAAGGTTGAGAATCATGGCAGAGGAAGGTGATCCAGAATTGTCTCTGAGGTGGAACCAGATAAGATGCTGGAAAAGAGGGAGAGACCAGAGTAGAGAGACTCTCAAGGTTTGTTTTAGGGGATGGGGAGGATGAATATGCCAATGAAGGAGATGGGGAAGAGGACAAGAAGACATAAATGCTTCATTGAAATACAAGTTACATTTGAGATGCCTTTAGGCTAACAAGTTGGGCTGTCCAGGAGCCGTTGGAAAAAGGAATCTAGAATTCATACAGTAGTGAGGCAGGAGAGACAGATTTAGAAGTCATCATATAGGCATGTGGAAGCTGAAATAGATGAGTGGGTGAAACTTCTCAGTCTTTGGTTCCAGAGGTGATGGAACAGCAGCTCACCTGGCAGTAGCCAGCCCATGCTAACTACTAAAAAAAATCTCATAATGTATTGTCTATTTTGAGTCAAAATACATTTATTTTATTATTTTTTTTTTTTGAGACAGAGTTTTGCTCTTGTTGTCCAGGCTGGAGCGCAATGGCGTGATCTCAGCTCAAGGCAACCTCAGCCTCCTGGGTTCAAGAGATTCTCCTGCCTCAGCCTCCCAAGTAGCTGGGATTACAGGCATGCACCACCACGTCTGGCTAATTTTGTTGTAATTTTAGTAGAGACAGGGTTTCTTCATGTTGGTCAGGCTGGTCTCGAACTCTCAACCTCAGGTGATCCACCTGCTTCGGCCTCCCAAAGTGCTGGAATTACAGGCATGAGCCACTGTGCCTGGCCCAAAACACATTTAATATCTACTCCTGTAATAGGTGTGAGCAAGTTTTTGGACATTGAGGCAGATTGGAGGTTACCATGCTCAGCCATATTGGATCTTATGGCAAAAAAAAAAAAAAATCAGTGACACTGATCCTGTCTGTATTGTTCAATAGTGCCTCCAAAACATTCATGTCCACCCAGAGCCTCAGAATGTGATCTTATTTGGAAACAGGGTCTTTGCAAATATAATTATTTAAAATGAGGTCATATTGGATTAGAATGGGCCCTAAGTCCAGTGACTGGTGTCCTCAAAAGAAAAGGAGAGGACACAGAGACACATAGGGAAGAACTCATGACGATGAAGGCGAAGATGAGTGGAGACAAGCCAACAAACACCAGGGATTGCAGGCAATGACCCGAAGCTAGCAGAGAGGCATGAGGTTTCCTCCTGAGAGCCCCTGGCCTCCAGAACTGACAGAAAAGAAATGTATGTTCTTTTAAGCCACCCAGTTTTTGGTACTTTGTTACAGCAGCCCTTGGAAAATAATGTACTGTCTTTATCTAAAACTTTGATATTTGATTATAGATTGCTTGGCATTAGATTTAACTTTCTTTAATATCACATGAAAATATTTATTTGGATTACTGAGTTTTTTGGCGTAGCCTTAAATTTTACAGCTGAAGCAAGTGCCTCACTCACCTCATCCTAGTCCTGGCCCTGGGAATGTTTTAATTACTTTTATTAAGATATCAACAGGCAAGTTTCCTCTCAGTCTATTTCCAGACATAGATATATATCCAAATAATAAAGAGTAAAAGCAAGCATGATTTCTAAATAAAAGGGCTTTCAACAGGGATTAATTACATGTTCTCCCTCACTGAAGAAACACAACGCATCTCAGAAGGGATACAGATACTGGCATACCTTGTTTAAAAACAGCAGCCACAGTCTGTTAATTCTATCTGCTTCCCATGAGAAAGAAAAATCATCCCATGGCAGTTTAATTGGCCTTCACCCACATGTAGGGGGTTTATGAACATGTAGTCCCTTTGGGAAAATATCTAAAGAAAAATTCTTCAGAGTTGAATATGACTATGAGAGGGCTGGATAAAGTAAGTAGCAGTTTTTAAACAGGGTCCTAACTTTTTTTATACTCTTCATGGAGAGGTGGAGGAGGAAGTGTCTATGGCCACACCTCTTGACTATGGGCAGGCTTGTGACTGTTTCAACCAACAGACCACTGTGGACATGATAATGAAGCTTGGCAATCCAGCCTTGTGCACTAGAACACTCATGCTTGGAACCCTGAACCACCTGGTAAAAAGTCTGACTACCCTGAGATCACTAGCTGTAAGGAAACCAAATCACATAAGGCAGCCAGGTGTGAGTGTTCCCATCAGCAATTCTAGTCTTTAAGCCAGCCCGGCTTAAGAGATGAGACCTGACACCACAAGAAGCAGGGATTATTCCTTCCGTGTCTGATGTGAATTTCCCCAAAATTCATGAACATAAGAAATGGTTGTTTCAAGATGCTTAATTTGGGCCAATTTGCTATGTAGCAATAGTAACTGCAACAGAGTATGAGAGTCAAAGATATTTGTATCAATATGAATTGAGATTAATTATCCAAAATATTTCAATCATCTACAGAATAGATGTTTGAAAGTTCACAATACTCTGGAATAAAATATTTTCTACATAATGTAAAGCAAAGCATTATTTGCAAACATGTAAATACATGTTGTCCCATGAGAGGTTTTCCATTATAACTTCAGAGTAATTAAACATACAAAGACCAATCCCTTGCTAATCTTTCTGTTCAAATTGCTTAATTATGAGAGCTTCTGTGTTCATTGTAAGACAGAAAGATAAGGTTAATAAATCTTGTCCTTTGAACTCTCATTTCAAATTTTATCCCTGAGTGCAGATGTTGTTAAAATGTTTTCTCAAGCTTCTCAGTAACAGAGTTGGTTAGTACTTTTCTGGTGAGGATATTATTTCATGTCTGTATGTTCTAAAGTTCTAGCAGTGTAACATTATTGCTGATTTTAAAGACTGATACACCCCGTCTGGGAAGTGAGGAGCGCTTCTACCCGGCTGCCCCGTCTGGGAAATGAGGAGCGCTTCTGCCCGGCTGCCCCGTCTCGTAAGTGAGGAGCGCCTCTGCCCGGCCGCCCATCATCTGGGATGTGAGGAATGCCTCTGCCCGGCCTCCCCATCTGGGAGGTGAGGAGCACCTCTGCCTGGCCGCCCATCATCTGGGATGTGAGGAGCACCTCTGCCTGGCTGCCCTTCGTCTGGGAGGTGAGGAGCGCCTCTGCCCGGCCGCCCCGTCTAGGAAGCGAGCGCCTCTGCCCGGCCGCCCTTTGGGAGGTGAGGAGCGTCTCTGCCCAGCCACCCCATCTAGGAAGCGAGCGCCTCTGCCCGGCCACCCTTCGTCTGGGAGGTGAGGAGCGTCTCTGCCCAGCCACCCCATCTGGGAGCTGAGGAGCACCTCTGCCCGGCCGCCCATCATCTGGGAAGTGAGGAGCGCCTCTGCCCAGCCGCCCATCGTCTGGGAGGTAAGGAGAGCCTCTGCCCAGCCGCCCCGTCTAGGAAGCGAGCGCCTCTGCCCGGCCGCCCTTTGTCTGGGAGGTGAGGAGCGTCTCTGCCCAGCCACCCCATCTAGGAAGCGAGTGCCTCTGCCCGGCCACCCTTCGTCTGGGAGGTGAGGAGCGTCTCTGCCCAGCCACCCCATCTGGGAGCTGAGGAGCACCTCTGCCCGGCTGCCCATCATCTGGGAAGTGAGGAGCGCCTCTGCCCGGCCGCCCATCGTCTGGGATGTGAGGAGCACCTCTGCCTGGCCGCCCATCATCTGGGAAGTGAGGAGCGCCTCTGCCCGGCCGCCGATCATCTGGGATGTGAGGAGCGCCTCTGCCTGGCCGCCCCGTCTGGGAGGTGAGGAGCGCCTCTGCCCGGCCACCCATCATCTGGGATGTGAGGAGCGCCTCTGCCCAGCCGCCCTTCTTCTGGGAGGTGAGGAGCGCCTCTGCCCAGCCGCCCCATCTAGGAAGCGAGCACCTCTGCCCAGCCGCCCCATCTGTGAGGTGAGGAGCGCCTCTGCCCTGCTGCCCCGTCTGGGAGGTGAGGAGCGCCTCTGCCCGGCCGCCCATCATCTGGGAAGTGAGGAGCACCTCTGCCCGGCCACCCCGTCTGGGAAGTGAGGAGCGCCTCTGCCCGGCCGCCCCGTCTGGGAAGTGAGGAGTGTCTCTGCCCAGCCGCCCCGTATGGGATGTGAGGAGCGCCTCTGTCCGGCCGCCCCGTCTGGGAAGTGAGGAGCACCTTTGCCCAGCCACCCCGTC
The DNA here is from genome assembly GCF_000001405.40 of Homo sapiens. Lineage (NCBI taxonomy): Eukaryota > Metazoa > Chordata > Mammalia > Primates > Hominidae > Homo > Homo sapiens. The sequence continues at coordinate 157,178,478 of NC_000003.12, read as the reverse complement.
TGTGAGGTGTACCCAACAGCTCTGAAGAGACAGCGACCATCAAGAAAGGGCCATGATGACGATGGCGGTTTTGTCGAAAAGAAAAGGAGGAAATGTAGGGAAAAGAAGGAGAGATGAGATTTTTACTGTGTCTGTGTAGAAAGAAGTAGACATAGGTGACTCCATTTTGTTCAGTACTAAGAAAAATTCTTCTGCCTTGGGACACTGTTAATCTATAACCTTACCCCCAACCCTGTGCTCTCTGAAACATGTGCTGTGTCAACTCAGGGTTAAATGGATTAAGGGCGGTGCAAGATGTGCTTTGTTAAACAGATGCTTGAAGGCAGCATGCTCGTTAAGAGTCATCACCACTCCCTAATCTCAAGTACCCAGGGACACAAACACTGCGGAAGGCCACAAGGACCTCTGCCTAGGAAAACCAGAGACCTTTGTTCACGTGTTTATCTGCTGACCTTCTCTCCACTATTATCCTATGACCCTGCCACAACCCCCTCTCTGAGAAACACCCAAGAATGATCAATAAATACAAAAAAAAAAAGACTGATACAATCATTCGTTTGTATTTTAAAACTACAAAAATTAAATTAACCCCCAACAATGCTCCTGGTTCCCCCTCCCCATTAAAATGCTGTATATAGTAAGGATAATAAAGTCCTATACATATATAAAACTGTCCTTGGAATAAACAAGCTTCATGTTTCTACCATCCTGGGATCCAGGTTTCCAACTACTTTATGGTTCACTTATAAACTTAAAGAACCACCACCTTGGAAGGTAGAATTTTTTGAAAAAGAGAACAAGATCGAATAACGGTGCTTCTGTGATTTGTAGAGGTCAGGGAAGAAATATAGCATTATACAGATATGGGAATAATTTGTCCTAACATAAATGTTTAGATTGAAGATCACAGAGAGTATCATCTTTTGTCTCCACTATCCAACTACAAAATGTCACTAAAGTGAACAATTATTTTTAAATTATGGAATACACAGCAGTTTATTTTCTTTCAGTATAGGCAGCTGAAACATAAATCAAACTTCAGGAATACCTTCAAATACTTTATCAAAATATATGTTCCAATCAATTTCTGCAAGTTACGGTTGACCAAGCAGAATTACAAACACCAAAGAAGCAAATTGGGGTGGGCACAGTGGCTCACACCTGTAATCCCAACACTTTGGGAGGCCGAGGCGGGCAAATCACTTGAGGCAAGGAATTTGGGACCAGCCTGACCAACATGGTGAGCCCCCATCTCTACTAAAAATACAAAAATTAGCCAGGTGTAGTGGCGCCTGCCTGTAGTCACAGCTACTGGGGAGTCTGACGCAGTTAGAATCGCTTGAACCTGGGAGGCGGACGTTGCAGTCAGCCGAGACCTCACCACTGCACCCCAGCTTGGGCAACAGAGCGAGACTCTGTCACAAAAGAAAGAGAGAGAGAGAGAGAGAGAGAAATTGGTAATAAAACAGCACACTTTGGTCGGTTGTTATATTATAGTAAATTATATTATTCATTGTAAATTCTATTATTCATTGTAAATTGGAAATCAGTTCTTTATTACATGTTCAGAGACTAGAAAGTTGGAAATAGCAGCCACAGTTCTGCCTTCTTGGAGGTGTATAGTCTTAGACAAGTAACTTTCTGGGTTTTAGCTTCCCAGTTGTAGATCAAAGATAACAATATCCACTGGCAGAACTGGGAACACGTGCCACCACACTGAAAAGGCTACTGAAAAGGCCATGTACTCTGAAAACACTGATATTTTATTATTTCATAGAATAGTTCACAATACTTTGTCATTGAATAGACAATGAACGCCTGTGATTACTTCTGGGACAGCTAAAGATACAGATTTACTCCTAAAGGACTCAAATCACCTAAGGAAATGCATTACAGATGAATGTACAAAGATTTATTGGAAATGTGTATTTCCTAGATTTTGTAGAATCCACAGACGTTATTTGGAATTTAGTTTTGCAACATTTTAAGTACCTCTCTGCTTATATGGATGGTTTTTCTCCTGTTTCTGTTTTTTTGTTCTGAGACTGGGTCTCACTCTGTTGCTCAGGCTGGAGTGCAGTGGTGCAAAGGGTCCTCCGCCTCAGCCTCCCAAAGTGCTGGAATTACAGGCATGAGCCACAGACCCAGGCCCTCTGGTTCTAATTAACTCCTTACACACGCTGTGCTCCCTCTTCTCCTGACCCCATGTCTCCCTCTCTTTGCTTCACCATTCACACACACTCCTACTTTCACAGGACAGCTATGGAAGAAAATAGAGGGCAGCTTTTACCAAAAGAAGTTTATGTCTATCTGCATATGAACTTTTTCACCCCCCACCAAAAAACAGGCTTAAGACAAGAAAACAAGCCTTATGAAAAGACATTTTTAAAATTATTCTATTTCCTTTTATGGCCTTTTAAGGGAAACTAAAGTTGGCTCCACCATCAAGAAAACAGAAGTTAAAGAGATAGAGGAAGCAAAGGGGCAGGGGAGTGGAGACAAGGGAAACTCAGGAAAGGAACCAAAAACATGGAAAGGGGAGAAAAGACAAGTGAGAGTGGAAGACAAGAAAAGAGGCCCTGGACGGCCAGGTACGGCGGGTCCTAACGGCGGCAGTATTCAAGCGGGCCGCGGCGGTGTCCTGGGTAAAGCAGTGGCCCCAACTCCACCTCTCTTGGGCAAATCACAGAAATCTTTGAGACTAATTAGCTGTAAATTGCAGACAAAACCTTCGGCCCTTATAAGTTTCTTTCTTTTCTAGTGCAGCTGGATTTTCATTTGGTCTTTAGTTTACAAAACGAGTAACCGTTTCTCGAAGCTCTTTAACTGCTTTTTATGCCCCGCCTTTCAAGATGCTATTCCTGGGTAATTCAAATGAAAATTAAACTTAATTAAAATTTCATTAATTTCATCAAGCCAGAATGCGCATTATACTTCCCAGCCTCCATATACAGTTGTCATTTCATATGGCTGGCACTCCACTTTCTCCCAGTTCACACGCCGAGAGAACGCATGAACACAACCCAAAACTTCCAAAGAAACCTAACAGCGAAGACATTTTGCAGTTACTTCCTTTTAACAGAACTCACAGGTTAAAAGGCGATGAACTAGCTCGAGGGGTGCCCGCGTTTTCACCCTTTTAGGAAATGAACAGCTTAAAGGTTTAACTTGAAGTTTCAGGAAATGACAAAATTACTTTTACTTTTCCTCAGACCCAGGAAGAGTCAAGCTCGCGGCAATAGAGCCGAACTAAGACAGAGGATTCTGCGGCTTACGTCACAAGAGGCGGCGCCGCGGAGGACCAAGGGAAAAGACCGCCCTACGCCACGGCCGCGCAAGGGTAAAACGCTAGCGGGTAAGTTAGATCCGGCCGCCGGATGCAGTGGCTGGCGGAGGGATCCTCTCTACTGCAACCACGCGAAGCCGATTGCGCCGCGCATGCGCCGGGAGACTCGGATTTGCCAGTTTTCCGGCTTTTGAGCCGCTCTTCCGGCGAGTCCCTGGGCTTCCGAGAAATGACGAAGTGGGCGGGGTCCTCCTTCTCGACCGTTGTGAAATCAATTCGCCTCCCCCGGAACCTGCTGCCGGGTCTTGCACATGTTCCGTGGCAGAGCTGACCGCGATCGTTCCTGGCTTGGATGCCTTGAGGCTTGGCGCCGGCGGCCGGACCTGCAGGGGTTGCGGGGGACTCAGGCCACTTGTCTGACGGGGCGTAGGCAGCAGACTACCACTGAGCTCCGGGAAAAGGGAAAGGGGAAACTGATCAGCCCCCTCCAGTCACTTACCCCACAGTTAAGCCCTCCAGAAAACCCACCTCCCTGCTTGACCTCTGATGGCCGTTTCAGGGCTTGTGACGATTATGATATCGCCAGAGTCCTTCCGTGAAAATTGGAAATGCCATAATAATACTTAAATTCACTTACCCCAAAACAAGCAGTGTGTTACGAGGTTTATCCAGAAGATGAAGAGCAGAGCAAAAAGCAAATGATAGCCGTGGCTTTCACGTTTAAAAACAGTTCTTAGGCAGCGCCGGGTCGCGGTCCTGTAGTCCTAGCTACATCGGAGGGTGAGGCGGGAGGACTGCTGAAGCCCGGGAGTTCGAGGCCAGCCTGGGCAACATAGTGAGACCTTGTCTCTAAAAAGAAATAAGAAATGTTCCTGAAAGTTTTCATGACAGGGTAGAGTCCAAGCTTTTCCAGCATATGACTTATCTACTGCTACCTTTCTCCCTGAACTCCGTCAGCCCAGGGAAGAATCCAGGTTGGGATTTATGTTTACAGATCCAAAACTAAGCACAAGAGATCTTTAAATCCCATGACAAAACAGTGCCTGAAAGAGCTGACCACCAGATCCAGCTTTTGAGTTTGAAGCTGAGATCGTCCTGCATACAGCAGGATTGAGTGAATGAATATAAATAAATTATAGGTATAAAAACATGGTCCACAGCCACACCACCCTGAACTTGCCCTGTCTTCTCTGATCTTGGAAGCTAAGCAGGGTCTGACCTGCTTAGCTAGTCCTTGAATGCGAGACCACCTTGAAACACTGGGTGCCGCAGGCTTTTGAAAAATAAAATATATATATACGTTTGATCATTCCCTAATTTTGTAATTCTGAAAATTAAGTATACACTAGATATTTTTATATCTAAAGGCAAGACAGTAATCCAGCCAACATTTTACACTGATCCCTCTTTCCCACCTTAAGAAATAATTCAGGTGGGGTTTTTTTTTGTGTTTTTTGTATTTTTTTGAGGCAGCGTTTTGCTCTTGTCACCCAGGCTGGAGTGCAATGGGCGCGATCTTGGCTCACTGCAACCTGCGCCTTCTGGGTTCAAGTGAGTCTCCTGCCTCAGCCTCCTGAAGTAGCTGGGATTAGAGGCATGCGGCACCACACCTGGCTAACACCGCAAACGGGGTTTCACCATGTTGGTCACGCTGGTCTCCAACTCCTGACCTCAGGTGATCCAGCCACCTCGGCCTCCCAAAGCGCTGGGATTACAGGCGTGAGCCACCGCGTCTGGCCAGTTCAGGTGTTTTTTAAGAGATGAGGTCTCCTTATGTTGCCCAGGCTGGACTTGAACTCCTGGGATCAAGTTATCCTCTCGCCTTAGTCTCCTGAGTACCTGGTACTACAGCTGTGCCCAATCACACCTGCCTTAACTGTGTTGTTTTTGAGAGTCCAGTGATAGTATATGAAAATGCTGTGAAAACTATAAAAATCAGGTATCAAATATAAGTCGACTCTCAAGACTAGGATGTAGATACCTCTGAACGTTTCCTGATTGCTGAAAATAAAAGTCTTGTTCTGTGCTATTTTTAAGATGGGGCTGATAAGCAATATCCAGTTATGTGCTGTATGCATGTGCCTGCGTGTGTATGTGCATGTGTGTGTGACAGTGACACTATAAAGAAACAGTTCCCTGAGGCAAAACTAGACTAGGTCTCCAGTGACTTCAATGTTACAATGCACATAGTTTAAATCGAAATTCCCTCTAAAGCACCTTGTGGTAGATCTGGAGAAAGCTTGTTCTTTTAGTACTAAGGTATCATTGTTTTCACTGTGGTAACAAATGCTATACTTGTTCCAGAGAACCAACATTACAGTAGAGCCCTTGTGTGTGGTCATGGAAAGAACACTGGACTGGGCATCAGAAAAACCACCGTTCTAATTTCACTCTGCTACTGGATCTAAAATCTTGGTCGAGTCCTTTCACATCTCTGAACTTCCATTTCTTCACATGTAATGGTCTTTGTTCCTCTCCTGTATGCTCCTGTAGCATTCTACCCTTTCATGTAGCATTCCATGTACTCTATTTGTTCATCACTTTGGTCTTAGTGCCTAGCATAACATAGTTTAGTGAATACTCAGTAGAGATTTGTTAGAGTCATTCTAACTGTACAAAATTTCATTATGGGCCATTTTTCTTTGATACTGATATTTGTTAGAATGCTATTTACTGTGGAAGAATAATCCCATGGATTACTTATTAATTGCAAGGGTGTTAAGGTACTTTTACAATGGAGAAATCTGATGGATACCACCTTAACAAATGATAAAAAGTAGCCAATAATTGAACAAAAAATTGGGCATCGTGTGCCCCTAGATGTGAAGCATGGAGATACAACATTACCTATGGAGTATTCCTTGAAAAATCTTTAACCTGAATCTAATCATGAGGAAATAATCAGACACATCCAAATTTAGGAACATGCTTCAAAGTAGTTGGCCTGGAATTGTGAAAAATATCACAAGACACACACACACACACACACACACACACACACACACACACAAACTGCTATAGAATTTAAACAGACATGACAGCTATACGCAGGGAACTTGATGTGGTGCTGGTTTACTTTTGTTTTATAGTGTTCAAAATAGTTAATGAATGTGTTCCTGGGAGAAAACTAATTAAAATGTGTAGGGAGCTTCGGAATAGCTGATTCTCATTATTTATAAAAGTTTCCTCTTGAAATTCTATTTCTGTTGAATGTTTATTATGAAATAGAAAACATTACTAAAAGGGGTCAGCCACTTCATTGCTCAAAATAAAATTACAACTTAATCCTTAAGAGGAAAATGGAATCATTTTAAAAATGTCATTTCCAGGGACTTGCTAGGTCCTTTCTATTTTTAATTGTACAGGGCTATCTCCAGTCCCTGAAGTCACTGCTCCAGCCCCAGCTACTTCTGTAGCCCTCCTTCTCCTGTTTTCAAGTTTTGTAATTATTAGAGACAAACAATAAAAAGAAATGAACTACTAGAAAAGCTTGAAAAACTAAATGTTCTTAATATTACAGTTTCTGATTTATAGCTCTTGATTTTCTTGTTGAGGTAAACACTGCTTTAAACCCTCCAGAGTTTCTGAGAGTCCCCTAAAATGAGGGTCTGTTCCTCAGCCCTTCACATGCCTGACATGCCTGCCCTCGCCCACCTCTTCAGCCACATTAGTCCCTAGTATACACACGTATGCACCACATTCTAGCACACCACAGTATTTCTTGTGTCAGTCTTTCCATTAAGATGGGTTTAAGATTAAATAAGTAAAAAGGAGTTAAGTGTTCGTGTAACTGAAAATCCCAGCAGTAGAATACAGGGCATGGCTGCAGGGAAATAAACTAAGTGATTGGATTCTGTTTCTAGCTCTGGTCTCTGCTCTTTTCTCTGCTGGTTCCATTCTCCAGCTGGTTCTCTTTTGTGTCAAGATGGCACTCAGTAGCTCTGTGCTTAAATCCTCCTCTCAGTAATCCCAGCAAGAACAAGCACTTCTCTCTCCTCCCCTTGCAAGTGTTCCAGCAAGAGTTCTGGACATGACAGACATTCAGAACCAATCGCTGTGTGGGAGGGAAGGGCGATGGGAGACTCAGATTAGTTCACAAAGTAGGAAAGAGGTTAGTCCTACCCAAACCACTTTTGCTGAGAATGGAGAAGTTGCAGGTCCTCAAGGGAGAACTGAGGAAGGGAGACTGGGCACTGGGCAGGCTGAAACACAGATGTTCACTGTATTTCTCAATGCACCCAGCGATCTCATACCTCCCCATCTTGGCACCTGTTTTCCCTCTGCCTAAAATGGTCTTCCACACTTATCCTTCTGACCAATGTTTATGAATGTAGTCTTTAAAACCTAGACCACATATTACCTCCTTTTTGTTACCTTGTCAAAAAAAATTCCTCCATCCTCTGAACCCCTTCTGTGCATTGTATCTGTTTCTATTATTACCAGACTGAGTCAAAATTCTTTTTCAAGGCATGGCAATTCTATAAGTCATATATGTTCAGTGTAATATGTGTGTGTGTGTATCTATAGACTCCACATTCTAGCGTACCACAATATTCCTTTTATCAGTCTTTCCATTAAGTTGGATTTAAGATTAAATAAATAAAAAGGAGTTATGTATTCATGTAACTGAAAATCCTAGGGGTAGAATATAGGGCATGTCTGCAGGGACATAAATTAATATATTTTTATACATATATATTAATTTACATATATATTAATTTACATATATATTAATTTATATATATTTAATGCCATTCAAAAAGTGGCCTGTGGCCCAAGGACTGGCACCTGACTCTGAACTTATTACCCATCTTCAACGAGGTAAGTGAAGAATTGAGAGTAAACGTTTAGAAACTTTTATGGCATGTTGACAGAATAATTTGATGTCTGTTGAATCTAATGATAAACAATGCAGGCTTGTATTTTCAATGTCTTTAAAAATTTCAGCTGGATGAGGTGACTCAGGCCTGTAATCTCATCAATTTGGGAGGCTCAGGAGTTTGAGACTAGTCTGGGCAACACAGTGAGACCCCATCTCTACAAAATAAATTAAAAATTACCCAGGCATAGTGGTGCAAACCCTGTAGTCCCAGCTACTTGGGAAGCTAAGGTGGGAGGATCACTTGAGCCCGGGAGGTCAAGGCTGCTGTGAGCCATGATCATGCCATGGCACTCCAGCCTGGGTGACAAAGCAAGACCCTGTCTCAAAAAAAGAAAAAACTAAAAATCATTTTACTAATATCTTTATTGGATTTTTACAGAAGTATCATTCCACACTAGTTTCCCAAATGTGTTTCTTCACTATAGATTGAGAAGCATTGCAACAGAGAACTTCAGAAAGTAAAATATGAAAGCCTCCATCCCACCTACCTGTGTTCCCCAATTTTCACCAAAATGATTTTGTTACCTTCCCCAAAGGCAGCAGCATCATATCTAGCCTTCCAAATATATACATATTGCTTCCTTTTTTCTTTTTTTTGTTAAATTTTGAAATGAGGTCTCACAATATTGTCCAGGCTGGCCTAAACCTGTGACCTCAAAAGATCCTTCAGCCTCAGCCTCCCAGGTAGTTAAGATTATAGGCACATACCACCATGCCTGGCCAGATATATACATATCTCTATATGATATATACATAATGTTATACAAAAGGTATCATACTATACATGTTGTGTTGGAACTTCCTTTGGTTCACTTAATAATATATCTCAGAGATCCAACCTTTTATTTTATTTTTTTTTTTAGAAACTTTTAAAGAAACATTCCCAATGCCTAGAATAGAACCTGGTACTTAGTTGTCAATTAATAAGTAAGAATTTAAAGATGAATGAATGAAGACAAACTGTTCACAGCTGGCAGATCAAAAATCCCTGGCCAGAACAACAGGCATTAACCATTGACCAACACCACATAGGGAATCTGCATTTCCAAGGACTGGAAAATACATGAATTAATCTATAATCATTTTATGTGCTAACAATTTTTTGTGGTAGGTGTTATCATTTTATTGGTGAGTAAACTGAGCTTAAATAATTGCCTAAATAAGCAAATTAATTTACCTCAAGTCATGTAGCTTTGGATGGTATTTTTTTTCCCAGTGGAGGAATAAATACGCATTTCTTCTCTTCACCTGCAATTTTCACTGGTTGTCCCACGCAGAATCAGAGTCAGGAAAACTGTACGTAGAGAAGCTTTTATCATTTTATATGTTCCTGTCTTACAAAGCTCCCTCTGGCTTAAGGCTGGTGGCCCACATCTGATAACATTAAAAAACATAATTAATATGGCTTATCTGATTTTCCAGTGCTATTGAGATAAAGATATTACTGAAGTTTACCTTTACTTGAAGAATCTCTAAGGTCACTGTATATTTTCTAGGGCTGCTGTAACAAGTTACAGGAAGCTTGATGGCTTAAAACAACACACATTTATTTTCTTATAGTTCTGGAGGTCAGATGTCCTAAGTCAGGTTCACTGGTCTGAAATCAAGGTGTCAGCAAAGCCAGATTCCCTTGATGGGTCCTGTTTAGTTATCATGCTGACAAGTATGATTTAGTCTTGAATTGCTGACTAAAACCAAGACTAGTTCGTTCTGACATTAAATACCATAAAGAATGAATCTGTCTAAAGACTGACTTGATTAGATTATTTGCAATCAGCTAATATTTATTATCTACTATTTGCAAGTACCTCTTTGGACCTTAGTTTTCTTGTGTGTAAAAAAGAGAGACTGAACTGCATAATATTAACTTTAGCTCTAAAAGCAAATTTGTGGGTTTGTTGACTTTATAGTTGTTTATGAAATTGCCTTTGGCCATACATCTCCGTCACATATACCCAATTTCCAGACCTATCTCCAAAACTGTCCCAGAGCCTGCGTGTATACCAGACACCAAAACCCTTCACCATACTGCTTTCTGTGAGTTTCTACCCACTCCCCAGCCCCCACAATATACACAATCTCTTTGGTTATGGCAATTCCAACAGGCCTCTTGTTCTGCAGCCCGTGCCTGTATGGAGCAGAAGTTATGGACTATTTAAGTAGCCCACTGTAAGAAAACAAAGAACAAATGTGGAAACACAGCTGATCTGCTACAAAGTGCTGCAAAGAGAACAGGATAAATGGGGGCCCTGGACCCTCTATTAGGGAGAGAGGGCTGTATTGGTAGGACAGACACGTGAGGATAGAATTAGCTCCTGAATGGAAAAGAAAAGGCAAAACCAGGTTGTCTTTGAAAGGCACTAGGAAACAAGTGGGCAAATTCAGTCCACGGGTGCTGATTATGTGCTTAACATACACACAGTGTCTACCAGGTGCTGTAGAGGATGCAAAATAAATGTAAAATGGTCTTATTTTTGTCCAGACATACACCCATGATAAGATCAGTAATAACGTTTAATAGTAAGGAAACATGTCAAAATACATACCAGAGGTCATAAATGCTAGGAGAGGCTCTGAGAAAGGAGAAAATTAGCATAAGTTAGATTAGGTGGGGGAAGGCTTTCGGCAAAACGTAGAACATCCCAAGTCTCAAAAAAGTTGCTAGGATTTGATTAACAAGGAGGAGTAGTAAGAATTTGCAGGGTTGAGAAATAGAAGGAGGGAAAGTAAATAACATGTTTGTTAGTGAGCAGACAGGTCCAGTTGGTCTTGGTTCAGGCAGAAACACAGTGGGGAATAAGGTGAGGTGGTAATGTCACAAGGAAACAGAAGACAAGGTAAATTTAGATTGTGGAAAGCCTCAACTGCCAAAAGATATTTAATCTCTATCCTTTACACTTGATCTTAGTCAAAAGGCCAAGAAGTCACAATCTCTATTTTTTATCTCCAAAGTTTTTATTCAAAAAAGTGAGGTAGGGAAATTGGTATTTCAAAAAGATTGAGAGATTTCCCAGGACAAATAAGGATGGGAGAAAATAGAGACAAGGAGACCATTTGGGAGGCTACTATAATGGTCCAACCATGATGTAACAGCAGATGTGTAGCTGTGAGAATAGACAGAACAGGGAGATTCAAAAACAATTTCCTTCCTAGAAGGAAGGACCAACAGAACTTGGTGATTAACACAAAAAGAAGAAATAAGAACCAAAAATGAGTCTGAAGTTCGAGATATGTTTATGACCAGAGACAAATAATTTTAGACCTGCAAGGGTCAGACTCCCTCACTTTAAAGATGAGAAAACTATGTTTGCCCAAAGTCTCAGGACTAATTCTCAACAGAGTCAGCAGCAGAATTTCCAGGCCAGGGCTATCAGGAGATGTACCAGGCAGCGTATGCCTAAGTGTTCATTACAAATCATTTACAGAGTGACTGTATTTCTAATGAAGAGAACAACCAGTTCAGAGTGTGTGTACTCATATAACAGAGAGGTCATGTTTTATAACAGTCATTTAACTACATGAACAGCTCATGCATAAAGTCAGGTGCTCCTCCCTGCCATCAATAGAAATGTGATTAGCAACTTCTTAAGGTTATACCCTCTCCATAATGGCAACAAGCATGACGACTTATCCCTTCTCTGCCTGCTTTTTACACTTGCTGGTCACCTTAACATTTGTCTTTCTGTGTATTGAGTGTAGCTCCTTCTAGCTGGGGACTTAATTTGCCTAAGTTTTGGTGGCAAGGTATTAAATTCCTGTGGTCTACTGGTGATTGCTGAAGAAATTAATGGAATGATGCCAATTGTGATTTTAAGATTAAAGAACCTGAAATTTAAATAATGAAAACCATGCTCCCCAGAGAGGATACAGAGTCTAGTAAAATGAGAACTAATTTAAACATCAGGTGTATCATTCTTCAGTAGCCTCAGGTAGGCCACTGATAATTCCACTTGTCTCTTCAGTTGTCACTGGAAGCCTGCCTGTGTTGAAACAGTAATATGTAATGATATGTTTACTTATCATTGGATTTCCTTTTAGACATGGGTGAACTCAGGGTCTACTATTCAGACCTCTGCTGTGTGTGTACAATTACAGACTTACTATTACATTTTTTCTTAGAGTGACAAGGAATTCAATCATTTACTTTCCAGTAGTCTCATCTTACTTACCTGGATTCATTTCTAATAATGCATTTATAGTAGGTTGGTGCAATAGTAATTGCGTTGCTATTAAAATGGCAAAACCGTAATTACTATTGCACCAACATATACAATTGAAACATGGGCTTGGTTGCCGGGTGCAGTGGCTGATGCACTTTGGGAGGCCAAGGCAGGTGGATCATAAGGTCAGGAGTTCAAGACCAGTCTGGCCAGCATGGGGAAACCCCATCTCTACTAAATATACAAAAATTAGCCAGACACGGTGGCGTGTGCCTGTAGTCCCAGCTACTGGGGAGGCTGAGGCAGGAGAATTGCTTGGACCCGGGAGGCGGAGGTTGCAGTGAGCTGAGATTGTGCCACTGCATTCCAGCCTGGGCGACAGAGCAAGACTCCATCTCAAAAAAAAAAAAAAAAAAAAAAAAAAAAAAGGCGGGGGTGGCTTGGCCAGGTGCAGTGTCTCACAACTTGTAATCCCAGCACTTTGGGACGTGGAAGCAGCAGGATCATTTGAGCCCAGGAGTTCAAGACCAGCCTGGGCAATGTAGTGAAATTCTGTCTGTACAAAAAATAAATGTTTAAAAATTAGCTGGGCTTGGTGGCATGTGCCTGTAGTCCCAGCTATTGGGGAGGCTGAGGTGGGAGAGTCACTTGAGCCTAGGAGGTCAAAGCTGTAGTGAGCTTTGATCATGTCACTGCACTCTAGCCTGGGCAACAGAGTGAGGTCCTGTCTCAGTAAATAAATAAATAAAATAAAAACAAAAAAACATGAGCTTCACTCTTCCAAACTTTGAATCCTTTATAATTGTGACTAGGTCTTACCCTTTCCACTTTTGTTTTCTTTTTCTTTCCTTTTCTTTTTTTTTTTTTTTAAAGGGGGGATGGTCTTACTTTGTTGCCCAGACTGGGCTCAAACTTCTGGGCTCAAGCGATCCTCCCACCCTGTCCTCCTAAAGTGCTGGGATTACAGGTGTGAGCCACTGCGCCCAGCGGTCTTTCCCAATCTGCATTTTAATGTTGATGTTTTGTAAGTAGGTACATTTGGAAAAGCAACCTTCCTCAAAGTAACAGAAACAAGGTTAACACAGACAAGCCCTGTGGATTACTCCTATAATCCCAACACTTTGGGAGGCCTAGGTGGACGGGTCTCTTGAGCCCAGAAGTTCCAGAGCAACTAGGGCTGCATAGTGAGACCCCTGTCTCTACAAAACAATACAAAAATTAGTGGTGGTGCACATCTGTAGTGCCAGCTACTTGGGAGGCTGAGGTGGGAGGATCACCTGAGCCCAGAGAGGTCGAGGCAACAGTGAGCTGTGATCATGCCACTGCATTCCAGCCTGAGTAACAGAGTGAAACCCTGTCTCAAAAAAAGGTGTGTGTGTGTTGGGGGTGGGGGTGGGGCGGCGGGGGGAGGAAAAGAGAAAGAAAAGAATTTCCAAAGTATGATTTTTCTGGAATTTGACCCTGAAAGAATAGGACAGAGTTATCATTTTTTAAAATTATTTTTTCCTTCCATCCACAGATATAGACTCATTTTTTTTAAAACCTCCATCCTTACAAAACCTTGGGGAGTAGAGCCACTAGCCCCAATGCCTTCCATCCTCTGGATTATCCATGATTTTTTTTTTTTTGTCACCTCCAATTAGGGTATGTCATAGATTTTTAAAAAATGAAACTAAAGTTTAAAATAACATGACAGTTTGAAGAGTTAATGCTAAGTAAATACCTATATAAAATATTGACCCACCCCCTCCACCTTTGTTGAAGCTGGAGGGAGGAACAGTAAAAACAATCATGTGTTGTCAATAAAATGAAAGGTTCTGTCAGAAATGAGTGGGAAATGGGCACAAAATTATGGAACTGCCCTGGATGGCTCTGCTCTCCTGGAAATGACTGCCAGATACAGGAAGCAGAGAGTAGAGGTCCACTGGGAACAGATCTCAGAAGTAGAGAGGAGCACTGCTAGAGAGAAAGGGACCTTCCTCCCACCCTCATCCCCCAGACTTCTCCCTCCTATGCTTGTGAACCTTTACTGGATTAACCATGAATGTAGTGGGTAAAAATATAAAGTATATCAAGACATCACCAAGCCAGCTTATTGCAGAGGCATGGTGGAAGACTCTAAAGAGGAGAAAATCTTCTATTAACATATGTCTTAAAAATAAGTTAAATTGGTCGGCAAAGCCTGAGTTCTGTCCTCTCACCCTCCTCCCTGGACAGCATGAGCTTCACCACTCACTCCGCCTTCTACACCAACTACCGGTCCCTGGGCTCTGTCCAGGCACCCAGCTACGACTCCTGGCTGGTGAGCAGCATGGCCAGCGTCTGTGCAGGCGCCGGGAGCTCTGGCTGCCGAATCTCCATGTCCCGCTCCACCAGCTTCTGGGGCAGCATGAGGTCCGGGGGCCTGACTGCGGGGATGGCCGGGGTTCTGGCAGGAATGGGAGGCATCCAGACCGAGGAGACCATGCAAAACCTGACAACCACCTGGTCTCCTACCTGGACAGAGTGAGGAGCCTGGAGACCGAGAACCGGAGGCTAGAGAGCAAAATCCGGGAGCACCTGGAGAAGCAGGGACCCCAGGTCAGAGACTGGAGCCATTATTTCAAGACCATTGAGGACCTGAGGGCTCAGATCTTCACAAATATTGTGGACAATGCGTTCTGCAGACTGACAATGCCCATCTTGCTGCTGATGACTTTAGAGTCAAGTATGAGACAGAGCTGGCCACGTGCCAGCCTCTGAAGAACAACATCCATGGGAACAAAATCCATGACACTAATGTCACTCGGCTGCAGCTGGAGATAGATTGAGGCTCTCAAGGAGGAGCTGCTCTTCATGAAGAAGAACCACGAAGAGGAAGTAAAAGGCCTACAAGCCCAGACTGCCAGCTCTGGGTTGACTGTGGAGGTAGATGTCCCCAAATCTCAGGACCTCACCAAGATAATGGCAGACATCCGGGCCCAATATGATGAGCTGGCATGAAGAACCAATAGGTGCTGGACAAGTACTGGTCTTAACAGATTGAGGAGAGCAACACAGGGGTCACCACGCAGTCCGTCGAGGTTGGAGCTGCTATAACGCTCACGGAGCTGAGACATACAGTCCAGTCCTTGGAGATCAACCTGGACTCCATGAGAAATCTGAAGGCCAGCTTGGAGAACAGCCTGAGGGAGGTGGAGGCCTGCCACGCCCTGCAGATGGAGCAGCTCAACGGGATCCTGCTGCACCTGGAGTCAGAGCTGGCACAGGCCTGGGCAGAGGGACAGTGCCAGGCCCAGGAGTACGAGGCCCTGCTGAACATCAGGGTCAAGCTAGAGGCTGAGATCGCCACCTACCGCCGCCTGCTGGAAGATGGCAAGGACTTCAATCTTGGTGATGCCCTGGACAGCAGCAACTCCATGCAAACCATCCAAAAGACCACTATCTGCTGGATAGTGGATGGCAAAGTGGTATCTGAGACCAACGACACCCAAGTTCTGAGACATTAAGCCATCAGAAGCAGGGTACCCTTTGGGGAGCAGGAGGCCAATAAAAAGTTCAGAAGTCAAAAAAAAAGTTAAATTATATTACTCTCAAGTCATTACAAATATAGGTGATGATTTCATTGAAGTCCAGTGTTTTAATGAAGTACATAATCAATGAGGGTTTTTACTTTTTATTTGGAAATAAGACATGGAAGTTGCAAAGATAGACTACTCCTATGTATTCCTCCAACTTTCCCCAATGATAATATCTCACACAACCATAGATTATCAAAACCAGAAAACTGACCAGGCACAGTGGTGTGCCACTTATAGTCCCAGCTACTCAGGTGGCTGAGGTGGGAAGATCCCTTGAGTTCAGGAGTTCAAGGCCAGCCTGGGCAACACAGTGAGACCCTGGCTCTATAAACAAAAATGGAAGAAAACCAGAAAACTGGTGTCATCAATTGTGTTTAAGGAAACCGAGGCTCCTTTAAAAGTTTGTTATAAAATTATAGATATCTCATAAATATTGAGGTGGAAAGATTCCCTGGAAGCAGCCTAGTCAGAAAGTGAAGACAGTGACATCCAGATAGGTTAATACTTCTGCCAGCACCATAATTACACTCTCTTGGCTGTACATTCCAATCACTCGAAGACAGGCAAAACTGAACCACTGGCTGGGCCCACCTTAAATCAGTGACATCAACCTCTGCAGGCAAGGCTCAAGTATCAGTACATTTTAAAACAACTTTGCCCACTGAAGGTTCACTTAATCAACTGATAAGGCCGGGTGCGGTGGCTCATGCCTGTAATTCCAGCGCTTTGGATGCCTGTAATCCCAGCATTTTGGGAGGCCGAGGCGGGCGGATCACCTGAGGTCAGGAGTTCAAGACCAGCCTAGCCAACATGGCAAAACCCCGTCTCTACAAAAATACAAAAATTAGCTGGACGTGGTGGTGTGTGCCTGTAATCCCAGCTACTGGGGAGGCTGAGGTGGGAGAATCGCTTGAACCCCGGAGGCGGAGGCTGCAGTGAGCCGAGATCGCGCCACTGCACTTCAGCTTGGGCGACAGAGTGAGACTCTATCTAAAAAAAAAGAAAAAAAAAATCAACTGATAACAGGCGATTAACAGGAGAAAAGGGATACATAACACCGGGGTAAAAGCAGGAGGATGATTACCCAGTAGCTTAATGGAGTACAGAAGATTTTATATCTTTTTTTCATAGGGGAAAGGGTAGATGAGAAATGTAGACATTTATTTTGAGGAGCAGCAAATGATTATTAGGAACAATGAATGGACAGAAATTAGTAAATAATTTTCTTTTGAGTAATCTTGTGAAAAAGTCCCTCCAGGAATGGCTGCATTTCTGAGTCTTTTTGAAATAGGATACGAGATTTCAGCGAGGGGAGGAATGCGATTGATTCTTCTACAAAGAGGCTTCTCTAGTCAGGAAAGGAAATTTCAGAGAGTACCTCCCTGCACTTGGGAAAAGTGGGAGCAACAAGTCAAGGTTGGGGGACCTGCATTATGAGGCAGCTTCTAAAGCCTCTGTCTTTGGGGTATCGCTTTCTGAGCGTCAAGAGTAAAACGTGATGCATTCCTTTCCTTCCAACCTAGATTCTAGTAGTTTAGATCAGTATCATTGTTTTTACTTCAAGGTTCAGGAAACGCTGGAAATTGCTAGCTAATATCACAGGAAAAAAAACAAAAAACACGAGGTTGACCTCACCCTACCCGCGGTAGGTAACCATGTATGAATAGAGACTCCCAGGCATAATCAAATTACCTCTGTCAAGTCCTCGCCCTAAGACTATTTTTGGAAACTAGGGATTTTCCAGATTACTGAAAGCCGTGGCGGTGTCAAAGGCCGGGCAGGAGTTTCGCAAGCGGAGCTATGAAAGCAGCCACTCTCGCGGTCATTCCTATGCCTCCGCCCTACTTCCCCATACTGGCAAAAACACGCTCCCCGGGGAGCTTTCATTTGGGAACCGATAGGGTCCACAGCCCTGTGTTCTTCAAATACTGTAAAGCAGCCCTCTCCAGATTCCTTGAGGGTCACTTTATATTACACATTCGTCCACACAGGACAACAAAGTCACCACTTCCACCCGCCAAAGCGCGCTCAGGTCGGCCGCCACTTCCCTTGGTACACGCGGAACGCAAGCCGCGCCGAGGCTAAAGGAAGAGGCCGGAATGCAGGGCGAAGGGGCGCAGAGATGCTAGCCAATGCTGCCACCTCTATTTTGGGTATAAGGGATCTTGTAAAGCTCCGTTATTCGTGTGGCTATCACAAACAAGGTGGTTTCGACCGGCCTTGGCTAGAGAAGGCCTCCTCAGCCTCTGAGGATCCCAAGGTCTGTCGCAGCACCCAACACTCCCCTCGCAGGCCCAGATGCCGAGGGCGGAGGCGCGGCCTGGAGGGACTAGTTGGCGCGCGGCTGCCCGGCGTGGTGACGTCAGGGCGGAAGCGCACGCGGCGTGAAGCGGCCCAGAACCCGGCGGTCACGGGAATATCCGTCGCGCCGAGAACGCTGGTTAGTCTTGTTTCGGGTTCCGGCTGCGTTGGGCTTGCGTGCGGCTCGCTAAGACTATGGCGTCCGGGCCTCATTCGACAGCTACTGCTGCCGCAGCCGCCTCATCGGCCGCCCCAAGCGCGGGCGGCTCCAGCTCCGGGACGACGACCACGACGACGACCACGACGGGAGGGATCCTGATCGGCGATCGCCTGTACTCGGAAGTTTCACTTACCATCGACCACTCTCTGATTCCGGAGGAGAGGCTCTCGCCCACCCCATCCATGCAGGATGGGCTCGACCTGCCCAGTGAGACGGACTTACGCATCCTGGGCTGCGAGCTCATCCAGGCCGCCGGCATTCTCCTCCGGCTGCCGCAGGTCAGTGCTCCGGCCCCGGGCCGGCCGGGCGCTCCTCTCCTCTCCTCCGTCCCCTACGCCGCATCTCAGTATCACCGTGCCCCGGGAGGGTGGGGACGGTTCCTTCAGGCTTTCCCGTTCGGGGCCCAGCCGCGGCCGGGGCGTGCCGGGGCGGGGGGCTGCGGAGGCGGAGGGAGGACTTGGCAGCGGGCTGTTCGCAGCGGCGGCGGCGGCGGGAGGGGAAAGGGAAGCGATCGGCGGCACAAAATGGCGGCGGCGCCTGGAGCGGGCCCGCCTGACCCCTGCGCTTCCGTTCTCCTCTCTTGTCTGCAGGTGGCGATGGCAACGGGGCAGGTGTTGTTTCATCGTTTTTTCTACTCCAAATCTTTCGTCAAACACAGTTTCGAGGTAAGCACAGCGGAGGCGGGTAAAAGGGATTTCTTCATCCGGAAATGGGCAGAGTAGGGGTAGTGTCAGCAGCCAGCTTTTCCAGAAAGGGAGTGGTTTAGTTTAGGCCTTTGTACCTACTTCTCACTCGCCAGGAAGTGGAAACCTTTAGAATGTGGTTCAAAATCGATCACGAGCCTAAGTGCCCTCTTAACGAAAAGTACAGTTTTCAACCAAATGCAGAACTCCTGTAAGATTGAGTTTGACTCTGGAACCAAAATTAAGATGAGTTAAACAACAAAAAGTATAGTACTAGCATAGCTGGTAGACTTACGGCATAGAGATGTCTTCTCTAATTTTACTAAAGGTTGTCCCAATTGTGTTCTAAATTTTATTCTTCAAAGTGAGTTTAATCTAACAATGGCTTTTGTGGCTCATGGGTTCTTTCAGATTGTTGCTATGGCTTGTATTAATCTTGCATCAAAAATCGAAGAAGCACCTAGAAGAATAAGAGATGTGATTAATGTATTCCACCACCTCCGCCAGTTAAGAGGAAAAAGGTAAGATTGGCATTATTGAACATAGTATCTCTTGCTACTGCTGTACCGTGCACCAGTCATCAAATCAAAACATCTTTCCTTTCAAGTGAATACGGATGCAAAAGAAAACGGACTTTAATTTAGGTGTTAAAGTTCATATAGGAACACTGATACTTAAAATAATTTGAAAAAAGAAACATAATTAACCGGTTATCTAAAGTTTGTAGAGGCAGTTGCATTTATGGACAATCCTAACAGTGCTGTGAAGCCAGGCCTGTGGCTTAAGATTAAACAAGAAAGGGAGTACATTTGGCTCAAGTGTGAGTGTATTCTGTAAGTTATTTTTCCTCTCCCCTCTCTGGAAGACTGAAGGCTGGAAGTTTAAACACTGTAGTTTAAGTTAATATTGTGGCAAAGTTCTGTGTAGATTATGTTTTTCTACTCGAAGTCCCAGTTAATTCTTTATCAATTGAGGTTGGCTTTTGTTAGAGTACTTCTCAACATTGAACTACGATAAATCGAATAATACCGGATCTGAAAGGACTGCAGGATGATAAAGTTTGAAGTTTGAAGTCAAAGGGATTAAACAGGTATTTTGTTTTGGTTAGATACAGTCTCAGTGAGTGGGTTAGAAAATTAACAAGTAAGATTGATTGGGTTGCATTTAGATAGGGCCATTTATTTGATGTTGTAAGAAAATACAGAGACTGAAATAGTATCTCCTAGGTGTTGTGGTAACATAATTTTATGTGGACCTATGTGTTCCTGTGAGGCAGTACCAAAAAGTTTGTTGCAGGACTTCCTGCATCTACAGGTGACTTCCAGTACATGCTGCAGAATGATATATTTGGTGTAGAATAGTTTTTGCATTCACTCTTTAAGGAATTGTAGTGATGTTAGACAAATTGTACTGAGTTTGAAAGGAAGTTATTAAAAGGATTATAAGTTGTTCTGGGGGTTGGGTATGTTGGTTAGTGCTGTTAGTATTCTATATGAGTAGTCCTTATTGGCTGAATCTGTAAGTTGGCAGTAATGGAACTATTCAGACAAGCAAATATTAAAGCAACTTTAAGATGACTAGTCTATTCTGTGAGTCTACAGACAGTTCTTTTTTAAAAAAAGAGTATCCTAGTCAAAAAGTCTGCAACAGTTTTCCTACATACTTTTTCTCCCCCATCTTTTCTCATTCACCTTAACTGTGTCCAGGGATAGAGTACTTTTTAAATTCTAAAATATCTTTTAGTTTGTTGATGAGTCCCTGGGAATTGGGAAGATTTCAAATTGGTCTTTGGTATGGTCTGAGGTTAAATCTGTATTTAGATACCTGGCTGATTCTTCAGGATGTTTAAAGTAATGACACTAATACAAGGCTCTATCTTTAGTCAAAGGTTTCTCTTTGCTTAAAGGAAATGGTTTTCTAGTATTCTTTGAACCATTGAGCCAACTATTATGTAATCACATGATTATCTTCTGTGGAATTTTCCTGTGAGACTAGTTTACTTCGTTGATGTTAGAATAGGTCTTAACTGTAAAAACCATGGAATTTAAAATAATATAATCTCACCTGATTGTTGTGTCTGATGTAACTTTGTTTTTTGGGTCATTATTACAGAGAAACTGATTTTGTTTCAATCTTAGAAGTCTGATTATAGCAAAATTTAAAAGGAGTTGTTAATTGCATGGAAGCCTTTTTTTAAAGCAGGATGTAAAAGTGTTTCTATGCATATTACAAGTTTACTCAAGCACGTAACTTGTATATGTTATTAACTTCAACTCTTTTTTCCCTTGCAACCGACTATACAGCGACCAGCTACATTTACCAAAGCCTGGGTGATGTGGAGTGGTACATAGAGATGAAGCTGTCGTCATGGCAACAGTGAGTGAAGTATCGAAAATCCCCAAGGAGAAGCCAGTGCTCTGAGAATAGGTCACTGGAATCGGGGACTAACAGGTTGGCCACTGGTGAACCATTTAGAAAAACTCCTGTTTCTTGTTATAAGCTTTTGTCTTTGCTGTCCAAGTTATTAGAACTATAGCTTTGTATTTATTTTTGCATAGGTTAATGTCATTAGAAAGTACTATCAGTATTATACATTGGTTAGGTAAAGCATATCACTTGTCTTAATGATGCTATTTGTTTTAATCTAGTTTATTCATAACTTTAAATTGTAGTGTGACTTTGACAATTACAGTGGAGATACATTATTCATGTTGCTTGTAGGTCATTGGTCTCTTCAGCCTGGCTACACATTGAGAATTAGCAGAGGAGCTTTTTAAAAAGTACCAGTGCTTAGTCCCCAACCTGGATTGTTTGGCCTATTCCTCCTTCAGTTTTTTGTGGTTCGATAATTATCTTTTAAGTTGACAATAAACAGCTAAATTTAGAGGGGGGATTGCTTTTTCATTGTTCTAGTTTCCAAATATTTACTTTTGAGATGCAGCGTATTAAAATTTTCAAAGACTGGTTTAACCATTCTCATTAGTAAATACAATGTATTTTCAGTGTATCCATAGATAATAAAAGTTGGATAGGTAAGAATTGGAAGGGTGTTAAGTGATGTCATTTAGTCTACCACCTTTCTACAGTATAATTCTGTGGCTCTACAAGGTGGCCTTCAGTTTGTTTAAATACCTATAAAGGATGTTTCTACTTTTAAGTAGGCATTACAAATTTTTGTATATTGCTTGGCAGTATGCCTCTTTGTAAACTACCAATCTGTTATAGTCTCTTGAAGACTTGGTTCCAATATTTCTCAGTCTTTGTAACACATAAATGAAACTAACCATGTTTGGACTTTGTAATTTTTGTTGTTGTTGAGTTATATGTCAATTACATAATCATGCTAAAGGAAAATAGCTCCTCTAACAAACCATAATAATAAACTTCTAATGACCAAAGACCAGGATTTTCTAAAGCTGAAAATAATTCTCGTATAAATCAGAAAAATTGGACAATAGAAACTTAAAGCAGAGATTGAGTTAGTTTGTGTGTTGATAATGAAAATTATTTTTGAGTTTTCTCTGAATAGATGAAGACTTCTTTTTTAAAGAGATTTTCAAATGCCACCTCCTCAAACTTTATTGGCAAAGAAAGTTTACCTGATTGGGGAGGAAGAAATTCTAGCAGGCCTTAATTTAATGTGCTTGTTGCAACAGAAGGTACTAATGTATACTTTGAGACTTTGTTTACTGCTGATTGATGGAGATATATTTTTTAAATTTATGATACAAAGTAATCTCTACCAGGTAGTTGTAAATTACGTGTGCACCGTTGATTTGTGAGGTAGAACCAATTCTGAACAAAATAAAGGTATCTGGTTTTAGGTTATATACCCACAAAGTTAACTTTGAAAATTGCAGGTAATAAATAGCAGGATTAAGCAAGAAGTTAAGTATATATTGAATTATAGTAAATAATGGGTTTGGTTTTCTTAAATCTATTTTGATGTCATTGGCATTTTGACACAAAAACAAAGAAAATGGCATCATTAAGTCTGATTTGGGACTAAATAGTAGCTATAATTCAAACATATTTAGCTTCTTTAGTGTAATTGCAAGAACAAATGAATTATATCACCATTTGAAGGCAGTTCTTAAAGCAGGTTATCTTAAGAGGTATAGATAATTTTTATTAACAAATGGAGAAAAATGAGACAACTATGTTTTCATAAAATTACATTTTACTAGGGATTTTGATGATACCGTCTTCTGTCTGGATTGCAAGGGGTTAAGAGTTAAAATGGTGTGTGCAGCTGTAACACTGGAGCTATTTTATCTCTTAATGACAGTTAAGGAGAGCCATTAGATAACACAGCCATAAGTTAAAAAGAGTCTGAAGTTGGTTTTACTTTTTTCCAAATTTCCTGTGATGATAAAACCTGATCATAGACCTTAAGATCTTTGGAATATGTTTATATGTATGTATGTATGTATGTATGTATGTATGTATGTATATATATGGAGAGAGAGATAGGTTGTTTTCATGAGAATTAAGTTTGACTTATTTTCCAAAGAGCAATTTGTAGCCTACTGTCCTGATAAAATGGATTCATCATTACACGTTAATATTAGAAAGCAGCTCAATGAGGCCAGCTGGTGGCCTCATTCCTCATAGGTGTGAGGAATGAAACCGAGGGAAGGCCATTTTAAGTAACAGCTGTCTTTTATCTTGTCAGCGCTGCCAGTTTTTGTTTAGTAAGCATTCCAGTTTCTGTAATAATTTTAAATGGAAGAAAGTAAGGAAAATGTATGATAACTGACTTTTTACTCTGATGTTACCATAGGGGTAATGAAGTTCATCGCAGATTGTTTTCTAACCTTCGGTGCATGTATTGAAATAGATTTTTGTTTTAAAAATATGAGATTACATTTTTCTGGATCTGGTGTGCATTGGGGTAGAGAGGATGACTGTCTTAAAAATAGATCGTGTATTCTGCCTAGAGCAAAGACTCTTAAGTCTTTTGGCTGAAAATGAACTGAGTATGGACAAAAATATTGAAGTATTCTACTTGTAAACTTACCGTATAATCAGTGTCTTGATAAAATAGTAGTTTTTGTTGGTTGAATCTAAGAATGTGTTGGACTTGGGTAAATTTCAGACATGACCAACAACAAAAAACAAAAGCCCAATTCCTTAACCTTTCCTGACTGAAACTTCTCAGGAAGAAACCAGTTTTGAATTGTATGACATAAATAAGATTGTCTTTTATTATAAGTTTTTAAACTATGTAATAAAACATTTGGGGATAACATCAGTTGAATGTGCTACTTTTAAAGCATTAAACCACTGACATAAGCCTTCTGTATTATAGAAACTTCTGAGTTACCAAAATTTAGTCTGGTACAGAGCCCTTGAATATGTTGTGGTTCCCTCATTATGGCCCTTCATTCCCTTCTGTGTTAATAGTAAAGCATGTTGCCTAATAACTACAACCCTGACCAAATTTGGGCCTGGATCTCATGGGTCACGTGGAGTTTTAAATACGATTTTTAATTTACTTGGGTAATTGAGCTGAATCTTTAGTTTTCAGATTACTTTTTTAAACAGATAGGCTCTTAGAACAAATTATTAAAAACATAATACCCCATTGGAGGGGAATCTGGATTAACTACCCACTGTTCCCACCCCCCCCAACTTTTGAAAAATTTTGGCCATATAGAATGCATGAAAAATCAGTATGATCTTATGAGGACTTTATAGTACTGTAAATCTTAGGAGCACTTTAGTTGTTTTGTTTGTTTGTTTGTTTTACCAGTCAAATAGCAGTGGGAGATTGTATACCAACTTTAGTGACACTGATATTAGTAAGTTCTGATAACCCACTACCATCGGACCAGCCTGGAGCACATTACTTTGGCCAGTGGAAAGTCTCTTGGAGAGACTTTGAGGTTTGTGATGACAAATCATGCTATCGTTAAAGTTAAATACATATATATACACACCTAGAATATAAGCAGAATGGAAAAGTTGGCAGGGATGAATTCAAGAACATTAGAGTGAATTTTTTTCATTACAGAATTGTTAGTTCCTTTAGGAACTTAGTCTCGTAGATGTATATATTTAATTAGCATAACTTGGACAGCACAAGATTAATGCTTTAACTTGTTTGCAGGAGTTTAAAAAGCTGGTTTCTGTTGCCAATAGTTGGTTGGAAGGGAAAATGGAGATGCCACAAATAAAATTTTTTGGATGTGCAAAACAGTTTTGATTTTATTTCTTACAAACTATAGGACTCCAAGCCCCCTGATCCTTGATCAGAACTACATTAACACCAAAAATCAAGTTATCAAAGCAGAGAGGAGGGTGCTAAAGGAGTTGGGATTTTGTGTTCATGTCAAGCATCCTCATAAGGTGAGTTGTAGAGTACAGAAATTGGGTTCGTAAGTATTAGGACTTTTCTAAAAATTTTATTTTATATGAATTTATGTTTCTATCTGAGTGTTAACCTTGGTTTTAAAAAGCATTCTTTTAAAGGTTCAGGCTTCATCGAAAAACATTCTTTTGGATGTTGAGATTTATCAGTAAAATGACAGTCAAAAATGTAGGTTCAAATCTTAAATCTTAATTGTGTGCTCATAGAGAAGTTATTTTTGTTTCTGTGGTTAAAGTCCCAGTTTTTCCACCTAGAAAACAGAGATGTAAAGTTCCTCATTCCAAGGAATAAATGTGTAGCTACAAAAGTATCTGGCACACTTATCATCATAGTAGAATGTTCTAAGTGTGTTGGCTGCTCACTGTTACCATTATTGGAAATTTGTTTCTCCCAACATCTCTTAGCTTTCATTATCAATATAAGCCATAGAGTGAGTTACCCGGGTCAGGACTACCTGGGTTAGAAATGTACCTTGGGAAATTAGGTGAAATAATCTAGCACGGTGCCCATCACATAGTAAAGTGCCAATGAAAAATATTCTTTTAATTGCCTTTTTTCCTGTACAATTTTGAAATATGCTTCTAAACATAATTTATATAAAATCTAGTCATGTAGCAGTTCACATTAGAATCTTATGTACATTTAAATTGGTCTGTATTATCGATGCACAATTAGAACTTGAGTCTAACATTTTCAATTACTTTTTTCATTGAACTCTACTCCGAAAGAACTACCAGTATACTGAATTGAGTTTTTTTCCCTTGTCCTTCAGATCATTGTTATGTATTTACAAGTCTTAGAATGTGAACGTAATCAAACCCTGGTTCAAACTGCCTGGTAAGTCACTTTTTTAGATTTCTTTCCTAGCCAGGAAAACAGAAGCAGAAATAAAGTAAGTTTCGTTTTCCCTTTCCAAAATAATGAGATAAGTTTGTTTGGGGCTTTTCGTTGTTTTTTTGTTTTGTTTTTTTAACCAAAAGGTAAATAATGCTTATTTCTGCTTCCTGTTTTCTTGGCTTGACTAATTACTTTTAATGGAGAACTCAATTTAACTTTGTTCTTTTTTCTACTCTTTAATTAAAGGGTAGTCCATGATGGTAAGTCATAGAACTCTGCCCTCTGCACTTCAGCCCATGACCTCAGGATGGCCTGATTGGCTACCCTGCTCTCCAGCCAATCCAGTGCAAGCTCTCATCCGAGATTCACTGAAGTGGTCCATATCCATCTGGCAGCATCTTCTAGTTCTGTCGGGGTGTCAAAAGGATTTGTATATTTGCTTCTAGAAGTAACTATTTGACATGCCTATGTATTTAATGTATACTTGTAACTATCAAAATGAATAGTTCATTTTTGATAGATTTGTTGTGCAGCCATTATGAATTAAATGGTTTATTAGGAGTTTGACTAAATTTTTATTTTTAGTGTGTATAGCATGAATACTACCAAAGGAGACGACAAACTTGCAGCTTAAAATGGGCACCAGTTCCCACACTGGCTTAATTTATATAACTGCTTGGCTGTATTGCGGGTAATAATATTAGAAGCAAGAAGCACTTCATTTTTAAAAGAGATGTTACTATAATATTGCTTAAATGCTTTAGCACTTGGACTTCTTGAGATGCAGATGTGTGATTTGGAGTGCTGGCTTATTTAAAGGTCAAGCCAAGGAGTTTGTGGTTCAGCCACAACTACTGTTTCCTAAGACTATTGATGTGAAGGACTTAGTGAAGTAATTTTTATATTCTGGGCTTCCCAGCAAGATGTCCTTTTTATGACTGCCATGCTTCTTTTGGACTCAGTAAATATTTGTAATGTTAGAAAAGTCTCATTATTTTTATAAAATGCATGACATTTTAAGTATGTGTTGCATAAAATGGATTATAGCAGTTCTCATGGTTTAGGATTTTTAAGAAATAGTCCATTTAATTTCAGCTTAACCTTTTAAATGATCTGTAAAATTTCTTTGATAGTTTAGGAATGTTGTGGGGAGGGTTCATTAATAAAAGTTCAGCAATTTTTTAACTGAAATAGTTTATCTCTTTTACCTAGTCACAAAAAAGGTATGTAAACAAGGCCATTATATGTGTTTATTGCTCTTTATTTCCCTATCTAGATTTTCTAAGTATCTTAGCTTTCTTAATATAAGTTTAACTTGGTACTTACTGAAAATGCCTTTTTACCCCTGTTAACGGTATTTTGAGCTTTTGAAAAGAACTTGGTTGACACTGCTTTTATTGTGGATAAAGGAGAGATGGTCAGTAATTAATGGCTTGAAGTATTATTGGAGTGGTTTATCATTTCTGAAACTAATCGTGTCAGAATTGACTTTGAAAAGCATTGCTTTTTACAGAAATATATTAACTTTTTAGGAGTAATTTCTAGTTTGGATTGTAATATGAAATAATTTAAAAGGGCTTCGCTCATATATAGGAAAATCGCATATGGTCCTAGTATTAAATTCTTATTGCTTACTGATTTTTTTGAGTTAAGAGTTGTTATATGCTAGAATATGAGGATGTGAATATAAATAAGAGAAGAAAAAAGAATAAAGTAGATTGAGTCTCCAATTTTATGTAAGCTTCAGAAGAACTGGTTTGTTTACATGCAAGCTTATAGTTGAAATATTTTTCAGGAATTACATGAATGACAGTCTTCGAACCAATGTGTTTGTTCGATTTCAACCAGAGACTATAGCATGTGCTTGCATCTACCTTGCAGCTAGAGCACTTCAGGTAGGTGTATATTTCCCATTTTGTTCTGTAGGATAAATCACACAAATTTTCGGTGGTTCCAATACAGATTTAGCAAAAATTTAATTTAAAACATTCTGTTCTTATGGTTTAGATTCCGTTGCCAACTCGTCCCCATTGGTTTCTTCTTTTTGGTACTACAGAAGAGGAAATCCAGGAAATCTGCATAGAAACACTTAGGCTTTATACCAGAAAAAAGGTATTCTCTATTTACTCGTTTGTGCCAACATGCTAAGAGTCCAAGCTACTCTAAGGAAGAAATACTAACTTTTTTTTCCTCCAACAGCCAAACTATGAATTACTGGAAAAAGAAGTAGAAAAAAGAAAAGTAGCCTTACAAGAAGCCAAATTAAAAGCAAAGGGATTGAATCCGGATGGAACTCCAGCCCTTTCAACCCTGGGTGGATTTTCTCCAGCCTCCAAGCCATGTAAGATGTATTTAGAATTAAAATGACTTGGGGGCACTGAAAGTGTGTCTTTATTAGAGAGCTTTTACATTTGAAAGTTGCATAGAGAAAAATGATGTTAGGAAACTGCTGCTATGTTCTCTCATGGCAGTCAACCAACATGGAAGCGGAAGCATGGTACTTTGAGTTACATTTAGAAACAACTTTTGGCCCTCTGTTAAATCCAGTAGTTAACATGTTGTTATTATATCTTTTAAAAGCATCACCAAGAGAAGTAAAAGCTGAAGAGAAATCACCAATCTCCATTAATGTGAAGACAGTCAAAAAAGAACCTGAGGATAGACAACAGGCTTCCAAAAGCCCTTACAATGGGTGAGTATACTTGGGCTGGAAAACTGGCTTGAGGAATCTTTTATGTGTTTACTTTTTAACACACTAAGTTTGTAACTAATATGTCATGATTTTTTGAAGTGTAAGAAAAGACAGCAAGAGAAGTAGAAATAGCAGAAGTGCAAGTCGATCGAGGTCAAGAACACGATCACGTTCTAGATCACATACTCCAAGAAGACAGTAAGTAAATGTTTTCTTAGGGAAGCAGTCTTATTTGGAGTTTTTAAAGGTTATTGCTTTTTCTTTAAAAATTGAACATAGATTATTTTCAAAGTTAGGTTAGAATTAGGCTTTTAGTATGAGGCAAATTATGAGAAATGAGTTTGGAGATGTTCTGGACATACAGTATCTTAATGGCATTCTGTTATATTTTCTCCCATGTTTTTTGGAGAAGTGTAGGAGCTACCCACAAAGTGCTTGAGGGCCATAGTATTGTTCATAATGTGAAAACTTCTTTTTTTTTTTTTAATTTCAGTTAGAAAATGTGTTTCATTAACCCCTTATTAATAACCAATAATCAAATTAACCAGTCAATGAATCTTCTTTAGTTAGGCCTGTAATTAGATTGTTAGCTCTTCGTGGCTCTTCAATGTCTTTTGAACATGTGGGAGATACTTAATAAAAAGCATAGCTCTAGGACACTATAAAAATTGCTAATTACTCCCCTTGGAATAAAGACATAAGAACATTTGCTTAAGATTTAATATGTTATATATAGGCTTGGGCATACAGCAGTGAGGGGTGGGGAGATTTTGAAAAGTTCTGGTTTGTCATTTATGTAGCTGGTAGTTTTGTTTTGAACCTGTTATGAGCAACCACCGGAATAATCTGTTCCCCATAGAAACTGAACCTAAACTTCAAATTTTTATTATCTAAGCTATAATAATAGGCGGAGTCGATCTGGAACATACAGCTCGAGATCAAGAAGCAGGTCCCGCAGTCACAGTGAAAGCCCTCGAAGACATCATAATCATGGTTCTCCTCACCTTAAGGCCAAGCATACCAGAGATGATTTAAAAAGTTCAAACAGACATGGTCATAAAAGGAAAAAATCTCGTTCTCGATCTCAGAGCAAGTCTCGGGATCACTCAGATGCAGCCAAGAAACACAGGCATGAAAGGGGACATCATAGGGACAGGCGTGAACGATCTCGCTCCTTTGAGAGGTCCCATAAAAGCAAGCACCATGGTGGCAGTCGCTCAGGACATGGCAGGCACAGGCGCTGACTTTCTCTTCCTTTGAGCCTGCATCAGTTCTTGGTTTTGCCTATCTACAGTGTGATGTATGGACTCAATCAAAAACATTAAACGCAAACTGATTAGGATTTGATTTCTTGAAACCCTCTAGGTCTCTAGAACACTGAGGACAGTTTCTTTTGAAAAGAACTATGTTAATTTTTTTGCACATTAAAATGCCCTAGCAGTATCTAATTAAAAACCATGGTCAGGTTCAATTGTACTTTATTATAGTTGTGTATTGTTTATTGCTATAAGAACTGGAGCGTGAATTCTGTAAAAATGTATCTTATTTTTATACAGATAAAATTGCAGACACTGTTCTATTTAAGTGGTTATTTGTTTAAATGATGGTGAATACTTTCTTAACACTGGTTTGTCTGCATGTGTAAAGATTTTTACAAGGAAATAAAATACAAATCTTGTTTTTTCTAAACTGCTTCAAATACCTTATTTAAATAAATTATTAAAAAGGAAAATTTTAATAGCAAAATGGCTGTACTGGTTTTCTGACAAACTTATTCTTTCCTCCATTAGATGGTAGTTTGAGATTATTAAAATGCAATTCTTAACTGCATTGTGAGCTATTGTAAGTCTTCACTGTATATATGGAAAAAGTAAATGGGAGTCGCCCAACAATGTGACATTAAATGTTATATTTTAGCACTAAACCAAAAAACCTGATTTGCTTTTGAATGGTGTCATAAGGTAATTTTGAGTCAGATTTAAGTACTATTTCTGAAATGAGGTACCCTATTGAATGAACCAAAACTTAGTAACTATTGAGCTTTAACAGTTCTGTATAATTTAGGCATTTAATGTTACGATTTTTACGTAGGCTAGGAGAAAATGTGAGGCCCCTGAACTTGAGTGGTTGATAGAATACAAGCTGATCACAAAGAAGTGAAGTTTTGATGAAAAAGCCGGAATTTCTATCCAGATGAATGTTTTCAAGTTACTCACATTTACTATTTTTTTCAACATTTTGGAAATCAGTTTACAGAGTCAAAATGTTGCATCGCTTTATAATTACACTAAGGTCTCCATTACATTTATTTTACCTACTTTAATTGTCCACTAGACTTGGCTCCAAGTGATTTGTTGCTGTTTCAAGAAATAAAATACACCCACAAAGAGGAAGATGTATTACTGCTAAGGATATTTTTAAAAATAAAGTTACAGCTTCTGAAGAGGAGATTCCAAAGACTTAAAATGTGTTCACCAATGGCAGGTGGTGGAGGCTGGAAAAAATAGCTTCACAAGGCAACTACTTTGAAGGAGATTAAGATTCATTAGGATATAAAAGTGTTGGGTGTGCTACTTAAATCAGTTATAGTTCTAACTATAAAGACTAACCAGAAACTAACAAGACCCAGCAAAAGTTAGCCACTTCATGCTTGAAAGAGGGTAGATAGTTCATTAAGACTTCTTTCTGCCTGATTTGTAATACACATTGCTGAATTATAAATAGATATTTCTGAAAAGCTAACTGCTTCTAAATGCTGAACAGTTTGCTTCCCCTACAAGATAGACATTGAAGAAAGGCAAAGGCAAATGTCAGCAAAGGCCCTGTTAGCAAATTAATGTTGATTTTTTTTTTTAACTTTTTTTTTTTTTTTTTTAGAGACGAGGTCTTGCTACGTTGCCCAGGTCGGTCACGAACTCCTGGCCTCAAGTGATCCTCCCACCTCAGCCTCCCAAGTATTAAATTCTTAATAGTGTTGAAATTACTTATGTCCCTAATCTTTGCTTGGAAATAGGAGTGCTGTGGGTGAGGGTTGTTTGTGAAGATGGGGAGTTGTGGAGGATACACCTGCATGTGGAATGAGGTTTGTATGTTAAAGGTGTTTTTAGAGGTGGCTTTGTGGGCTAGGCAAAGATCTTTTTCAGGGTCTTGATTTTTATCTTATTGTCTGTTACTGAATCCGTTTTCTAAGTTGTCAGGATGTTAACCTCATGCCACTCTATGGCTATTTAAACACTTTCTCTAGAAGTAATACTCATTTTCAAACTTATTTTGAGAAACAAAGTTGTGCAATACCAATAATACCTGTTTATTAACTCCAAAATAGCAAAACTTAATCTGTACCCCACCAGTTCACCACTCCACCTCCCACCCTTGCTATTGGGAAGAAAATCCCATACAAGTAAAGTTTGTTCCCAAGTGTCTCAGTCCACAAGGTTGAGGATTTTTAAAACATAACCATATAGCTTTATTGTAAGAGTTAAAAGTAATGCCATACTACCCCTGTCAGTATCCAGAGAGCCCTCATCTCTAATTTGTTTTAACTGATTTGTTCAAAGTCCAAATATGTTGCATCGGCTTTAACCACAGGCCTCTCCATATTTCTTACTTGAAGAAATTGGGTCATGTCCTGAAGAATTTTTTGTCTCCTGGGTTTGTTCATTGTAACTCTGTGCTGTCACTGAACACATTTTTCTGTCCACTGTGTGGTAAAGTGGTAGATCTTGAGGCTTGATCAGATTTAGGTTTAATTTTTTTACTTGTCTGGAATTAGAAGCCTGGACACCCAGACTGTTATTTTAGAACTGAAAACTAGGTTGCTGCCTCATCCACCAGGTATTTTACTGAGTTCTCAGTTCTTATCCATTGGTGCTTGTACCTCACTGGCTTTTGTATCTGTTTTTCCCTCTGTTCTCTGTCTCATGTTTTGGTTGGCCCATTACAGCAATGAAAATGTTATTTGTCCTAATGATCCTGATACTTTTTTTCTTTAAATGACCCACAAATTAAATCCCGTTTTGGTTTTTTTTTTTTTTTTTTTTTTTTTTTGAGATGAAGTCTCGCTCTGTCTCCCAGGCTGGAGTGCAGTGGCACGATCTCGGGTTACTGCAAGCTCCCACTCCCAGGTTCATGCCATTCTCCTGCCTCAGCCTCCTGAGTAGCTGGGAATACAGGCGCCTGCCACCACGCCCTGGCTAATTTTTTTGTGTTTTTAGTAGAGACGGGGTTTCACCTATGTTAGCCAGGATGGCCTCGATCTCCTTACCTTGTGATCCACCTGCCTTGCCTCCCAAAGGGCTGGGATTACAGGCATGAGCCACCGCGCCCGGCAAAATCCTGATTTTTAGTACAAGTCCTTTCATGTTATAGAACATTACATTTGTCCTTTGCAGCTGGTATCTTTAGTTTAAAGACCAGTGAAATTCTTAACCATGTTCCCATTTTAAAACAAAGCGAACATAAAAATGACTAATTCTTAGAACTGAAGTTCTAGGTTTTGCTTTAATAGCTTTTAAGTATTGCCACTTATAACCCCATTATTAACACCACAGTCTGCATCAAAAGCTTACTTAAAACATTTAGTTTTCATGAGAGTTTCCAAAAATAATATCATAACAATCATTTGTTCTAAGAGCCATTTCTTAACTCATCATGAACTGTAATAGATTATGAAGATAAGTTTCAAAATTTACATACCAGATTTTTTAAAATGAAGTTAAAAGCATGGACATATTGAGGGTCTTATGCATGGGCATACTGAAGGGTTTGGAGAGACAGAATGTGCATGAGGTTTGAGAAGGGGAGCATCACTTCCCTATGTGGAAATAGGAACGGAGCAGCGTTCATTGTGTGGGCCTTGAGCCCCTCATCCCTTTCACTCTAAGGCTGGAAGCCACAGCCTGATGTTCTAACCATTTGAACACTTAACATTTGTTCAAAGCCTGGCTTTGTAATCATTTGAACATTCCATTACATGGAAGGAACATGGACTTCATGTCAGCTCTGCATTTTAAATCATTCCTCCACAGTGACTTGACAAGTTATTTTACCTCTTGTCTACTGGCCCTTACAACATTTTGTGTAGTATATGTGTTGGGCAAATAGGATTTATTTTTACCATTGCAATCCAGACTTCATATTGGAACGCACTCAAATATTCAGAAGTTTGAATTCTACCACTCTCAAACACAGTTCAAAAGATAGCTGTTTGAGAATGCTTCTTAACTAATACTAGTACAATATCTTCAATAATGTATGTACCTTATAGAAAATCTTGAACAGTACAAGATTTTCATAATTAAGGCATGCAAAACTGCTTGGGCTCTTTGATTCCAGGTGTCCTCTTCTCCCTTCTGCTTTTGCCATCTATGTTCAATATAATTCTAACCCAGTCTAAGTATGGAGAAAATTCCTACCCTGCCTGCTTTTATAGCTCATCAAATTTCCCTGTATCAGCTATCACTTTTCTGGTAGGTGTAGTCTGATTTCTGTCTGTCATGCCTTTGCCACAATCCTTTCTTTGAAGAGTAGGTAAAATGATCTATTTAAAGTGTTAATCACATTGCTCTAATATATAAAGCCTCCAGTGGTTTCCCATATCACTCTGTAAAATGCCCCTTGCCAGCCTCTCCCATCAACCTCGCTTTTTCTGTTCTTGTATATGCACATCTCTTCCTGAGCCTTTATTGCCATCCTCATGTGGGGATGTTTCTGTCTCAGAGATAGTCTTTATTCAGGTCCCACTCTGCAGTCCTCTCCAGAGGGGCTGCTTTCACCACCCCTTCTAAGTAAGCCTCTCTAAACACCTCTATCATATTCTATCCCTTAGCCAGCACTAATTTTTTCATAATGCTTACCACTAACTGAAATTTACTTTATCATTTAATCTCTTCCTCATTAGAATGTAAGCTCGTAAGGGAGGGGCAGCTCTGTAGTTTATTCATTATTGTATGTCCCTCACCTAATCCTATGAGTGTCTGGCCCATATTAGGGTATGTAATAAATATTACTTGAGGAATGAATGAATTTAACATACTACCAATTCTCTGAGTGACTCTTTTTAAAGCCTTCATCATCATTCACACTTTCTTGTCTTTCATATGGGCATGTCCAATCACCCTTCCATGAATATCTGTACCTGTTACAAAGAGAGGACTAGGTTCCTGGAGTTCATAGATGTAAACAACATCCTAGGGGTAGCAAACTGGTGGGCCCTGAGCCAAATCCTGGCCTGCACATGTATTTTGTTTGAGTTGTACAATGTTTGTTATAAATGAACTGGCTGATAATATTTTTTAATTGGAAATGTTTACATTAAAAACCTAGACTTCTAGCTGCTCTTAAAAAATAAAAATACGGCTGGGCACTGTGGCTTATGCCTGTAATCCTAACACTTTGGGAGGCTGAGGTGGGCGGATCACTTGAGGTCAGGAGTTCCAAACTAGCCTGGTCAACATGGCGAAACCTCATCTCTACTAAAAATACCAAAAAATTAGCCAGGCATGGTGGCGGGTGCCTATAATCCCAGCTACTCAGGAGGCTGAGGCAGGAGAATTGCTTGAACCCAGGAGGTGGAGGTTGCAGTAAGCCGAGATCGTGCCACTGCACTCCAGTCTGGGTGACAGAGCAAGACTGTTGAAAAAAAAAAAAAAAGCCGGGCGTGGTGGCACATGCCTGTAATCCCAGCTACTCGGGAGGCTGAGTCAGGAGAATCACTTGAACCCAGGAGGCGGAGGTTGCATAGAGCCAAGATCGTGCCATTGCACTTCAACTTGGGCTACAGAGCGAGACTTAAAACAACAACAACAACAACAACAAAAAAAACATGAGATCCACAATACTCCAGGCCACAGTTAACTAGCATCCAGTAGCCATCCGGGTGAGGCTGCATGCTGCAGTGCGTGACGATTCCCTCCACCCCCTGTTAATTGTGTAACACTGAAGCCAGGTGCAGGTGTCAGTTGGCAGGTATCAGTGTGCTGATGCTATTTTCTTGAATTCTGCCCTTTTGCTCATTGATGTTACTTACTTGGCTCTTGACACCTGATATCTCACGGAATATTCCAAGACAATGTGAATCACCAAATCTGTGAATGTGGCATTGTTTGACTAGGCTCCTGGGTCAGTTAAATCAGATTGTTTTCTGTGCCCCAAATCAGTAGTGAACCACCATATAGCTAAACCTTTTCAAACGAATTTCTCACTTCAGTGACTTTTACACTGCTAGAGCACTTAACAGAGCACATGACACATCATATCTTTGTACAGAGGGCCCGGCACATAAATCTCACTGTGAGGCTCAGTTTTCCACCCTAAATTACAAAATTTAATTTCTTGCCCAAAATGATTTTCTGCCCCAGATGTGTTATTTTCATGGACCTTTCAAACCAAATTTTAGTCATTTAACAAAAATTAATACAACATAGACCAACAATGAACAAATAAAGCCACATTTAAATTGATTAGCCGGGCTCTCAGCCCCTAGCTGACTTCTTTTACACACGCAATTGAAATCAAGAGTCTCAGATAAACTTCCAACTTATTTGAAAACAGTCAAATTGCAAATGTCAAGCATCTACTTGCATATAATCTGATGAGGACTATAATGATAGGTTTCTACCTAGAGAAATAAGGGTAGGTGAAGTCTCAATGCTTAGATACGTGGCACATACCTGCATGTAATTAATATTCAGTTGGAGGCAAAGACAATGTTTTAAAAAGCCAAATGACATCCAGAATAATCCTCAGTATATTTTAGAGCCAAGCAACAGTACAATGAGTGCCAAGTTTAAAGAAGAAAGATGGACCACTGTGGCCTAGAAGGCCCTGGAAAATTTTTAGAGGACAGGGAATGTGGGCTGCACTTTGGATGGGAGAAGGTTTTAAAGGACAAAGAGGAAGCCTGGCATAGTGGTGCACCTGTAGACCCAACTACTTGGGAGGCTGATACAGGAGGATCGCTTGAGCCCGGGAGTTCAAGACTGTAGTATGCTATGATTGTTCCACTGCATTCCAACCTGGGCAACAGCAGCAAGACCCTGTTTCAGGGTAAAAGAAAAAAAGAAAGACAAAGAGGAAGAGGCCCAAGAGATGGTGTTCAATGCTGACATCCTCTATTAGCTGTGCAATCTTACACATCTTACTTAACCACTCTAAGCTTCCATGTTCCCTTCTGTAATGAGTTAGTAATTAAGCCTAGTGTATTCAGATATGAAGGTTAAAGGAAATAATGTATATAATACACTTAACACAGTGTTAGGTGTGTAAATGTCCAATAAACGTTATCATTATTAGCATCTTCAGACACTTGAGGATGCCAGACTATGGCGTCTTGTAGACCAGAGCGCCATTGTTTTAAAAGTGGGTGACTGTAATTCCTAGGGTTTCCTAGGGCTGCTGTCACAAATTACCACAAACTTGGTAGCTTAAAACAACAAATAATTACTCCTTCACATTTCTGGAATCTAGAAGTCTGAAATCCAGATGACAGCAGGGCCATGCTTTCTCTAAGTCCACCCTTGTTTCTTTGTAGTTTCTGGTGGTTCCCGGCAATCCTTGGTTTTCTTTGGCCTGTAGCTGCATCACTTGTCTCTGCCTCCATCTTCACATGGCCTTTTTCTCTGTATGTGTATGTCTTCTAAGGATACCAGGGCCTGCCCTAACCCAGTATGTCCTCATCTTAACAAAGTACATCTGCAAAGACCCTATTTCCAAATAAGATTACATTCTGAGGTTCTAGGTGGACATCAATTTTGGGGAGACACTAGTCAACCCTTTTCAGTGACATAAGAAAAATAATAAAGAACCTGAAGTGGACTTT
This sequence comes from Homo sapiens, assembly GCF_000001405.40. Classification (NCBI taxonomy): domain Eukaryota; kingdom Metazoa; phylum Chordata; class Mammalia; order Primates; family Hominidae; genus Homo; species Homo sapiens. The sequence continues at coordinate 157,140,666 of NC_000003.12, read as the reverse complement.
TAAAGAAATTTTCATTTTGAAATAATTTCAGATTTACAAAAAAGTTGCAAAAATTGTGTGAAGAAATTTTATATATCCTTCACCCAGATTCACCAAATGTTAACATTTCACCACACTTGCTTTTTCACTTTTTGTGGTGTCTTTTCTGCTCTGCTCGAGAGTAAGTTGCAGTCATTGTTTCTTTACCTGTAAGTACTTCAGTATATATTACTTAAAAACAAGGACGTTATCTTACATATCCACAATATAATTACCAAAGTCAGAGAATTTAACATATTGACCAATACTGTAATCTATCGACCAGACATTGCCAATATTGCAAATATTGATCTATTGATCAAATATTGCCAATTTTCCTACTAGTGCCCTATTTTCTGGTCCAGAATCCAACCTAGAATCATACATTGTCTTTAGTCGTAATCTTTTTAGTCTCTTTTCATTGTAATTGTTCCTCAGTCTGTCTTTGCTTTCATAACCTTGACATTTTTAAAGAGTGAAAACCAAACTTGCCCAATCCACGGCCCATGGGTCGCATGCAGCCCAGGATGGCTTTGAATGTGGCCCAACACAAATTCGCAAACTTTCTTAAAACATGATACTTTTTTGCGATTTTTCTTTTCTTTTCTTTTTTTTGCTCATCAGCTATTGTTAGTATTAGTGTATTTTATGTGTGGCCCAAGACAATCCTTCCAATGTGGCCCAGGGAAGCCAGAAGATTGGACACCCCTGTTGTAAACTGATGGTTCTGTCGAATATTTTTTAATTTGAGTTTGCCCTATTTTTTTTTTTTTGTGATTAGATTTGGGTTCTGTGTTTTTGGCAGGAGAAATACAACAGAAGCCAGGTTGTGTCCTCAGTGCCTCATTAGGAGGCACAGTGTTAATTTGCCCCAGTAACCAATGGTGTTAACTATGATCATTGGTTAAGGTGCTGTCTGCCAGTGTTCTCTATTAAAAAGTTACTATTTTACACTTTGTAATTAACAAGTAGCTTTTGGGGGAGATACTTTAGATCATATAAATATTGTTTCTTTTGTTTTTTATTTATTTTTTTGAGACAGAGTCTTGCTCCATCTCCCAGGCTGGAGTGCAGTGGCATGATCTGGGCTCACTGCAACCTCTACCTCCTGGGTTCAAGTGATTCTCCTGCCTCAGCCTCCCAAGTAGCTGGGATTACACACGCCTGCCACCACACCCAGCTTTTTTTTTTTTTTTTTTTTTGTATTTTTAGTGGAGATGGGATTTCGCCATGTTGGCCAGGCTGGCCTCAAACTCCTGAACTCAGGTGATCCACCCACCTTGGCCTCCCAGAGTGCTGGGATTATAGGCGGGAGCCACTGCACTCAGCCTAGATAATATCAATAGTGCTTCTTAATTAACTTCTGCCTACTAATTCTAGCATCCATTGATGATTTTTACCTGAAATAACTATTGAAAATGATTTTTAAATTTCAGCATTCGCTCGACATTTATTAGTTGGAATGCCACTGTAAGAAAGAGCTTTCTTTTCTCCTTCATTTATTCATTTGTTTATATGTTTCAGTATGGACTCATTCTATGAAGTTATAATCCATTACTATCATTATTTCGTTACTCAAATTCCGATGTGGCCAATGGAAACCCCTTTAAGATAGTTCCTGTGTCCTTTATTATTTATTTATTTATTTAGATGGAGTCTTGCTCTGTCACCAGGCTGGAGTGCAGTGGCGCGATCTTGGCTCACTGCAACCTCCACCTCCTGGGTTCAAGTGATTCTCCTGCCTCGGCCTCCCGAGTAGCTGGGACTACAGGTGCGCACCACCACGCCCAGCTAATTTTTGTATTTTTAGTAGAGACGGGGTTTCACCATGTTGGCCAGGATGGTCTCAATATCTTGATCTCGTGATTTGCCCGCCCTGGACTCCCAAAGTGCTGGGATTACAGGCATGAGCCACCACACTCGGCCTCCTGTGACCTTTAAGATGAATATTTTAAAGACTTTTTCCCACATGTGTACCTTTCCAGAAGGTTCACACCATTTGTGCTTTCTCTAGACCTGTATAACCAGAAGCTCTTGGGAACATGAGTTCTTGAGAATATCAGCACTGGCGTCAGAGGGGATGAAATAACTTTCAAAGATCAGGATAACTACCTTGCCAATGTATAGGGCTTCTCATGGCTGCAGTTTCCAGAACAACTTTTCTTTTGGTCCAGGACGATCTTCCCCATTGCTGTGGTTTGGATATGGTTTGTTTGGCCCTGCCAAGTCTCATGTTAACATTTGATACCCAACATGTTGGTGGCAGGGCCTGGTGGAAGGTGTTTGGGCCATGGGGTGGATCCCTCATGGCTTGGTGCCATGCTCAAGGTAGTAAGTGAGTTCTCGCTCTATTAGTTCCTGTGAGAGCTACTTGTTAAAAAGAGACTGGCACCTCCTCCTGTCTTCTTGCTTTTGCTCTTGCCATGTGATCTCTGTACACACTGATTCCCCTTTGCCTTCTGCCATGAGTGGAAGATTCCTGAGGCCCTCATCAGAAGCAGATGATGGGTACCATGCTTCTTGTATAGCCTGAAGAACCGTGAACCAAATAAACCTCTTTTTCTTTATAAATTACCTAGCTTTGGGGCCGGGTGTGGTGGCTCACGCCTGTAATCACAGCACTCTGGGAGGCCAAGGCGGGCCATTCACGAAGTTAGGAGATGGAGACCATCCTGGCTAACACAGGGAAACCCCGTCTCTACTAAAAATACAAAAAAATTAGCTGGGCGTGGTGGCAGGCGCCTGTAGTCCCAGCTAGTCGAGAGGCTGAGGCAGGAGAATGGTGTGAACCCAGGAGGCGGAGCTTGCAGTGAGCTGAGATCGCGCCACTGCACTCCAGCTTGGGTGACAGAGCAAGACTCCGTCTCAAAAATAAAATAAAATAAAAATTACCCAGCTTCATGTATTCCTTTATAGTTACACAAACGGACAAAGACACCCATGCACGATCGGTTTCCATAGTCCTACAATCTGTGGTTCCTTGAACGCCTTTCAGTTTGCATAGTCAGTAATAAGAACCTACGCCACTAGAGGTCACTCTTTGGCTGTCTGTGATACAAGATCTTGCTCTAAGTTTTACTTCAGCTGACTGGCAAGCCTTATTCTGAACACAATAAAGGCTTGTCTGTTTACAAAGGAACACTAATGTCTTTAGCTACATCCATTTAAGCCTCATTTAGGCCTTTAATCCAGACTTGAACCTTTGGCAATAACTCTAAAGGTACATACCTTTGCTAGATTCTGCTGGCAGAAGAATAGATAGCAACCCTTATTTATATAAGCACTATGTGCCAGATGCCATTCTGCTTCACATATATTAACTCATTTGACCTCTTTCTAAAACCGTGTGGTGGGAGAGGAACCCATGAGTTGGTGATTTCACCCAGCTAGTAAGTGATTGAGCCAGGATTTAGTTTGTTGCAGAGTCTGTATACTTAACCACTCTACCAAGCCCGGGCTGACTGGTCTCATTACAAAGCATCCACATAATGAGGTTTGAACTCATCAAAAGTCTTTTAGAGCTCAGCAGTAGACGCTGCTTGCCACGTGTGTGCTACTGGGAAATTGTCCAGCAGAGTCATGCACATACCCACACCTGCACCCAGCCCGTTGCTTGTGGTTGCAAGCTGTCCAGGTCCAGAGATCAACTCCAGTAACCCTGTGGCTCCACCTGCCACCCCATTCAGTGTGGTGCTCAGAGAACCTGAGGGTGTCAGCTTTTCCTTGCTTTGCTATTGCTTCCTAGAAGCAGTGTCAGCTTGCTTTGGAAGCTGCTTCAAATTAAGCCCCAAGGTAGCTGATAAAGTTTGAGGTCTTTCCTCCTTGGCCGAGGTGGTGAAAGAGGCATGGGTTCTGGAGTTCAACTGGCCTGCATTAGAAGTCTAGTCCTCCTACTCAGTGGCCATGTGGCCTTGGACAGAATTGCTTAACCTCTCTGAGCCTGAGTTTCTTCATCTGTGGGTTGACAATGATAAACATTTCCCTTGTGTGATTGTTGTGAGATTCAGTAATGTATGTAAAGAGACATTAGCACAGAGTAGGAGGTACTTGATACATCTTGCTATTATCTCTTCCTTAAAGGCATAGCCCAATTCCTAGCAAGCAGAAAGGCTGACCCTGGTATCTTGTCCTAGGTGGATCTCTTGTTTTTCCTAAACATTAGTGCCCCTTATGGCCTGTGTTATTCCTTGAGCAATTAAAACACATCACTCTATGCTGGCAAGTGTCATTTATCGTGTTTGGCCTGATTCGCCAACTAGACTCCAATCAGAGCCAGGACTGTTTGTTATACTTCATTGTATCCTTAGTCTTAATCAGGGACCCAAAACGGTAGGTGCTCTCAATGACTGTCGATGACAATTATTAACTGAAGTCAGTTAACAAGTATTTATGGAGTATTTACTATGTGTCAGGCAGTGGGCCAGATTCCAAGAATACTGAGGTAAAAGAAACCCAGCCCCTCACTCAGGGAGCTCCTGCTGTGGCTAAAAGCTTTGCCAAGACATGAAAAGTTAATGTACTTTTCTGAGCATCTAATTCCCAGGGAATGACTTTGTTGAAGTAATCTGGCTCACTGTGTCTCAAACAGAAGGCAAAAGCCAAGTATGCAACCAGGAAGCTTTTTACACTGGGGAGTACATAGCATTGCATTTAGTACCCAAGGACGCTGGGGCCATTCAGGACCCCACAGGCTGTTCTTACCTCCTGCTCCTGAAGAGCAGCCCAACAGCTCTCATTCCCATCAAGATAACAGCCTGCAAGTGTGGGGGACAGCTTGCTGCTCTCCTCACCATGAGAGGTCAGTGCAAGACCTTGGACAAACCCGGTCAGTGATGGATTCCCCTTGTGAGTCATTCTAGCAATACATTATCGGAATGATTTGTTCTGGGATGGAGTGGATGAAAAGGAGAGAATGATTTGGAAAAAATGAAACCATCTTTTGAATTCATGAGTGCCACAAGTCATGAGTTCAACCAATGTTTGACTAACAAGTATTTTTAGCACAAAGATATTATATCTTTGAGGCAATTTGAGGGTTTCAGAAAACAAGTGCTGTCTGGAAACCCAAATAATAATTGAAGAAATACTACGCAATAGCCAAAAGCTTTACTCTCTCATTTGCAAAAGCAAAATGACATTTTTTTCCCCAGAAAAAAGGAAGGCTTTCAGAAGTTAAAAGAAATGCAGTTTACTGACTAAACGCCCCTCTGCAACAGAATAAAGAACCTTCCCTCTTATCTGGGTTCGGAACTGGCAAGCAACCTCCATGTGGGCACTTCATAAATATTCATTGATGATGAAAATGTCGACAGTGCAAAGGAACCATTTTGTCATTTCAAGAACCCTTTTGAAATGCTAGTGATTGAAGAAGGATCTTGACTATCCTTTGCAAATCTCGAACAAGAAAGGCCCAGTTCAGCTGTTCACATGGAATGAAACAGAACAAGGACACCGGATTAATCTCTCCTGGAGTCTTGGGTTGTGACTGTACTTATAAAGAGCAGAGCAAACTGAAGCAGTGGGTAGGATTTTTAAATAACCACTCCCCAGACATACAAGCAACTGACATTCAGCAACTCCACTCTGTGGGCAAAAACCACCTTGTTTCACTTTGCATTGGATATGAAGGCTGTGCATATAAACAGAAATAGTTAAAGCATAAGCAGGGTGTGGCAGTCCGTGTTTGTCACCCTAGACCATCCCTATCATGCTGCATCAGTTGAGCTGAGGGACATTCAGAGAGAACATGGTGAAACCAATGCACTGCTTTGTTGCCTGGTCAAGGTCTGCTTGTTTTGGCCTGGGTACACCTGGCCTTGGCCCATGGAATCTTGATAAACAGAAAGGAATGCACCTCAGTAATCATTGCCTGTACAGCCTGTGTTGGTGAAGCCAGATTATGGCTGAATTGGGCCAGTATGGCTTGGAGACCTTCCATCAGAGGCCTGGGCTATATCTGGCCCTACAGAGACCTCTTTCTGGATTCTAAGAGACACTTTCCATTTGCCAGTGGTTGACACAGGCCAGGGTAGGGGTGGGACAGCCACTACTTGGTTGTGGCTCTGGGCTATCTTAGGCCTGGAACAGAACAGCCCTATTTCTCCACACTAGGCCCCTACATCCCACCCTCCACCCCCACACCACTGCCACCACCAAGGAGTAGCCTCAAACCTTTCTCTGCACTAGAGGGGGCTGTCAGAGTAATGCTTCTGTCACCTCTGTGCTGTTTCTCATGACACACAAATACACACACACACACACACACACACGCCATGAACCACTCTGCTGAGTTTGGCGCTGGTCTTCACCTGGGACTCCAGGACTTTGGGTGAGCTCTGAGGTTTACACCATGTTATAAGGGGCAGGAAGGCACCAAAGCCCATATCATGGACTGAAAGGCCCCAGGCAGCATAATGGCACCAGGAAAACCACCGCACTTAGCCACAGCCCTCCGACAGCCTCCTATCAACACCTCTTATTCTCATGCTCCCCTCACCTCCTGCCACTCACCTTATCAAAGTTTGCCCTTTCGTCCATTCTTCAGACATTGACTGAGCACTTATATATGCAAGGCAGACCTTTGCTGAGAGAGGTGGGCTGGAGCTGTCTCCTCACAAATGAAAAAAGCCAGGGAAAGAAAGGAGCATTAATTGAGTCCTTGCTTTGTGCCAGAAGCTTTAGATTCATGTCTCACTTAATCCTGCCTTCATACCTAAGAGGAAGGCCTCATTATTCTCCTAAGTACCAGAATGGTGTGGAGGTGACACTCAGGGACACTGCTGCCTGACTGCGTCACTTCAAAGTCCAGCTGTTGTGACCCTGGGCAGAGGATTGGACCTATGTGCCCACTGCACCAGCAAAATGGGAATTGGGCTATTGTGAGCATTAAAGAAGTTAACTTATGTATAAAAAGCATTTAGAATAGCTAGAGGGAAATGTTAACCATTCTTATTGTAGTATTAGCTATTATATGTCAGAGATGAGAAGACAGAGGCTTATTGCTCATGTATAAAGATTGGATTCCACTGTGCTCCACAGCAAGTGCTCCCCCAAACTCCATGCTGCTTCTCTCACATTGTAAACTTTCCAGGGATGTTTACATTTAGCTTATGGCCAGGGCCTTAAAAGAGTTTTAAATCAGTGTATAAGAGAGAATTTGGGAGACCACTGGAGTCTTCTTTGGACCCCTGAAATTGTGTCCTCTGAGCAGAGGGTTGCCAGTGACCAGCAGTGGGCCCCAATTGTTCTGGAGAGGGCTGGTGGCATAGGGCAGTGGCCCTGGCACCTGCCCCCTCCTCTTCTCAGAACTAGGATGAGGTCCCATGATTCTGACTCTAACTTCCTCTCCACCTTTCCTTGTCCCCATCCCCATCTTAGAATCTGGGTAGTTTTTCCTGAAAATATGGCAGTTAGAATTTAAATCCAAGCCTGCCTGGCTCCAAAGCCCACGTTCTCTCTGTTCTTGGTCAGTTGCCCCACAGCTGCTCAGACATCTGTGGCAGACAGACGAATGAGGCCACAGGGACTGACACAATCATGACTTGGCCTTTGTGTGTGGTGGAAGAAGGGGGCAGGAAACTGGCACAATGGCCAATTCTGGGTGCAGGCATATCCATGTGTAACCAAGTTACCTGATCACTCAATGTATAAATGCAATCAATGGAAAGATCATATGCACTCATCTAATGTGATGCAAGGGACTCCCACCCCAAAGCAGAAAAGTGGCCAGAGGTGTCCTTGGTCAGGCAAACCATAGTTTCAAGGGTGTAACATTTTCTGGAGCTCACATCATGCCCTGACTCTCCTAAATAGCTTTGTTATCTTGGGCAAGTCTATTAACCTCTCTGAACCTCAATTTAATAATATGCAAAACAGGGCAAATAATCCTTACCTCAGAGGGTTTTCCTGATGTTTATGAGATGATGTATTAAAAAATGCCAGAGACTGGTACACAAGAGATGTTTATGAACTATGAGCTTTCCTAGACAGTGTAAGAACACAAATATGATCTCACTTAGTGTACCCCAGACATGGAAGATCTGCAAGAAGGCTTTCTGCACTCTGGCTCAGGTCCTCATTGGTAAGAAAGTGAGCCTGTGTGTCACTTCACTGCACTGTGAGTGTTGGAAACCCTTCTGTGGATGCCTGGTACTGCAACCAGCAGCATTTTAGAGGGGGTGTCCAACTGTCTTCTGGGGTGCTCTAGGGGTGTCTTCTGGGGTGCTCTTCTGTGCCTGTCCACCTGCGCCTTCCTCCACTGTCAGACCCTCACAAGCTCTTCAGTGTTGTGCTCATTGGTTTCATCAAAGCAGGACAATACTTGGCACTAAGTCGACAAAATTCTCACTTCTGCAGTGGGTCTCTAGATGTCCATGACCCTGCCTTCTCAGGAAAAGAGGGAGGACATGCGGCTGGAGGGACACAGAGGGCAAGACTGCATCCCAGTTACAACACCAGGAAGCCACGTCTGAAAGGAAACTCCTCAGAAACCTGGGCATAGGCTATCGGGAAAGTAAAGAAGACATCTGGAGAGGCGAATATTCTGAAGGAATCTCTGCCAGAGGAGAAGGGAAAAGGAAAGCACTTATCCAGGTCAAAGGCATGAGTTTCCAGGAGATTATTCATCGTGACTAGAGGATGACTGTTGACTAGATTTATTCCACAGGTATGGAAGGAAAAGTCTTGGTACATTTTTTGCAGCATTTCCTCCTCTCCATATAGACTGTTCTCATTCTGCAGGGCTGGGGTTCACCCAGTATTCAACTCCAAGCCCTTCACATAGTAAAAGAAGTAAGGGGAGCCAGGCATGGTGGCTTACACCTGTAAACCCAGCACTTTGGGAGGGCAAAGCAGGCAGATTCATTGAGCTCAGGAGTTCGACCCCAACCTGGGCAACATGGTGAAACCCTGTCTCTACTAAAAATACAAAAATTAGCTGGGTGTGGTGGTGCATGCCTGTGGTCCCAGCTACTCTGGAGGCTGAGGTGGTAGGATTGCTTGAGCCCACATGTGTGAGGCTGCAGTGAGCTGTGATCACACCACTGCTCTCCAGCCTGGGTGACAGAGTGAGAGACCCTGTCCCCCCAACCACCCCCCCCAACAGAAAAAGAAAAGAAAAAAGTGAGGGGTTTGATATCAGAATCCCTGGGTTCAGGCTGTTGCTCCATCTGACCAGCATATGATCTCTCAGACCCCAAGTTCCTCGTCTGAAAACGAGGATAGTTCTGCTTCAGGGCTGTGGTGAGTGGAAGGTGAGATTGTGTCTGAGGAAGGAGATTGTAACGAGGAAACACGCAGTTATTGGTCACTTATTTTTCAACATGCAGGAGCTCTAATTTGCCTCCAGACAACCGGTTCTATCTCAGTAAAGAAAAAGATAGCTATTAAAGTGTTTTGTAATCTTGAGGGACCTGAAAAGATTTTAAAGAGCTGAGGAAGAGCGGCCAAGTGCTTTCTCACCTGTTCCTCATCCTGGCCCCATCATCTTGGGGACATATAGGACCTTTTAGGGGAGCCTCGGCAAGTGGCCACCGTCTGGCCTCGGGCAGGCCTCCCTGGCGCCGCCAGCAGCTGGGTAGTAGCCGGGAAGGGCGCCCTCAGTCCCACGCTCACCTTGGGTCTGGGCCCACATTAAGCACTTTTTTCTTCATGCGCCATTTCCTCCATCAAAAAGTATTAAAAATTATATTTTATGGATTTATTGATGAAAAGTAAAGGTATTCCAGTCTGGGTTAATTACTATATATTCATTATTATTAATTACTTTCATTATTTATTTTTCCTTACGATTTTAATAGCAAGGTAATTTCACAGCAATGAATGATGAGTCGCATTTTGGCCACAAGGGGGTAGCATGGGGTCACTAGATGCTCACGGGAAATTGGGTGGGGGGCGCCTGGTAAACAGTGGGAAAGACAGCAACAGCCACCACCTCTGACTCACAAAGGGCTCTTGCTTCTCACCGCGTTTCCTCAGAGAGTGTCGTGTTTGCTCCTCACCACATGAGACCCAGAAAGCCAGCGGGTGGGGCAGGAGTTATTGCCCCACTCAAGGGCCAGGAAAGGGAGGCTCCCCCTGGGAGGGTCAGTGTCATGCGGGGTCACACGGTGGCAGAGGCAGGCGAATTCCTGGCTCCTGCTGTAGTGCTCCTCCCTCGGAGCCCCAGACAACCCGGATACTCTAAGCAGATGGGACAGGGACCAAGAAGCAAAACCTCTCCTCATATTGTTGCCCAGCTCAGCCCTGCCATGAGCACCCCAAATCATCGCTGGAGAGCCCCGCAGACCCCAAAGCACTGCTCGACTTTCCACCTCTGGGCAGAAGAGACCCTACATTCCACGCGTGGGCCCTACCCCAGCCTCCCTCGGGGCCAAGCACGCCTTTGTTCGCTCTCTTCCTGACCACAGGCAGCACGAGCCTCTAGGTGGGAGAGACGAGACACTCGTTCCCCTCCCTTGGAAGCTGAGCAATCACATCAAAGGCATACAAAAGGCAATTCACTGTGCAAAGGGAACGGAAAGAAATAAGTGCTCTATGGGCTCTGAGCGCTCGGGAAGGAGGTACAGCAAAGAAGGAAAGGCCAGAAACAAAACCAAACAAAACACAAGGTATAAAATGATCCGATCTTGGGGAGGCGGTTTTCTACCTCCTGGGAGGAACACCCAGCGTGTTGCCTGGCTGAGTGTACTGGGCACATGAAGAACAATAGGCCTTTCTCTCCAGCAGCCGAGCACATGCCAGGAGAAAAGGAGCCCCTTCTTAGGAAGGCTAAGTCCGCGCAGGGGCAGGGCCAGTGTAGGAAGCTAGTTTATAACACAGATACTTGCATTGAGCCTCCTTCTGAAAAGGTGGGGGGCAGGGGGTGCATAAACCCATGTGAAAATAAAAAAAAGACTTTTCTTACTGGATGAGAGAAAAAAGATTGTTCAGTTTTTTAGGCGAAACATAAGATGCCAACTGACCCTGAAATAGATGTGTCAAAAGGCAACCTGGGGCGGTTTGTTCTTTTACAGGAAGCACCTTTGTGGCCCAGAAGGTGCCAAAAACATCCTGGGGATAAGCAGTCCTTAGCAAAGAGGGGCCAGGCCTGAGGTGGGGGAGGTGGCCTTACACGGAAGCCCTGGAGAAGTGAAACAGGTAGGTGGGGGCCCCTGGGTGCTTCGGGTGCTCCAGGGACAGAGGTGGCATCCACCCACTAAGCAGGGTCACTGGATAGGCAGGAATCCCTCCCCACTCACACGCAGAGTGACCCCAGTGCTGGTCTAGTTAGGCAGGCCCGACTGGAGGAGGAATGACAGGCCTGCCACACAGATGAGGAGTAGAGTCGCAGTTCATCGTTTCTGGCTCTCCTCCGTCCCACCCCTGACCCCTCCACGGGATTGGTGAGTGGAGGTGACAGTCTAGTCTAGATTGGGAAGAGAGAGACTGAGAAACCAGACCGAGAAAAGGAAGGGCGCCCTTGGCAGAATGCCTGGCATTCCTGAGGCTGTGGATTCTGTACCTTCCTGGGAGGAGGAGAGGCATGGCAGTCACAAGCCACGGCTATCCCCGGCAGAACCAGCCTGGCTGTGTTCAGGAACTCTGATAGAGGATGACTGACTTCAGAATTGAAGAGGGCTTTTAGGATGATCTGATCCTCTCCTGTTGGTACTAGAAGGGACTCTGGGGAAAACACAGTCAAACCCTGATGAGTCCCAAAGAGATGATGTGACTTGGTGAATGCTCCATTTCTGTCTGGTCAGAGGACAGAAGCAGGAAGCCCTGGTTTCCTGATTTATGGCTCAGAGCTCTTGCTGGTAGATGACACTACCTCAAAAATGGAAGGTAAAGGTAGCCTGGAGGAGTCCTGAGAGCTGGACCCATGGCGTTGAGGGGCAAAGTGAACCTTAATTTTAAAGTCAGACCAGAGACAGAGCTCAGCCATCCAAACAATGTGATTTATCAGAGTAGCTGGGGAAAAAAAAAACACAACCAGCCCGAGAAGTCACATGATAGGGAGGTTGGTGGGCAGGGCTTATGACATGGTGTCTCAGGTTCCTTTCATCTCCAGTGTTCTGAGACCTGCTCTTCTGAGAGTCTGAGGCTCCAGGGAGATCACAGGGAGTCGATGCTGACTCGAGAAGAGGGCTGTGAGAGCCTGGCCATGACTCAGTCCACTGGGGCTTCCCTGGACCACTCTGTTATCTCTGAGTTCGCAGCCACTTCTGTGATTCTGGCTGGCACAATTGCCCAAGGCCTTCAGTGGTGAGTCAGTAGAAAGGGACAGGATAACTCATTGCCCTGGTGGAGAGGCCTCTCACCCCAAGCCTCCCACCAGTGCCTTCCTCGTGCCTCTTTGTTCCTTGGAGAAAGCAAAGGGCTGCTTGCCTCACCCAGAGGTTTCCACAATTCAGCTGTCAGAGACTCCCTCTTGGCCCGGGGGTGGTGGAGGCCTGGCAGTGTGCATTAGAAGATCAGCTGGGGTTCTTGAGATAGCCAGATTTCTTCAAATGCTTATTTTGCCAAAAGATAAAAGGAGCAAAGGGCTTAGATTTGGAAGGGACTTTAGGGACAGCTAAGGCTATAATTTCACAGATGAAGAAACTGAAGTACTGGCAGATTGTGTACTTTCCCCAAGATTACACAGAGCCTCTTTCCTCTCCGTCACCATTATTCCTGGCTGACCCACAGGCAAGGGGGAGGGTGTTCTCTGAGAGGTGAATCACAGGCCCAGCTCATGCACCTGGGCCTCTTCTGTAATAGGCAGAGGACTGGTCCCCCAAAGACGTCCATTCCCCAATCTCTGAAACTTGTGAATATACAGTGTTACTCTATATAGCAAAAAGGACTTTGCAAATGTGATTAAGTATCTTGAGATGAAAAGATTATTCTGGATTATCTGGATTACTGGGGGAGTCCAATGTCATCACAAGGGTCCTTCTACGTGAAAGGAGGAGGCAGGGGAGCCAGGGTCAGAGAGGAATTTGAAGATGCTACCCTGCTGCTGGCGGGGAAGGGGCCATGAGCTGAGAAATGCAGGTGGCCTTTGGAAGCTGGAAAGTAAGGAAACAGATTCTGCCCTAGAGCCTCCAGAAGGAATGCAGCCCGGCCTACACCTTGATGTTAGCCCGGTGAAACCCATCCTGACCTGCCAAGCTTTGTTATGTGATTTGTTATAGCACCAATGGGAACCCATACATGTCCCTGCACCTCCCCACCCCACTGCTCTCTAGTTTGTGGTTTTAAAGAACATGCTTGAAAACTAAGTCATCCCCCTCCCCCTGATTTTTACTTAATGAGATATAAGAATAAATAATTTGAAAAACTACAGGAAAGACACTAAGTCCCTTTCATTCAATAATGAAACCTGTAGAAGATCGATCAAGTTGGACCCGGTTGGATACAAAAAGTAACCAACTTAATTCTCTTTCATTGCCATCTTTTTAAGCTCACTCTGTTGAATTATTCTTCAACTTTCCTGGATGAAATGCCAGGCATATTCCAAAGCTTTCCTGGTCGCTTTCAGGTTTTACTAAACATCTAATTTTTGGTCTGGGAAGTTCAGTCCAGTCTCCCATCAAAGCTTCAATGTCTCATCCAATATAAAGCTTTTTTTCTGCCCTAATTTGGGCCTGATGAGGCCCCAAGGCCTACAGAAATGAAGAGCAGGTGCTGGGGAGCAAGATGGTCAGTTTCCTAACTAGTTTCCCTCCTTATTCTTCCACTGCTCTGCCACTCACTCTGCTGCCTCTGGCTCCTTCGAGGGTGGGAGAGGGTAAATGGGAGGGAGGAGAGGTAAGGGGTAGCTAAGACTTCATTGACTCAGTGTGTGGCTCTTCACTCAGCGAGCCTTTCAGAGACATCCAACCACAAAGTTCTCTGGCAAGGCAAACTAATCACTGGCGGTTCCCCTAACAACTCTCCCCTCAGTTCCTACATCAATACTACCCCTGCAAGAACCCAGTTTTCTGTTGGTGCCATCTCACTCCTGCAGCTATCTCCTTGGGTGGGGTCTCCTTTGAGATGACACCCCAAAGCTAAGCTCCTTTCTCTGCTGTGCTCAGCTCACTTAATCAGCCCCCCCTTCACTCTTCAATCCCAGGCAGCTCCTGCTGTCACTCAACTTAGATTTTTTTCAGGTTAGCTTCAGTGTGATGAACTGTCCTAAGCCATTTTGGCCAGCTGTGACCATTGGATTTTTTTGTGGTAGATAATAGTAGCCGCTACTATGTAGAGGGAAGATGAGGGTTGGTTATTCCTCCATAATTCTGCTATTGGGTTATCATGAAAGATCCTTTCCTTTGCATGAAAGGTTAATTGAGGGCGAATATGATGATATTGTAGAGGCAAGATTCAAATAAACTAGAGGGTGAGCATCAGACAGCCAGATTCCTTTGAACCAGTTGCTGGTTATAGGATCACTTAAGCATCAAGCTTTAGGTGACTTTAAGGGCTTATGCCGCAGTCTCCCCTAAATCTATACCCAATTCATGCAAGTGTGAGGAGAGTCTTTCAAATATTTTGAATACTGCTAATTTCACAACATGAAATCCATTTTAAGTATTCATTATGCTGATTAGCAAAGCCTCTGGTGTTGCTCAAAGGTAAAGATAATCTTATATATCCTCATGGTAGCTGCCTCTGGAGTGTGGGTAAGAGTACAGCTTAGCAAACACACACAGTATCACCCTGCCTATGTCGAAGCATATCAGATTACATCACAGGCATCATAAAACTCAGCCTCCAGTCTTTGTTTTCCTAAACTCTTGGGACACAGGTCGTTTAAGACAGAGAGTTCTTAGTCCTCCTAAAAACCTTCTGCCCACATTCTTTTTTTTTTCCAACTTTTATTTTAGAATCAGGGGTGCATGTGCAGATTTTTTTTTCTTTTTTTGAGACAGAGTCTCACTCTGTCACCCAGACTGGAGTACAGTGGCGCAATCTCCGCTCACTGCAACCTCCGCCTCCCGGGTTCAAGTGATTACTCCTGCCTCAGCCTCCTGAGTAGCTGGGATTATAGTCACGTGCCACCACGCCCGGCTAATTTTTGTATTTTTAGTAGAGACGGGGTTTCACCATGTTGGTCAGGCTGGTCTCTAATTCCTGAGCTCATGATCCCCCTGCCTCAGCCTCCCAAAGTGCTGGGATTGCACCGCGCCCGGCCTTGTTACAAAGGTATATTGTATGATACACTCCTGAGGTTTGAAGTAGGAATGAATCTGTCACCCAGGCAATGAACATAGTACACAATAGGTTGTTTTTCAGCCCTTGCTCTCCTCACATTCTGTCTCAGTCCTGTGATGGCTTAAGGCTGAACCATTTCTAGGGCTCTGAAAAATCCAGCCAGGAAGCAAGCTGTCAGTCTCTCCTCCTGGGAGACATCCTACCTTCTCTGAGTGGCTCTCTTCACTTGAAGTGGATGATTCATGTTCTCAGCATACTGACAACTCTCTTGAAATAAATTCCCCCTCTCTAGTCCTCCTCATTCACCTCCTCCCCTCTGCTGCACACCCCTGAGGTAGGTGATGGGCTCAGGGTCACTGCTTAGCAAGGTCAGTGTTGATGATCTAGCAACCCTGCATAAAATGTGTAGTGGGCACATAACACCCCTTGTTTTTGGTTTTGAGGAATCAACTGAAACTCTGCAGCAATAGGAAAAGCCCCCCTTAACAGCCTGCTATAGGGCAGTGGAATTTGTTGTGTTTCCCTTTTTGCCTTGATCACCAAGACTGAGTGTAACACTTGCCTGCATAGCTTCTCCTTAGCCTAGATTTCAGAACCTACCTTCCCTCCTTGCTAACTCACTTACATCATCTCTCTTCTGCTTCATCTCCCACATTCATGCTCTGCTGTTGTTCTTTTGCCCTTGTTTTGATGATTCTGTTGCTTGTTCAGTGCTGAAAGCTGATGCGGAGTTATTTATAAGTACATTATAAAAAGAATTTGTAAAATTTTAGTTTAGATTTCCTAGAGGGTAGTTACATGCAACCCAATGAGGAAAACATCAGTGTTTTTTCTGTGAGAAGTTAAAATGCATAGACATAGAGATGGCATTTGTTCCACTAGGAGCTACAATAGTGTTTCTCTTTAATCAGATGAAAGATAGATTGTGTAAGCTTAGGGAAGCATCTTCTGATCAAAAGTTCCACATAATTTGGATAAACATGGAAGGCAAATGTTTAATGCAAAATTTCTTTATTTTCAAAAGAAAATAATGATGGATAAGGAAGCAGAAGCAAGGAGCAAGACTCAGGTGCTGAAGCATGTGACACTATGGAGAGTTCCTCTATAAGAAAGAGGGGAAAAGAAATACCCCTCCCTCTGAGAGTGCCACAGCCTCACATTAGGGATCAGAACAGAGTTACACAAAGTCACCTAGAAGGTGCAGAGTGTCTCTATAGCCTGGAAAAATCAATTAAAACCTCCTTAAGTATATTAATACCAGAGAAAGATTATGTTGATTATGGGAAAATAGGCAGAATAGTGGGAACAGAGAAAAAGGAGCATAACCAAGGCAAAGGACAGCTGATATCTTTTAACATTTAATAAAGAAACTTCTGATGAGGACCCGGCTTTCCTTGGGCCTAGGAGAGGATGCACTGATAAAGTCACAGCATATTATGGCCCTAGGGGAGACTAGTATACTAGAGCTACATTGCCTCATGTAAATGAACAGATAAGCCCTGTAGGTTGGCATCAGTCTTTGGGCCTTGTGTTTAGGATGAAGCAGTCTTGCAGGGCACTGCCTTCCCTTAGAGCAATGGTTTTCAGACTTTCATGGACATCAAATGATGCAGAGGGCTTATTTTGTTGGGCTGTATTCCCAAAGTAACTGATTCACTAGGTCTGGGGTGGGGCCTGGGAATTTGTGTTTCCAGCAAACAAGCTCCTAGGTGATACTAAGCCTGCTGGTCCAGGGATAGACTTTGGGAACCACTAAGAGCATTTCATAGCATTTAAAAATTTCCTTCTCCTACATGCCTAGGAGACCAACTGAATCAGAATCTCTAGGAGTAGGACACAAGCATCAGTATTTTAAAAAACTGTCTAGGTGATTCCAAAGATGACCCCACTACCAGGTCTACCATTCCAAGTGAATGATTTCCAAATGATAGGCAACATAAAAACACCACCATTTGGGCAAGAAAGCATCATTTTTTTTACCCTGCAATAAAATAACAGTGGGATATGAATGGATAACGATAGCTAACAGTTGTTGAATACTTATATTGTGCCAGGATTAAATAATTTGCTCCAAACAACTATCCCCATCTTAAAGGTGATGAAACAGGCATCCCATGAAATTAAGTAACTTGTCCAAGGTCATGCACAAGTAACAGAGCTGGAATTTGAACCCAGGCCCTGCAGCCTCAGAGTCCCTGCACGTGGCCTGAACTATAGGGTACTCTGTGTAACCAGTCTGAGGGAGCATATTAACAGCCTCACTCTCTCTGGGCAGTTTCTATAGTGA
This sequence comes from Homo sapiens, assembly GCF_000001405.40. Lineage (NCBI taxonomy): Eukaryota > Metazoa > Chordata > Mammalia > Primates > Hominidae > Homo > Homo sapiens. The sequence goes on along the minus strand of NC_000003.12, from coordinate 157,123,199 downwards.
ACACTGAATGGGCCCCATCATCCAGCCAACTGGGCTATTATCCAGGATTCACCACTTAATAAGTTGCTATGGTTTAAACATTTTTGTCCCCTCCAAAACTCATGTTGGAACTTAATTCCCAAGGCAACAGTGTTGGGAGGTGGGGCCTAACGGGAGGTGTTCATGTCATTAGAGCTCTTCCCTCATGCTTCTGCTATGTGAAGAACAGTGTTTCTCTCCTACAGAGGATGCAGTGTCCAGGGCATCATCTATGAATGGAGACAACCTTTACCGGACACCAAACCTACCAGCACCATGACCTTGAACTTTCCAGCCTTCTGAACTGTGAGAAATACATTTCTGTTGTTTATAAATTACCTAGTTTTTGGAATTCAGTTATAGCAGGACAAAATGGACTAAGACAACAGTGATGCAATTTGATCAAGCTCTTTAGCCCTTCTGAGCCTGTTTTCTCATGGGGAAAATGCATATAAATGTGTCTAAATCAGAGGCCTGCTGGTAAGGCTAAAAGAAATTTGCCAAGGAGTGCCTAGCACAGAGCCGGGGTTCAGGAGACATTCACTCCCTTCCTCTTTTCCATCAGCTTTTCCTCTAAGGGTCCTCAGAACCCCAAAGAGTTTTTCCCAGTTGCTTCTTGGGCATCTTTGTAAGTACAGCTCTCTTGAGAACTGGCAGACACCTTTGACTGAAGAAATAAGTTCTGGGGAAATAAAGTTTTCCTGCTGGATGGAAGGAAGCACAGATGTTAGGCTTCGTTGAAAAATGAGTTCAGCTCATGACAGTTGAAAGTAAGGAAATCTGTGCTGCTACTTGAAGGAAAATAAGAACTGATTCCTGAGCTGTGGTTTCCCGGCATATCTCAGAGCAGCTGCATTGCATCAGGGGTCTGGGTATCAGATGGGGCTTCCACAGCTACAAGGTGTGCTGTGAGTCAGTTGTTACTAATAAAACAAAGTACTGAAGCTTGTTAGTGACTCACAAAATAGTAATGCATTAGATGAGATATGCATTGCTGTTTGAGAGTACTCTTGAGAGGGGCAGAGCCTTGTTTGCTGGGATTGTACACAATTCTGGGTAGGCCTTTGGTAAGGTAACTTGCAGGTGTCACCTGAACCAAATGCCAAAGCCGAGAATGATTGTATATGCCATTTAAAAGCAGATTGAAAGAACATTTTGAGGAAGTCTAGAATAACTAATTTTTATATCTTCCTACTTCTGCGATTTTTTAAAGGGAATCATAAAAGAATATATAGGTACCTTAAAACAAAGATGGGATGAATAACTTAGAGAAAGAAATATCTGATGGTGGTTGGGGGAAAGGGAGATGTAGGGTAAGAACTATGTCAGAAAATGTAGGCTAAGGAGGATCCTCAAAATTAAGTTCTGAGATTCCTAGGCAAAAAGAATAGTCCCATGCATTCCACAGCTTTCATTAACTGAAAAAAGAAAACATAGGCAAACTTCATTCTAGTACTAAAGTCCAAGTGGAAATTAGTTGCAAGGAATTTTTTATGTGAAGCAACATAATGAATATCTATGGCAATTTTACAGATAATTTAAAGCTGTTTTTCACCCGATCATTTCTTAAAATGACACTGGGTAAAGCTAAGGGGCATAATGCTAAATGATGTAAACAAACACTGTATTGAGTACCAAAGTGACTTAAGCCAGGAAGGGACTTCAGTGACTCCAGGGAGGAAAAAGTTTAGAGAACTGCAAAGTACCCTACATGCTATCCTTGCTGTTTTGGCAACATCTATACCCCTTTTAAAATGCAAAGATAAACTTTAAGAGCACCATTTAATAGCTCTTTAATGAAACTATGTTTAACCTGAGCAAGTTGTTGTGTATGCAAGATACTGGAAACGCCTTCTGTGGAAGGAAAGGCAAGTACAACTTTGTGCTTCTATTTGGATAAAAGGTTTTGAAGTGAAAGGCATTTGTGCAAATTACAAGCAGATTTTCAAGTCTAGAAAAACAAAAATCTCAACTGTGGATTAAGTTCTATTTTTTAACAAAAGTGAAATACTCTGCTTTAATTTCAGAAGTTAAAAAATCCTTTTTAACAACAGCAAAAAGGGGACCTGTTTTGAATTTAAAAGAAGTAGAGTGAGACAAGTTAGGAAAAAAAGAATTACCATTGCCTTTCTAAATTTATTATTATCATAATTGTCATTAAGTGTATTCGTCTTTCTTTAGGGTAAAGAGAGCTTTCCGATGGCCAAAATTTACTAGTCACTGAATTGTGTCCCAGGACACCCTTCAATAAAACTTGGCCTAAAGAAGCTTCAAGTTCCCTTCAAGTTCGAGGGCAGAGTCTGGGGTTCAGCCCAAGCCACTGGCATCCCTGAAGGGGCTGCAGGGCTCCTGACTCCAGGACCTCCTGGCATCCCGAATGCATGACCTCTCATGCCCGCCGCAGCACCTGCAATCTTGCCGGTGCTGCTTGGATTGCTGAGCAAACACTTGTTATTTGCGAAAGTACAAGGTTCAGTCTGTCAAACAGGGAAAACCAAACACCGAAGCACAGGAGCAGATAAGAGGGCCATGGTTGTGAGACCCACGCGGGCTCAGAGCGCGGCGGCGGGGCCCGGGCCTACCCGGCGCATGGGGGCTAAGGTGCAGCTAGGCAGGCCACGCGGCGCGGGCGGACGGCCTGGCCCGCGGAAACAGGCGCATAGGGCGGGAAAGTTCACCCGCCTTGCGGCGGCGACCGTTCTGGGTCGAACCGGCCATTGTAAGCCGCGCCGCTGGCGACCCGCCTGGGACCCCTTCGTGCCTTGGCCTTGGGGGGCCAAACACATCCCGAACGCCGTTCCCACCTTGCAGATTCTTGCAAGCTGCGGGTCCTACCTTGCTTCCCACGGGCTGATAACCCTGAACGTTCCCAGCGGGTAGAGGGCTTGCCACCTGCTGCTGAGCTGCGCTGCAGGCTTCCCCCGCCTCCTGCCGTAGGTCTAAGCCCAGAGACCAGAGGGGCCTTGGGCCTTGGCGCGCTGCCGCCGCCAGGGCACCGAGCGAGCCACTCTGCCTGACACTCATTTTTCTCTTCTGCAAAATGGGACTGACACCAACAATCACCTTCCTACCACCTCAGGGGGTTTTGAGGATCCCGTGAAATAACGGTGTGAAGATACTTTCAAAGTGGAAATCTCGGTTGTTACTAACTCATTTGTGAACCCCATTTTCTTCTTGATTTCTTCCTGACGTAGAATTGATCATCGTCACTGGGCTGTCTTAGCTACCCCTCCCTTGACTGTAATTTTAAATTTATCTGTGCATACCATTCCAAAAACAAACAAAAAAATCACGTGACCTGTGGTTTTATGTGTGAACAAAAGTTCTCTGAAAAGGAATTTAGAGGAAACAGACTTTATTACAATGAACAGTTTACAGACGAGGAAACATAGCCCTAAGTGTAAAATGAAGAGAACAAAGAGACAGTTTGGCGTTTACAGAGAAAATTCCTACCTGGGTTCCCAATCAGGTCCATTTATGCAAATGAACAATTCAAACTGGCTTGGTTCTGATTGATCAATGCAGCTGAGTCCTGATTGGTTGATGGGGAGCACAGCCTATTCCGTTGCTTCAGGCCACATGAGCGGTAACAGTCAGCTGTCAAAGCCCCAGTGTTAAGCCGACTGTGGGTTTTCCAGGAACTCAGAGTAGTGTGTAATCTCTAGTCAGTAAATGGCCGTTTGGCTCTATATTAAATTTATGTAGCCACTCAGGATTCATCTTGAGGGACTGGCTCTTTCAGATTCACTCATGTTTCAACTCTGCTGTTTATAAGTCCTCTATCTGTGTATACAGGCCTAGAGGTCCCAGGGCCGGATATAAAATTTCTCTGGACAGGGCCTGCTCCATAACCACCTTCACATGCTGTTCTTCAAACATATAGAATTGGGTTGATAGTGGAAACAATTTCAGGTACTTTAACCCAATTCTAAATATTCTAAATTTTAGGTATTTTAACCTTGGAATAATATAATTTTTTCTTCTTTTTTCTGTGTATAAAAAGACGTACATAGTTGATATGACACTATGTAATGTAACTCATAGATCACTATGTAATTTTGTACCTGCATTCATTCAGCATTTTAACATGAATTAATATTAATATTTTTCCATGTTAACTCTCTATGTAAAAACCATTTGCAATAAGCATTTTTCCATTTAGTAAGCTACCTCATATTTTATTAAATTGTTTTTCTACTGTTACACATAAGAGTTTTCTCCAGTTTTCCACTATAATAAATAATACTGCAGTGAACATCTTTCTTCCCAAAGCTTTTTTTGTTCTTTTTTTTCCTTGCTTTTGGTTTACCTCCTTAAAAGAATTCTGGGTCAAAGGTTATGAACATTTTTCAAAAGACCTTTGTTGTCATGATGGCAGAGAGGCAGCACTAAAATAGTTTGGAGCAATAGGGATTTCACCAAAATAGCTATGATTGATATCTGGAAAGAAAGACAGAGAAAATAATGGCATGGGAATCTTTCTAGAGTTTTAGGGCCTTGTTCTGATTTAAAAAAAAAAAAATATATATATATATATATATATATATATATGAAAGGAAAATAAATCTTCGGGCCCCCAAATCACTAAGGGAATAATCAAGCTGGGAACTGCTTAGGGCAAACCTGCTTCCCATTCTATTCAAAGTCACCCCTCTGCTCACTGAGATAAATGCATATCTGATTGCCTCCTTTGGAAAGGCTAATCAGAAACTCACAAGAATGAACCGTTTGTCTCTCAAGTATCTGTGACCTGGAAGCTCCCTCCCAGCTTCAAGTTGTGCCGCCTTTCCAGACAGAACCAATGTACAGCTTATATATATTGATTGACGTCTCATGTCTTCCTAAAATGTATAAAACCAAGCTGTGTTCTGACCAACTTGGACACATGTCATCAGGACCTCCTGAGGCTGTGTCATGGGCATGCATCCTCAACCTTGGCAAAATAAACTTTCTAAATTAACTGAGATCTGTCTCAGATATTTGGGGTTCACATATATATGAATATATGAAATAATTGTATATCTTAGAGTCCCATTCCTGGAAGTTTAAACAGCTGTACTCATAGCCCACACTTAAGTAGAAAGTTGGGAGAATATCTGACAGTATGGGTGACAACTGCTTACTCTAGGTGCAGATTGGGGCTTCTCAGGCAGCTATTGGCCCCAGGGTAATTAGCCTTCTGGTGACTACAGAAGTAGAAAGTAGAGATCTCCATCTACTTTACAGTTGAAGGCACTGAGTCTCAGCACACCCAGTTCAGTGGTTGTTAACTCTGGTTGCATAGTATAATCACTTAGGGTGATGAAAAGACATCCAGAAAAAAACATCCAGGATAGATCCTCAGATATTCTGATGTAATTGGTCTGAGGTGAGACCCAGGCATCATTACAATATGAAAGCTCCTTGGGTGATACTAATATGAATTAGGATTGAGAAGCTCTGGTATAGTGGGAAAAATATGGGCTTTGGAGTCACTAATATCTGATACAGCTCCCAGCTTTGCCATTTATTGGCCATGTCATTTTGAGTAAATTAATGACTACTCTCTGCTAAGGGTCCTCATTTTAAATCATAAAGTTGTCACAAGGGTTAAATGTAATAACATGCAAAGTGTTTTTCAAGGTTTCTGGAACATGGTTGGTGTTAAAAAAACGTTGGGTCCTTTAGTATGTACCTAAGGTCCTATAGCTAGCTGATGGTTCTGGAAAGCCATCCAGAACCGTGCTGTGCACTCAGTGAATGCCTGTGGATGTTCCTTGGTGACATCATCTTTGAACATGAATATGGGTGTTACTGAGACATTTCGAACACCACATTGAGTTGGTGTTCATCAGAACAATAAAGCCATACCTCATAGAGATTCATCTCATTTGCTGAATATTAATTTGCCTCCTATTTTTAGTTCTTCAGCTAAAAAGAAACCAATTTTTATTCTGCTAAACCAATTGATTATGATGGAACTCTTGCAAGAAAAAAGTTAAACACTGTTACAATTACATAAATGTATGGAAGTCTTTGTGTAACTTATGTAGTAAGCTGAGGATATAACAGTTAAATTGTCCTTTAAAAATTTTAAGACCTGCCCCACCCTCCACCCCCAGCAATGAACGATTTCACTTTTCACCAGCTTTAACCTAAATGCCTTTAGCCTATTTTCTTTATCCATCCTATGATAGACAGAAGAGTTAGTGAGAACTGGATTTGATTTCAGAAGACCTGGGATTGAGGCTTGGCTCTGTCATTCACTGGGTATAAACCTCGGGCGATCATTCTTCTTTGCCCTTGTGCCTTCTCATGAATGCAATGAGCACCTGAATAGCATGACCTGACTTTAGCATGAAGTGAGTTTAAAACTGTGATGCTGACCAAGCAGGACATGGTTATTTAACACTTATTAAGCACCTCCTGTATGTCCAGCCCTCAGTAGGAAACCTTGCGGGAATTATAAAGCCCTGAGACTTTTATAGAGTAACTTGGAGTCTAGCTAGAAGAGATAAATCTCATGCATGAAGAACAACTAGGACCAGTTTCCACCTGAGAGCTGCAATAAGTCCAGCCCAGTTGACTCATGGAGGAAATAAGTGGAACATTTAAGAAATGACAATCATGGAGAAACGAAGGGGTGTCAAAATTGAATGTCCTGTCCCTTAGTGCTTTATTTCTCTTCAGTCTCTGACACAAAGTCTTGGATAGTAATAACATGACACAAAACTCCTTCAAGTTAGATAGGGCCAGGCATTTTTCTAACAGCACATTCCAGAACTTTGTCTGTCCATGTCCTAAATCCTTATTATTTTGCCCAGTTTTCAGCAGTCTTTTGCAAGCTCCAGGCTTTCCCCCACTCCTATTTAGACCTCATGTGCCTCTGATAGCTCTGGACAGAGCCCATACTGTGTGGCGGACGCACAAAGGGGACACAGTATGCAAATGGCGGTGTAGGAAGCATCGAGGCAGGAATGTTTGAGCTGTGCCATGTCACAGATCATTTCTGAAACAGCAGTCCCTGAGCTGTGAGTCACAACCCTTGTTAGGGGTGAACAGCTGATGAGGCTGGTGTCAATTTTTGTCTGACCCCATCCTAAGAGCAACACCCCAAGTACTTCAATTACCCATTTGTAACATTCTCCCAGCAGTGGAGAAAGGAACAACAGTGGCAGCCCACACAGTGAACCTCAAAAGTAAAGCTCTCTGAAGTATGAAGATAGAAGAGGAAGTTTGGGAGACTCACAATGAAAGGGTTTAACAAAAACTGCCTGTGAATGTGTTGACTTAGAAACTATTGGAGCATTGGCAATGATTTCCTTAACAACGGAAGGAAAATTGACCAGGGGCATGAGTGTTTCATTCATTTTTCAGATGAGTATAGCAGAATTGCCAAGAGAAAGAGAATGTCTGCTCTAGCGCAGGGTTTCAGCCCTCAGCCCAGCCACTGACTCCCTTGGTGTTCTTTTGCAAATCATCCATCTCCCTGGGTCTCAGTTTATTCATCTGTAAAATGAGGAGCTGGTCCAGGTAAACTGTAAGTTCCTTCCTGGCTGGAACATCTTGATTTGATGCAAGCCATAGTGAGGGTTGTTAAATTATGCCTTGCTCCACGCAGAGAGGTCTAACTTAACTTTGTACACAAAGCGTACTCATTGACTTTCTGACTAAGTGTGGCTCAGGCACTTCCCTGAACTATAGTGTGCTGGGAGTCTCTGCCCAAAGGAAGAGAGCTATTTTGAGGCAGGGTTGATTAGAGATAAGGTGTCTCATTCCTTTACCGGTCATTGGCCCTGACTCACCCGAAGTTCTTGGGTTTAAAGCTTAACACTTGATGGATGAATGTAAGCTAACCCCTCTGCTTGCCCATGAAAATGGCGCCCAGGACACTGCTTCTCAATCCCCAGCTTTATCAGTGTCAATTAAGAAAGTTCTTTGACCTCTTTTTGCTTAGCCAGCTTCTCTGAAATGCAGCCCTTGCTTGTAACCTCTCTCCTTGACATCTCTTGTTTGCTCTTTCTTGTTATTTACGGAGTCTTCTGAGTTATATAAAGGGGAACGTCTCAGTAATCCTCTTAACAGCAAAGAAATCCGACCACCCTGTTAGGTAGGGGGATGGAAATGTCACAAGATGCTTGAAAAAGGCACTGGACAAAGCTGCAACATACTTTTGCATGGAAAAGCCCAGAAAATGAATGGCACAAAAGACCACTATAGTTATGCTGCTTTGAGAGACAACAAAATTAAATTATAAGGCATGGTTATCTTAACATTTTAATTTAACAACTTTTTTTAAACGAATATGTTTTTTTAAAAAGATACCACGTTATGAAATGGTTGACTTTTTTTGTTTGTTTGTTGTTGGGGTTTTTCATTTATTTCCAGTCTTGGTGTGTTATCTTTGATTGGTTTATTTTTTGGCTTGGGAATGTTGAAAGTACCCTTGTGACACTTGACAGGACAGGACATGGCTTGGGCTGTGCCTGATTTTATACAGTTGCTTTGTTCCTAACAAGCTAGATGTAGATGGAAGTTTAAAAAATCTGCCCATATTTCAAAGACATTTGAAAGAAGAATTCACCTCTTGCATAAAAATGTGCATCAAAGTCCTTTCTAATGAGAATAATCACCTCTCTGTTCTTAAAATTAAAGTTTCTGAATTTTAAATTTTCTCAAAGTAAAGGCCATAACCCAAGGTGGCAAACACTGTTTTTGATAGAGCTATGGAGTCACGATGACCGAAGACCTTGGGAAAATTATATTCACCTCTTTGAAATTCTCTTTACCTGTGAAAATAGGATTTTGGGTGTGTCAAATTAACAGCCATGGAGCTGGATGATATAATAACAACAGGCCCGATGGGGCTCAACAAGGCTGAGCTCTAGCTCTGGCTCTGTCCCTAACAGCTGTGTGACCTTGAAAAGTTCACTTAGTTCTCTGGACCTTGGTTTCCTCATCTAGAACATAAGCAGGTTATACAAAGTGACCTTTAAGTCCCTCTCAATTCTGATATTTTAGGATTTAAGCAACTTATTGTTTGGAAGCAACTACAAAAGAGAAAAGAAGTTGGTGGTGTTGATTTCAATTTAAGTGATATAGCAGTTTTGGGCACCTACACCACCTTGGTGCTCTGTTAGACCTTGTCATAGGATATGATATAACATTCAAGCATTCATTTGCTCAGCAAGCACTTCTGAGCACCTCCTGTGTGCCAAGAATGGTACTACATAAGCAGCAGGGATACAGATAGGAATAAAACCCAGCACCTGCAGGAAGCTCTCAGTGACACAGAGAAGATAGGCACATAAAAACCCACTTAAAAAGATAGATTATTTACATATTTAATCCAGTAGACTCAAAGATTCTTAATTACCAAGTAATATCCTAAAGGGACATTTTAATTTCACCTCTAAGCTTTTACCTCATGCCTCAGAGCCACCTCTGCTTCAGTTAAAGCCAAGGCTTCTAATGATTGTTTTAAAAATCTTATCGGAGAAATTTTAAATATGTGAGACAGAGAGCAAGACAGAGAATACATAGAAGGCCTATGGAAACCTTACCAGCTTCCATAGTTATCAATTGGTGAGCAACGTTGTTTAGTCTGTGCCTTCCCTCAACTCCAGGTTATTTTGAAGCAAACCCAAGACATCAATATTTCCTCTGTAGATCCTTAAGGACATATTACTACAAAGATTCTTTTTTAACCAACATGAATATCTTGCTTGCGATGATCTCTTTTTTTGACTTGCGGGCTGGCAACACAGGTGTTTTCTCTTTTAAAAATCTCTTCAGCTGTACACATATAATTTGTTCACTTTTCAGTATATACATTATACCTTAATAAAAGGATGAAGCAAAATTTAACAATACCAGTATCACACCTAAAAACTTAACAGTAATTCTTTAATACTAAGTCTTTGAATAGTGATGAACAATTTTAAACAATGTGGAGATTCAGCAATAAAGACAGGAATAAGGCATGATATAGGTGTCACCTACCCTAGCCTAGAGTTGGGGTGGGGGACACCCCTAAATTCCTAGAAAGTACCACAGTCACTTCCCCTACAGAGGTGTCCACCTTGTAGCCGCCACAGGAGGAGCATCTGCAGGTGCACGCACTGGCATTCACAGGAACACACCTAAAAGCTGAGCTTTCCACAGAGGCTGAACATGGCTTCAGAAGCCACAGCCTCTGGGAAAACTCTTAGCAGACATTTGGAACAGGGAGAGAGTTCTAAGGGTTAGCTAGGGAGGCCAGGGACTCAGAAGATACGGTGAAGGATTTCCTCCTCTGCCATAGAATAGCATTCTCAGAACTGCTCCATGACCAGCCTTTCAGCGCCAGGCCCAGGCTATGTGGGTGACTGGAGGCCCAGGATCACACATGTGGCCATTTTGAGTGATAAGAGGCAAGAAAATCTACCTATTGAGAAAATTTCCTACTGAGTCATTTTCCTTCAAATGTGCTCACATGCCCCATAGTGTTTGTCTGGAATCCTTGGAAAGGCTCCCGTCTTGTTTCCAACCCTCATAAGCTCTGTGTGTGTTTCTGAGACAATCAAGTATTTTTCACCTTCCATGCCACCACCAAATACCATCCCAATCCTTGGATTTTCAGCTACAAGTCCTGCCCACACTGGCAGGCAGCTTCCTACGTTCCTTTCTTCCCTGCTCTCCTCTCTGTTTTAGGCTGCCCTGTGGCCTCACTCTGCAGCTGCCACTCAAGAAAGCTGTTGTTAAGGCCACAAGAGTCCCGACCACCTTGTAGGGGATGACGCAGGCAATGCACTTACCATGTAAGTCTAGTAAGTGTGAGTTTTTGCTATTAGTTCTTTCTTTTTTATTATTTAAAAAAATTCCTGCTGCAAGAAATTTGAGCATCCACAAAGTAGATTATTACAAGCCTTCCTGTGTTCATCACCCAGCTTCCGCAGTTCCCAACTCACTGCCAATCTCATTTTGCCTATGTCTCAACTCTCCCCTCTCCCTGCCTCATCTCCTTCAACAGCTGAATTATTTTGAAGCTAATCTCAGGGAATCTATTTTAAATTTTAAGCTTTTAGTTATTTTTGATTAGGTAATATTGACATGACTCAAATTCAAAAAGTTCAAAAGGCTAAAAAGAGAAAAGTCTCTCCCTCCGTCATCATCCCTGCCCTACCTTGAGGTAGATTTAAACAAGTGACCATAATATTTGGTGGCTCCTCCCATTAAGAAATGGAGTCTATTTCTCTGCCTTGAATTTGGGCTTGGTCATGTGAATTGCTTTCGCCAAAAGGATGTCAGCAAACATCATGCAAATAAGAGTCTGAAAGTGTTTGTGCACTGGGCTTGCTCTGCTCAGGAGTCTCTGGCTCCTGGGAACTCTGACGCTGCCTTGTGAAGGCAGGACCAGCCTCCTGGTCCTCATGTGCAGAGAGGCCCCAGCCACCACAGCCAAACCACAGAGATTGAGCTGGATGAATGGGGGTTGCTTTAAGCTACTAAGTTTGGGCTGGGCTGGGATACAGTCCCCTCCCATCCCTCACACCCAATCCCGGCACCCTCCTTCCTGGAGGAATAAAATATTACCATATTACCAGTCTGGGAATCCTTCCAAAGATAGTTTATGCATAAATAAGTGCATAAATATATATTCTCTTCCCTTCCCCACTCTACTTGCCCCCTTTTAAGAAATAACAAGTGATAATACACAGTTCTGAACCTAGTTGTATTTGTTTGATGTAGCAATGTATTTCGGAGGTCATCCCCCATCACAGTGTGAGGCGCTTCGTTTGAAGTATGCCACTGTCTGCACAGACTGTGAATTATTTAATCAGACTTTTATTGATGAGATTTAGATTGATCCAAGTCTTCTGCTATTTCAAGCAATGGTACAATGAACAAAGTGGCACCCTGTCATTCTGCACAGATGTGAGTATTTCTGAAGGCTAGATTCGTGGCTGTGGCTCACAGGTCCGAGTACAGTGGGGCTGCACGTGGAATGTAGCCTGCAGGGAAGGAAATGCTTTCTGTTCCTCTGGCTTTCCATTTCTGTGGACCCCAGCTGTCCACCTGCCTATTCCCACAGTTCCCTACTAGTTTCTTGCTGACAGGGTGCCAGTCCCAGGCTTGCCCCCTTGGGGGTCTGCAGCTCCCTTGGTTCTCTGTCACCCCAGGATGAGGCCTGGCTCCTTGGGTGCCTGCCAGCTCTCTGGCTTGCAGTCTCCATGGTTTGGAGGAGTGGCCTGACCCCTGCCTCCCTTCTAAGCCCTAGAATGTGAAACACCAATGTGAGAAGCTTCTGCGCCCTGCACCACTGTGATTCTGGAGACAGTTCAAATGAGTTATCATTTACTGACAGACACTAACAAGTCCAATAAAGGCAGCAGTCCCGGTGCAGAGAAACAAGTGGTCGGAGCTGACCCTAACAGGACAAAGAGGCCCCTATGGAATGAATTCTAATTAAATACTCACCCACTCCCACCCCCCCTGAGCCATTAACCCCAAGGAGTACTTAAGCCAGCCGACAAATTTAAACAAACCAGAGGTGCCATAGAAATGAAATGTACTGGCTGCGCTCAGTGGCTCATGCCTGTAATCCCAGCACTTTGGGAGGCTGAGGCCGGTGGATCCCCTGAGGTCAGGAGTTCAAGACCAGCCTGGCCAACATGGTGAAACCGTGTATGTACTAAAAATACAAAAAAGTTAGCTGGGCGTGGTGGCAGGAGCCTGCAATCCCAGCTACTTTGGGAGGCTGAGGCAGAAGAATCGCTTGAATCCAGGAAGTGGAGGTTGAAGTGAGCCGAGATCGCACCATTGCACTCCAGCCTGGGCAACAAGAGCAAAGCTCTGTCTCAAAAAAAAAAAAAAAAAAAAAAAAAAAAAAAAGAAAGAAAAGAAAAGAAGAAAGAAAGAAAAGAAATGAAGTGTGCTTTCTGATTATGGAATATGAGTTTACACAGAGCAGCTGGTACCTCTGCCCAGGTACCCAATATGTCTACCTCTCTGGTTCCCAGTGAGCTCACTCGCTTCCTATTCAGTCACCCTAAGACTTATTTCTTAAGACTGAGCTCAGCTGGATCTTCATGTTCCCTGGGAGGAAAAAATTCCCAGAGGACACTAAATCCCCATCATGACCTGTTGTCCCTTTGCTAGTGTCCCTATGAAGACCTGGGCTGCAGAGGGTTGCTGTTTCTCCCCAGCATCCTCCTCCCTCTTTCCTGCTTGGCGGAGCATGGCATCTGCTCTGTTCTTTGTCAACACTTATGTAAACCCCACCCTTCCTCCCTGATTCTGGGCCTCATGGCTTCGCTTGCAGACCCCTGTGGTCATTTTGATTTGGCAGGTGACCACTGTGTTTAGTCCCAGAGGTGCCTGGCCCTCCTCCATCATACCGGATGAGGCCTGGGTGTGGGGAGTATCCTGGGCTTGCAGCTCCAGGAGCTGGGGAGACGATTCTGTCCACACCTGATAAGACTGACGCCAGAGGTGAGGTCAGAACCCAGCAAGGAGCCGGCTAGGCCTGAGGACAGATAACCTGAGGATGCTCTGAGTCCCCAGTGACTCTCAGAAAGGAAAATACCTGAATGAGCCAAAAAGCAAACTCTGGAGAAGGGGGGAAAAGAACAGTGCATGGATACTAGGCCTGTGAAGGGTACCTGTGATGTAGTGCAGGGGGGCCTAGACAGAGGGTTCCCTGGGGCCTCCATCTGCCCACACTCACTGCCCTTATCTCCAAAGTTGCAGACACCTAGGAAAATTTTATCTCTCGCCTCTTGTGTCTCAGATGCTTGAGTTGTTGGTGACTTGTTCATTGCCATGGGTTTTATTTACTCCCTGTCTGGGTCCCTAACTGCTGGAGGGGGTGGGCAAGGTTTTTCTCACAACCATTATCAATCCTACTTAAAAATAGATCTTTAATAAATGCATATTAGTTTATGGCTTAATAATTGTGACTTCACTTCTAGTGAAATCTAGTTTGGACAATAATAATAGCTACTATTGATGAGCAATTAGTGCGTGCCAGACATCGTGCATATGTTACCCAATTGAACCTCTCTGCAGGGTAGTTATTGCCTCTATTAAACGTCTCTGCAGGGTGGGTATTGCCTTCATTTAGTGGGGAGAAAATGAAGTCTCAGAGAAGCTAAGAGCTGTGCCCAAGTTCACACAACTTCCAAGAGGTTGAGCTGAGATTTAAACCCTGGCCTGCAAGACTCCAGCATTCAGGGTCCTTTCCTTTAGCACCCAAATGCTGCTTCCAGGTCAAGAAGGAAAAACATATGGGTCAAAAGCAAAGCACTGCTGGGAGACCAAAACTTGCATTCCTTCTGCTCATCTGTGCTGGCTGTGGGCCTGTGATTGACCCCTGTGCCAGGGCTGTTTGGAGGGCAGCTATCAACAGACCACTGTGCATAAGAACAGAGCAAAGGCCATGGGCTCTTGGTTTTGCACACACCAGCTGCTCCTGGGAGGTTCACCGGAGGAAGAGTAAATGGGCACAAACCACTTTCCTACTCCCCAACATGAATTGTGGCTTGTTGTGTGTTAGTGAAAAGGAGGCTCATGCAAATGCATGAGGTTGAGTTTTTCTAAGGCTACATGAATGGCACTACAATGATAATAAAAATAATAACAAACTGTCAGATTATTTCCCTTTATTCTCATCCCAAGTCTCTTACAAACTGTGTGACTATAGGCAAGCTCGGTAAGTTGCTTAACCTCCCTGAACCTCATCTTTTCGCTTTTAAAAGGGAAAATAACCGTGCTATAAAGTCCAGTGACTAGCACAATGTTTGGCACATAGAACGGCCTCAATAAATGTTTGATGCTCAAATGAATGAAATATAGAGATTGTGCTACTTATTTTGCACCTCCTGTAGCACCTAACATGTTTTGAGCTGGTGTGTGATTAATGAATATTTGTGATTTGGGATTGTCTTTGTAATTAAGAATAAGGACCTGCCCCATAAAACAAAACAAAACAAAACAAACACTAGCCCTCTTAAACACAGAGAAACTCCTGTCAAGAGAGCCTGTGATTTTACTGCACGGACCCATGAGGAGTTGTGGTATTGGAATTAATAACAAAGATCTGTTAATTCTCTGCCTTTGCCCAGGCTGCCTTCCAAGGCGTGATGTGGATTCCTGCTGTTTCTGCTCCAGATAAATCAATGATAATCTTCAACCCAGCGAGGGGCAAGTCATGGGGGTTGCTGTTGCAACTCCTGTGTCAACAGCACTGCTAAAAATCAGATTTCTTGGAACCCATTCATCAGAAGCTTTGAATATGCCACATTGCTTGCTGGGCCTAAAATATTGCATGCATGTGGTGACCTTGACTTGGTTGTTTCCATGAATCCTCTTTTCCCTGAAGCCACGGGCAACATTTCTAAGTCACATGGCAGGGATAGGGCTTCCGTCCCTAACAGTATTTTCACTAATGTTTATGGCCCAGGCCCGGCCTGTTCACTATGCACCACTCACTTTCTGGCACTGATTCTGCCCCAATAGGAGCAGAGAAGGCTGGGAAGGAATGGGGAGGGTGGGGTGTCTGTGCCCTCTGAGGACTGGTACCTTTCTTTTGCCTTCCTGATACCTTCTCTGGGGCAACTTTTGGGTAGGAGAGCTTTTTCTCCGACTTTCTATTTACTCATCCGTTTGTTTATTCCTTTATTCACTGCTTATTTAACATGCTCAAAGGGAGCCCACGCTGAATGGGAAGCACTGTGGTGATTCTGGGGGAGCACAGAGAGGTGAGATGTTGAAGGGCTGAATGTAGGCAGAGAAAAAAAGACATCAATCTAACAGCTGCTAACACCCCCAAATGCTAAGTGATTATCTCCAGATGGCAGTTATGAGTGGTTTTTATTTTATTCTCTTTATTTATTTATGTTTCCAATTTTTTTCTTCAGTGACACACATTAGTATTTGTATAGGAAAAGTTATTCAAATAGTGACCACGTGGTCAACAGGTGTTCAGTGCACGGGGAGGTACAGGTGAAGACACTGGAAGGGTGGAGAAGAGGAGAAGGCTATTTCCAGTCCAGGTGGAGCTGAAGAGGATTCTGGAGAAACTTTGTTGAATTGGGCCTTAAAGTTGGAGGGAGGCCTTGCTGTGGATGTCTGTGGGGCTGTCTGCCTACCACTCTTCTCTCATATGAAAGTATCCTCTCCCCACAGCCCTCTCCCCACAGCCCATAGGAACTGCATGCTATGAGCTTGCCCTCGCCCTGCTTTGCCTGACAGTCCAGTGGTGGGCGCCTGACCAAGGCCAGCCACTCATTAGTCTTACCTGGGATTTTCAGATTTAAAGCTGGCAATATCTTTAGTGAAAGCCTAAAGAGGTTAAATTCAGGAGGTTCCTGTATGTGGGTGTGGCAGGGAGGGATTTGGGCAGCCGTGTTTCCTGCAATGTGGACGAAATCAGTATGCCATGAGAGAGAATGAAATAGGCACCTGGAGAGAAGTGGAGAGAAGAGGTGAGAGTGGGAGTGGGAGAGTTGTCGTGAACTCTGAGCCCCTGACTCCAGATATTCCCAAATATCAGCTGTGCCCTCCTTTTCCCTAGCTCATATGAGTTGGGTTCTGAACTTGCAACCAATGTATCCTGTCTAAGATAGATGTTGCTAAGTGGAGAGAGGTGGCAATGGACAGTGGTAGAAAAGCAAAGGACATGTAGGGAGCAGCTGGCTGTTGCATTTGCCTGGAAAGTGGGTGGTAAGTTTGTGTGTCTGTTGAGAGGGGCTGAGTTAGTGTGTGTGGTCCCCTGTAAGGGTGGCAGATTTCATATTTCAAGGTTTGGGTTTCTAGCCCCCTGCAGCATCTCATGCTTCTCTCAGATCTCAAAAGGCCACCGTTCTATGACCAGCTACCAGGACCGATCTGCCTCTTCCAACGTGCACCCCAAAGAAACTGGGGATGTAGTCACAGTGAGATCCTAAGCCAGGGAGTCCCTAAGTGAGGTCCAGCCTTAATGTGGACATGCTTTGCTTCTCCCAGGGGCCACTTAAAGTTGGAAATGAAGGAATTGTACTCGCTTCTCCTCCTTTTCTGCAGCTTAGACTGAATTTCAGTCCCTCTCCATGATCTGACCATCTTGTGAGCTGTCACTGCAGCCAAACTGGCTCATTTATGTTCTCTCCTCTCTCCTTTGGGACCAACCCTGGTGGGCCTACTAAGGGAAGGGTTAAGAAAAAGAGGTAAGGAAGACCCTGGTTAACACACTAATTAGCTAACCCTTCCCAGGAACAAGAGAAAATCAGCCACACAGTATCACATAGCTCTTTAAGAAAGTCCCTTGTCTGAAAGTTGGAGGGTTCCATCTTGGGGTACAACAGGAAAGCTAGACACAGAATTCAGAGTTGAGGCCGTACTTTCAGCCCTCTTATTCTACAGATGCCCTGAATAAACCAAGGATATGTCAAGAACCCAGGCCCTGGACAGTTTTAGCCATGTCACACTGACAACTGGTATACTAAAGCAATTTCAATTCCTCATCATCTGTCTCCATCTTTAACATCTTGTCTAAAACCATGCCCAGGAAGAATGTTCAGAGAATACAGGCTGCCACACAGATCAGGCGTTTCTCTCCAGGCTCCAACACACATGCTCAGCCTGGATCAATAAGCCTGACTGTGTCTCTCTGGCCGGGATGGGAAACTGTCTGGACACACAGGTGGAGGCAGCAAGACCCTATGGGCTGTTTCTGTTTTATGCTTACCCGGTTACCTTAGCAACAGCATCTGCACCGAGACACAAGAGGAAGCAAAGCACCACCTACCAATGCCCCCACTGAGAGGCATGGGGAGTAAAGTAAAAACCGGCCTGGAATCAGGAGGCTTCGGTTCCTGGCCTCTCTGCTGGCCCCTGGCTGGCTGCCCCTAACAAATCTCCTCACCTCCTGGGCCTGTTCTGGGCAGAACTGGGGCTGAGAGCTCTCTAGCTGGTTCAAGGTTTCTGTTGGGGAGCATAGTCTCTGGGTGAGAAGACCCTACTGTTTCTGCTCTGAGTAGCTTCAAGCACAGGAACTGTGTCAGCAAACAACTGTTTTTTAGCTAGTCTTCCACAACTTAACTTTTCAGTCTCCACCTGTGATGCAGAAAATGTTTGCTGAGCAAGCAGATGGTCGAGCTGCAAGAAGTCCTCACCAGGATGGACATTTCTTCAGCTGAGGTAGGAGGTAAACCTGGCTTTGGTCCTTGAAGGCTCATGGAGAAGAAAAGAGATTGAGGTAGTAAAAAATAATTATGAGCACTTCAACTCTACAATTACATGTAGTAATAATAATGACAATAAAAGTAGGACCTCCAGTATGATCTCTTCATGTCTGTTCTTGCCACATTCTCATAACCAGCTGTGAGGGAGGCAGAACAGAAATTATGACCTTCTTGTTGCAGTGGAGGACACCGAGGCACAGGGAGGCTGAAGACCCTGGGGCTGCCTGGGTGATGGCTGAGCTGGATCTGGACTGTGTGTCCTTTTCCTCCTGATCCCAGGACGTTTTTATTGGACATGACTCATGACAGCTATTATGAAGCAGAAACATCTTCCAACTTTGTTTGTGCAACCACGTTTAAACTTAATGCATGTCAGAGCACCTCTCTGAAGAAGGAAGAAAACTAAGATGGATTCATTCAACAAATAATGTGCTGAGCACGTACTTTGTGCCAAGCACCTGGGATTCAAAAATGAGCAATATGTGATCTCTACTCCCCAGCAGTTCAATTGATTAGGCAGGTTTTTTTTGCTTATTTAAATTTCTCATTTGTTATTGCATAGAAACACCAACCAAAAAGTGATACTCCCCATCCTGCAACTATTTTTGTATCCCCACGGAATTCCACTGGGCTGCATCCACTGATAGGAGAAGACACACTTCTAAAATTAGGAGAGGGTATCCAGGAACAAGGAGCAAAGATGAAAAACCGTAAGCAAATGCTAAAACCACCCCTGGCTCTGGGAGGGGCTTGGGCTGCGGGGAGATGAGAGAGGCCCCTTGACTTGGTGCAAAAGTGCTTCCAGGAAAGAAGCTGGGAGCCGCTTCCTGGACAAAGGCTGAGGGACTGACAGGGAGTCAGAGAGGCAGCCCCAAGAACCACTACTACATGCCACAATCAGATGCTGGAAGGAAACCCAAAGTCCATTCTTTGAACACACAAAGTCATTGAGGTCCTGTTTCCACAGATGAGAGTTTGGGGCCACACCCCACCCATAGCAAATCCTTTTCTGAATTGATGTGGTAGAGTGTTAAGGGCAGAGGCTTAAAGCTCCAAGCTAGCTTGACAATGGGCATTCCTGTCACTAAATCTCAAAAAAACACTTTTTATCATTTTACCTCTTTCCCTAGACTGGGCCCAACCATGCCTTGTCCTATGAACAGAAAAAGTATTCAAGCTGCTCTCTTAAAGCAGCTTTTATCTCCTCAGTGAAGTGGCAATTTTGGGACAAATTTCCACATGAAGAATCAAAATGTTCCAAGCCTAAATAGGGTTCTAGCAACACACTCTTAACTCACAGAAAAGAGCCTCTAACTTAGATTTCTGCTTTCCTTTGCAGAATCTGTAGCCTGAACACACTGGTTTTAACTCCACAGGCCTGAAGACACAAGCAGAAGAGACTCAGAAAAGCCAAGGACTGAGTGAATTCACAATGCAAGCAGAAACATCAGCAGGCAAATTAGGGCCCACATGGTTTCGGTTTTAATGTTCTTTGTTTTGTTTTGCATTTTTCTTTACAGATGGCGTACTGCTCTGTTGCCCAGGTTAGAGTGCAGTGGCTTGATCATAGCTCACTGCAGCCTTGAGCTCCTAGGCTCAAGCAGTCCTCTTGCCTCAGCCTCCTGAATAGCTGGGACTACAGGTATGTGCCACTGAACCTGGCTTGTTGTTTTGCTTTCTAAGACCACATTTACATTAGCCCATCTATTGTTCAGAGTCTTGCTATGTTGCCCAAGCTGGTCTCAAACTTCTGGGATGAAGGGATCCTTCCACTTCACCCTCCCAAGTAGCTGGGAGTACAGGTGTGTGCCACTGTGTCCAGCTTAGCCCATCTTTTTTTTGTTGTTGTTGTTTTTAAATTTTACTTTAAGTTCTGGGATACATGTGCAGAACGTGCAGATTCGTTACATAGGTATACATGTGCCATGGTGGTTTGCTGCACCCATTAACCCGTCATCTAGATTGTAAGTCCCACACGTATTAGGTACTGGTCCTAATGCCCTCCCTCCCCTTGTCCCCCACCCCCTGACAGGCCCCAGTGTGTGATGTTCCCTGCCCTGTGTCCATGTGTTCTCATGGTTCAGCTCCCACTTATGAGTGAAAACATGCGATGTTTGGTTTTCTGTTCCTGTGTTAGTTTGTTGAGAATGATGGTTTCCAGCTTCATCCATGTCCCTGCAAAGAACATGAACTCATTCTTTTTTATGGCTGTATAGTATTCCATGGTGTATATGGGCCACATTTTCTTTATACACTCTATCATTGATGGACATTTGGGTTGGCTCCCATTTTTAAAACAGCAAAGAAATGCTATAAGAGCCAGGCCATTGGGGGTACAAGTGAAGTTGAATTATCTTCATGTTATAAACATAAAAAATTAGACCCAGAACTTGAAAGAGGTCTTAGAAATAATTTACTGACTTTATGTTTCAATGAACAGTCTGAGGCCTCAGTCATACTGATAGTAAGTATGACTAGCTACCACTTATTGATCTCCCACTCAGAATCCAGCACTGGGTAAGGATCATGTAATGGTTTGCCAGGGCTGCTGTAACAAAGCACTGCAAACTGTGTGGCTTAAACAACAGAAATGTATTGTCTCACATATTCAAGATCAAGGTGTCGGCAGGGTTGGCTCCTTCTGAGGGCTGGCAGGGAAGGATCTGTTCCATGCCCCTCCCTCCCAGCTTCTAGCAGTTTGCTAACAACCTTTGGTATTGTTGAGCTTGTAGAAGTGTCACCCTGAGCTCCGCCTTCATCTTCACATGGTGCTCTCCCTGTGTGCATGCCTGCCTCTGCGCCCAAATTTCTCCTTGTTATAAGGACACCAGTCACTTGGGATTAGGGTCCACCCTAATGACTTCATCTTAACTAATTATATTTCAAATGACTCTATTTCCATATAAGGTTCTATTCTGAGGTACTAAGGTTAAGACCTCAACATATGAATTCTGGAGGACAAAATTCAACCCAGAAGTCTACCTTGTATTGGGTCCTCACGGCAAGGCTGCAAAACCCGGGGGGTTGGTGGCCCAGTCCCACCTCCCATGAGCTAATGAATGTGGGTAAGTTGTTTAACCTCCTTGTGCCTCAGTTTCTTCATCTGTAAGATGGGGATAACACAGGCCCACAATTTTGAAACGTTAAAAGCTCCAAAATATGAAAAAATGGATTTATAATTCATTTGGCAGCAAAACCTGACCTGAAACAAGCACATTGACTAAAAGTATCCTTGTATCTTGAGTTGACGCAAGGATACTTACAGTCTTTACTTATGCAACATATATATGTGTCACTACAGAAACTAGAACCATTAGTATGTTTCATAACAGGATGCTGTTGCAGATGCCATGAGGTGTTATAAAGCCTATGGTACATATACTGTATATCTTTCTCAAATCCCCAAGTTCTGACATGCCAAGCACTGCTGGTTCCAAACAAGGGTTTGAATAAGGGACTGTGGCTCTTCAGTGTATCTATCACAGGGTTATAATGAGGATTAGATTACTTAGTATTTGTACAGTGCATAGACTATTATCTGGCACATAGTAAGCACTGTATACATATATTTGTTAAATAAAATAACAGCTGCCTTGTCTAAAGTAACTCAGGTGGAAGGCTAGGGAGGAAGGTTCTTTGAGACTTTGAGTGCAGGAATGCCTGACACCAGAAGCTGTGCTGTCTGTGCTGTCATGCTGCCTCTGCGACTCCAGGTTTGGGGCTCATGTCCTTTGGTTCACAAACCAGCCTTGTTTATGCAATAGTTTGAAGCAATCTCTGCCTTCTGAGATGATTATTAAGTGAAATCAGCCTTCTGTTTGTGTTCGTTAGCTTCGCCGCCATAACAAAATACCACAGACTGGGTGACTTAAACAACAGAAATTTATTTTCTCACAATTCTGGAGGCCAGAAACCTGAGATCAAATTGTCTGCAGGGTTGGTTTCTTTGAAGGGCTCTCTCTGTGGCTTGCAGGTGGCTGTCTTCTCCCTCTGTGTTCATATGGTCTTCCCTCTGTGTGCATCTGTGTCCTAATCTCTTCTTATAAGGACACCAGTTATACTGTATTACTGCCCACCCTAATGACCTCATTTTAACTTAATTACTTCTTCAAAGGCCCTGTTTCCAAATACAGTCACATTCTGAGGTACTAGGCGTCCATATATGCATGGCGGCGGGGCACAGGAAGGGGACACAGTCCAGCCTATAACACTATTTTTAGAAACTAGATAAATTATCACTCACAGCAGATGAATCCCATATGCTTGCTGGCTTGTTTCTGCCCCAGCATTTTTCAAAGTGTTGTCCAGGACCACCTGCAATCGAATCACTTGGGCTTTTAGTAAAAATAAGTCTGCTCCAAGCCCTTGAGTCAGAATCTGGGGCAGAGGAGCACAGGGCCCAGGGATAAAGCCTACTTGTATTTTACATTCATACAAAGATTTGGCTTAATTAAAGGGACTTGGGAAAAGCCAGGTAGTGAGGTATGCCGCCCCCCCCAACCCCCGCTGCACCCCCACAGCCACTGTAGTCCCCCAGGTAAGGGCAGCCGAAGGAAGAGCACGAAGGAGGGAGTCAGGCAAGTGTGAGTCTGAGCAGGGAGCACCATGCATCTGAGGCCTCCTCTAGTGTGGCTCACTGGAGGGCCACGAGAGAAGCTCCTTTCCACTCAAAGCTTGCCTCCCAGTACCAATGAATGCCCCCACCCTCACCCCTTTCAGTAGATACAGGGGACTTTGCAGTGTAGATGCCAGGAGAGGCCACAGGGGAGGCCACCTATCCAGAAATGCCTGTGTTCCACAGCCTGACAAAGATTCTAGTCATTTCCCTTGGGCGGGATTCCCCTACCCCTAACCCCCAGCTCCTGGCAGAACTCAAAGATCCCCCTGCCTCTCAGAATGGTGGAAGACCTGTGCCTTGAAATAATGTTTAAGAGACAGGAAATAGTGTCATTTTTCCCAAGCCAAATGCTGAACCAGGGAGCAGAGGTTGAGGCAGGTTCACATAGTCACTGACTCTGCTCCAAAGCTTCCTGCGATGTGGGTAAGCCGGTGGGTCATTTGGCTTCCTGGAAGCTGATGTACGGGAAACAGGATTGTCATACACATGGGTACAGCCTTTGAATCACGTCCCAGACAACCAACGTGAGCCCTCTAGAGTGGGTGTCTGCTGCAGGTGTACGTGTGTGTGCACACCCATGTCCCACGCCTGTGTTAGGGTGGCCACCAGCCTCTCATGTCAAAAATTCTAGCAAAACAGCTGGTGAGTGGGACTGTAAATGATAGTGATTTTCCTAGCACCATGACAACAAGACACCATCAAAGCTAATGGCGCTAATCCATCCCTCGTATTTCTCTGCTGGTTCTGGCTTAGATTTTGTTTCTTAAAATACTTGCCTGGCTGGCAAGGCAGTGACTCACCTGCACCAGGACTGAACAGAACAGGCAGGAGGTATTTTCTTCTGAAGAGCTGTCAAGAGCCAATACAGCACCTGAGGTCTTTCATTTCACACGTTGTTCCTGTCAAGGAGGAGACATTCTTACTCTCTTGTCAAAGTTGGAGTTGCCAAAGAAAGCAAAGTGGTTAGAATGTGTCAAACTTTGGCATTTGTATTAAACAGAGTTTGAGGAAACCAGGCAGGTTTGACTGAGAATCTCTTCCTTGTCTTCCATCCAGTGCAAGATAGGCCACATTTTTACAGAGAACTGTCAAAAAAGAAAGTTCACATTAGAGTCACTCAGCTCCACGTGGGTCCTCTGGTGGCATCTCTCTCAGTGTCAAATCCTAATTGTTAGGACTCCATGAATCCTGAGTACTTCAATGATTTAAGAACTCTTCCGAAGCTGGTAATTTGGAAATTGCATTGTTAGTAAATATGAATTAATAAAAAAGCAAAGTCAAGAATTTTACTGGCAATGAAACTATGTTTACTGGTCATCTCTTAATTCCATTTGAATTCCACAGGCCATAAACTGTGGTATATTGCAAAATACCCTGAAGTCAGACGTGGATTCACATCCTAGATTTGCTGCTTATTAATTGTGTGACTTTAGCCGTTACTTAGCCTCTCTGAGTGTCCATTTCCTCAGCTGTCAAAGTGGGAATGATACCATTTCCCAAATTGTATTGCAGTGAATATAACAAGAGATCATGAGTGTGAGAGATGCTAGTACAGAGGCTGGCCCATAAATGCTCATGTCTTTTCCTGTCTGTTGTTTTTTTCTGTAACTTAAATGAGCATCATTTCTAGCTAACTAATGTTTTAATGTTGACACATTTCAGTAGATGGTTTTCTATACTTTTAGAATGTCATAAATGATTCTCCAAGAAGTAGAAATGACTAGGATACAAACCCTGAGACCAGCAGTTGCCAAAGTCACAAGAGGTGATTTGTATGGTCCAGACAGTGATGCAGGAGCAAAGCCTCCGTTTTGACTTTCAGAGATTTGGGAGCAGTGAGGTGCAGTGCCCTTTGGAAAGGTCAGTAGAAATGCTCTGTGAAATGTGAAAAGGTGGGTGCCAGCTCAAGGGGTGCCAGGTGAGGTCCCACTGGAAACCTGCCTCCTCCATCCCTGCCTCCCTGTCCTCAGCAGCACCCTTTCATTTTCTAGTTAGATCGGCTCAGGTCCCAGCTGACTCCTTCTGGATGTCCAGCCACAGACATTTGTCTTTGTCTCCAGCACTTTGAGTCAGAACCACAGGTTTTCGTATTTGCTGTGGTTTTTTTTTTTTTCTGTCATTATTGTATTTGTTTTGGTCTTAGTTTTCTACCAGACTTTAATGGAAAGAGACCAGGTTTGAGTCCAGCTGCACCCCTTATTAGCTGGGTTATTAAGGACAAGTCACTTCACCTCTTTGAAATGCAATCTTCTGATTTATATGTGGGGATCCTACATTATTAAGTTGTTGCAAGAGCTAACGTGACTAAAATTCACATTGAAGTATTTTGTAAACTGTAAAGTGCTGAGAAGAAAAGATAATTTCAAACCCCTCTTAGCATGTATACTTTACTGGAACATATACATGCTCAAAGATATGTGTTAAGTTACTTTTTGATTAAAGATATTTGCTACAAGAATGTTGTCCAATCCCCAAACACACCAGGAGATGTTCTGAGCATTCTGCAATGGTTCCAGTGGGTTCCCTGGATGGTTTGTGAGGGAATTTGCCATTTACTGTGTATTTGCCATGTCCAGGCTCATGCTTGGGAACATCCTGTTTGATTCCCATGAGGTAGGTATTAGCCAAGTTTCCCCCACCAGGTGTGATGGTTAATTTTGTGTCGACCACACTGGGTTAAGGGGCATCCAGATAGATGATAAAACAATATTTCTGGGTTGTCTGTGAGGGTGTTTCTGGAAGACATTAGCATTTGAATCAGTGGACTAAGTATAGATCACCCCCACCAATGCAGGTGGGCAGCATCCAACTGGCCCTCAGCCTCCACAAAAATGTGGAGGAAAGGTGAATTTGCTCTCCCTTCTGGAGCCAGGACGTTATCTTCTTTCGCTTCCAACACCAGAATTCAAGGTTCTTGGGCCTTCCAACTCTGGGACTTACATAAGCTGCATTCTCTACATAAGCTGTCACCTGCGTTCTCAGACCTTGGGCCTCTGACTGGGAGTTACAGCATCGGCTCCCCTGGTTCTGGGGCTTTCAGTATCAGACTGAATTATACCCCCACCTGTCCTGGTTCTCCAGCTTGCAGACTGCATAACATGGAATTTCTCGAGCCAATTGCATGAGCCAATTCCCGTAATAGATCCCCTTCTACATATCTGTATATGTCCTATTGGTTCTGTTTCTCTAGAGAACCCTGTGTGATACACTACGCATGCACAAATAAAGTCACATCAAGACTAATAATCTAAATGTTAGTTTGTTACCACCATTTCTCACTTTGAACCTAGCTCCCTGCAAAGCACCTTCTACCCTGCACTTTTGGGGAGTTCCTGGGGTAGGAGGTCTTACATGTGCTCATCAGCAAATCAATGCCCAGGCACTGTCCCTTACTCTGCTCTGCCATCTCACTCTGGTAAAGTTGCTCTGTGGATTGTCAGGTGGAAAAGTTGCCTTTTTCTCTCTTATGTTCATTTATAGGAGTTTCATCTCAGTGACCCTGTACTCCAGTGTCTTATGAAGCACTAACAAATAGTCCCTTTAGCTTTTAGTGACAACTCTGCCCAGGAATGAGACATGGGTCTGATATGGGGTAGGGTGAAGGATGGGGTTCCGCCCCTGTTACCACAGTGTACTCAAAACTACTCCTTTCTCCAGTATGATGCTTCACCTTTTGGTGAGCCCACTGTGCGCAGCTCCCTGCATTTCCTCAAGAAGGGAGTTTTCCCAGATCCCTGTAGGGTTTCCCTGCTAGTCCACTAGATGTGACGGAATCCTAGCACAGACTCCAGATTGCACATTCCCACTATACAGATGAGGAAACGAAGGCTCAGAGGGTAAAGAAACTTACCCAAGGTCACACACTGAACAGGTGACAGTCAAGAGCCAAACTCAAAGTCCAAATCCCACATTCTTTCTGACCAAAATCCTGTGATCAAAGTGGCAACATGACACGTTGTTGTGACCCTGGTATTCATACAGGAGGGCAAACTGCGCTGGTCACTCTTTACTAGACATGCTTTTCTCCTCCCCAGGGGTTTGTTTAAGTCTGTTTCTGCTTGGTTTCCACTGAGAATTATACTCTGGGCACGAAAAACGGGGATTCCTTGCCATTTCACCTTCCTTCCCATTCCTAGCTGCCCTCCCAGGGAACTGACAGTTTATTTCATTGTTATTTGGCTTATGGTTAAAAGAACTGTGGTGGGGCCAGGCACGGGTGGCTCATACCTATAATCCCAGAACTTTGGGAGGCCAGGGAGGGCAGATCACAAGGTCAGGAGTTCGAGACTAGCCTGGCCAATATGGTGAAACCCCATCTTTACTAAAAATACAAAAATTAGCCAGGTGTGATGGCGCACGCCTGTAGTCCCAACTACTCGGGAGGCTGAGCCAGAAGAATCGCTTGAACCAGGGAGCTGGAAGTTGCAGTGAGTGGAGATCATGCCACTGCATTCCAGCCTGGGTGACAGAGTGAGACTCCATCCCACCCACCCCCCCTCCAAAGAAAAAGGAAAAGAAAAGAACTGTGGTGCTTACACAGATGACAGAACAAGCAAGTCCTGGCTACTGCAAAGATACACCTGAGCCAGTGTTAGTAGATCTGAGAAAAACACATATTCCTTGACTTGATTCCAAAGCCCCTGTAACCTGGTCATCCTATACCAACCCTCTGTTCCAGCCTAAAGGTCTACACATGACCCTAAGTTCTCTTTTCTCCCCTCCCAGCTGTAGCCTGATGCCCATGAAAGATGGGGCCTGTACCCCATGTGCTCACTCCTCCTAGCCCATTCCAGCGATGTGGCATCTATGCTCCATTCTGATTCTCTTGGTCAGGGCCTTGACCTTCTCTCTTGGCCTTGCCAAATCTTTCCTTTAGGGAGCTGGATGCTCTTCTTCCCCAGAAGACATTGCCTGGGGACCTGACTACATCTAAACAAACCTTCTCATCATTTCCAGAACAAAGGACTGTTACCTTCCCAGGCATGCCCTCTCGACTGCTTCAGACTCTGGCTGTACCAGCTCCACTCACCACATAATAAAACTCTTGGGGTATGAAGGAGGATGCACACCACCCTGTCTTGGCTCCAACTGGCCACTTCCTGGAAACTCTGGGATTAGGTGGCTGGCCACTTTCTTTGCAGGGCTCCTAATGTGTCACCAGCCACAGTTGTTGGTGCTTAGGTAACTGAGGGAGCTGTCTTCAGTTCAGACTTCTTAAAGACCCCATTTCATGTTACATAACCCTCAACCTATAATCCCTGCTTTCCCATTTCCTGTTTCCTTTCTCTCCATAGCATTAATCAGCATTTTGATACACAATATATAGCAAAACGTATAGCTTACTTTAGGAGTAAGCTCCTTGAGGTTTTAGTCTGCTTTGCTTGAGCAGTGTCTGGTAGGTGCTCAGTGACTGCCTGCTGAATGCATGACTGGAATGACCACGACCTTGAACATCAGCACCAGAGTACACATACCGAGGTGTTGGGAGGACCAGGAATTCTTGTTCTCTTCTGTCACAGGGCTCAGCTGTCAAAGATTTCCAAACCTCCTCCATCTTAGCCACAGCAATAAAGGGTCTACAAGTTCATTCTCGGCACTGCACTGGGCACCATGGGAAATGCAAACCCTTC
Organism: Homo sapiens; assembly: GCF_000001405.40. Classification (NCBI taxonomy): domain Eukaryota; kingdom Metazoa; phylum Chordata; class Mammalia; order Primates; family Hominidae; genus Homo; species Homo sapiens. Next base: position 157,094,751 of record NC_000003.12, on the reverse strand, counting down.
AGGCAGCTTAGTATCCCAGCTTGTCTCTGAGCCATCACCCCCGGAAAACGAACTGTTCCTCTTGCAAGCCCTCATTATGCCCTTATACCCGCAGCATAGAGCTCTGTGTTCTCCATCTGTCTCCATTCTTCCCAGACATGAGCCTGTCTCACTCATCTTCACATCCCCAGTGCCCAGCACAGTGCGGAGAAGCTATGAAGGGTGTGATAAATATTTGATGCATAAATGAATACCTGGGATCCCACATGCAGAGAAAGCCAGCCCCTTCTGAATTAATTATGTGACTCAGACACTAGAGGATGATGAGTTTATTTCCTTTATTATGATTAATACTTTTTTTCCCAAAGAGTTTTTCAATTCTGAGATTTAAGTTTTATATATTGTAAATATCAAGATATCCTTTATGAAACAATATTCTTTCCAAAAGACAGCATAAATTTTGGAGTAAAACTGATGACTATGTTTCCTTTTTCTAGACTTTAAATATCTCCTTTTACTTAGGGCTGATTTTAAAATCATGTGGATTTAAAAATTTATGTGGAAGTGTTTTGTGACATTGAAAATAAGAGTCTGTGAAGAAAAGCTGATGCTGCCATTACGATCTCTTTGTATCTGGAATAATTAACTTTTGTTTATTACAAAAACCTTTTTTAAAAATAGGCAATAAATTAATTGTGCAGTTCATCTTGGATTTAGGAGAAGTTGATTCTATGGTTTTTTTTTTCTTTCTTTTTGTAGAGACAGAGTCTTTCTCTGTCACTGGACTGCAGTGGTGCAATCATAGCTCACTGCAGCCCCTAACTCCTGGGCTCAAGCAATCCTCCTGCCTCAGCCTCTCAAGTAGCTGGGATTACAGGTGTGAGCTACCATGCCCAACAAGAAGGTGATTCTTAAAAAAGAGAAAATAATACACAGAGAAAAAGTAAAACAGTTATTGTCTTCACATCAATAAAAAGGGAGACTGAGCATTTCCTAAGTGGAACTATTTATAGCTTATACCAAGCTTTAAACTATACTAGATATTTAGTTGATTATATTTCCCAACTCTAATTATTAAAATTAATTTAATCAGTGTGGGAAGAAAATTTAAGAGGGAAAAATAAATCTGCTTTATGATTTTCAAAGTTAGTTTTCTACACTGATCGATGTATGAATAAGTGCTCAGGTGCCAATTCATTTCCTGCCATGGAGATACTGTGCTTTCTGAGTTTTAGAGAGTTAAACTCCAGAAGGCAATAGTGGTTCTATCTGTTGTGCCTGCCTACCCAACATTCATTACCCCATTTTTCTGCTCACAGCCTTTTGATTTTCTTTAGGGGAGCCACCTCTCACTCCACTTTCAGTTCATGACGCTAGGAATAGTTATGTGACCTGGGCTTGGCCAATCAGGGCTTGGTTCAGAGATGGGTACATTACCAAAGCTAAGCCAATGTGAGCCTGACTGGGATTTTGCAGGCACTATTAAGAAAGAGATTCTTTGCCCTTTGGTATGCTGATGCTTGGAGCTTCTACCTGAGAGTGAAACTAACACAAAGAAAGCTGACAGATGGTAAATTCAACTCATACTGCAACTTGGATGTGCCAATAAAATGTAATTTCTCTAGTTTGTCCATAACCAGTCTGGTCCTTCACTAGTTAGGGTTTAAATCTTGATTCAATCCAATAATTCAATATCCCCATTGAGAACATGCTCGCTTTCTCAGATGGCTTCCTCTTTCTCCTTCCCCTCCTATAAAGATGCCATCTGGATGCATGGCCAATATTCAACAGGTACATGGCATTATGGCTGCCCTCATTGATAAAATACTAAAGTATGCATGGAGCAGTTGGTAAACAGGTTCTGCCCTGAGGTCCCTGCTCCTCATAATCCATCAACTAAAGGGTTAACTCTGGACATAGTAAGACATCTCCATTTATACTCCTCAGCGCCTGAGCCTGTAAGGATTTTTAAATGTTTTGATCGTCATCCAGGTAGGGTGTGCTGGGGTGGAGGTAGTATGGTGGTGTGTGTCTTTTCTGTGTCCTCATGGTGTTGAGAGGAAGGGAACTTTTGTCCTTGTACTGGTCCTTGAGCATAGCTGCCTTGTATGTGATTATTTTGAGACAACATCCACTTTTTGTCTGTCCTGGGTGCACTGCAAGCCTCTGATGTGGGGGTCTGTGGATGGGGAGCTTGTGTCCATCTGAGGTGATCTGAAGCAGTGCTCCCAAAGGTGTTTCCTGACTGGCTTAGCTCCTTCTCTGCTTTTCCTGCTGCTACAGACTCCGACTTCTGTCCATGACTTCCTATCAACCCTGGTCCCAGGGGTCTCCTCGGCAGCCCAAACCACTGAGTCACCTCACTACAATGATCACCTCTGGCAAGCTGGCTACAGGCTTTCTGCTATGTCTGGGTAGAATCTAGCCTTCCCAGGGACCTGACAGAGCTTGAAAAGTCCATAGCAGGGCCTGCTGCTACCCGACCAACACTGGGCTCTTCCTCTCATAATTCTGGAGGGGGCGTGGGGGAACGATCTCCCTCTGCCTTTGTGGTTAAGCTTTACTTTTCCAATACAATCTCTCCACTCAGGCCTCTTGTTTATTCTGCTACTTCTGTCCTCTGATAATCCCCACTTTCTCCTGGTCTAGACCTTTCGAATATAAAACCCTAAGGTTTAGTCTACCAAGCTCAGTTCTTGACCCTCTGAAGAGGAAGGTAATGGAATGTACAGGATATTTTCTCAAGGTAAGGGCTTGAATTACATGGCTATTGCCTTGCTACAAAATTTATTTTTGAATGCCAGAAGCTGAGTGTTATGTTTTCTTTCTCTTTGCATACTTTCTGGAAAGAACTTTCATTTCTTCCTAGGCAGATAAATGCCTAGAGTAGACTAAGTTCATATGCTTTGAAAGGCAAAAGAGAAAACTACATTGATAATTTCAAAACATTATGCCTATCATACATGACAACACCTTTAAAGCACCTGAAATCTAACTGGGCCTAAAGCCAGTCTACCCAGTTTTTAGCAAACCCATGGATCCCGTGGTTAGAGCTGGGTTTCAGTCACTTGCTACCCATAGTCCTGACTGACATGGTAATAACAGTATCCATTTCACATTATTTGAATAGCACTGGGCACAGCTCCACATGCAAATGGGTCTGATTAAATGCATTTGATGGTAAGATTACTGCCAGGGTTAGATCCTGACACAGATAAACCTTGCTTAAAGAGCTCCCCAAGTCCATTTCTAAACCTCCCATGTACGTTTCTTCCTTTCCAGTGGTAGAAAAAAAATAACCAAGGAAGAGGATCCCTTCCTTTGGGTTATCTGGGGCCAGAATCCCCTCTTCTGTCACTCACCCTGTGGTGGTGCTGGGGGTTGTACTGAGACTCCAAGTTATTTCTCCTTGCTGACCCCTCCTGCTTCCCCTTTCCTATAAGCTCGTTCCAGTTTCCCATAGTTGCAAAAACAAAACACAACAAATAAAACAAAACGACAATGAATAAAGGAAACTCTCCCTGCCTCCCCTTTTAGCTGTAACTTCCCCCTCCCTGCCTAACCAACTCTCTTGAAGCAGTGGTTTATACCCACTACCCCTGCCTCTTCTCTTCTTTGACTCCATTTTGCTTCTAACCTAGTGTGATTTTGTTTCTGCCCTCACATCCCCACTAAAACCAATGTCTCACAAGTAATCAATGACTTCCTCATTGTCAAATACAACAGACATATTCCGGTGCTCATTTGCTTCACATCTCGGTGGCATTTCCCACTCCTGACTACGTCTTCAACCTGGAGAGTCTTGATGTGAACTGCTTGATGCCACTTTTTTCTGGTTTTCTTTCCATTTCTCCATCTGTTCCTCAGGATCTCTTATTTGATCCTTAGGATCTGGTATCTGTCAGGTTTGGGTTTCATGCTTTCATAGTCTTTTCATTCTGCCTGCTCTTCTGGGCCATCCCAGCCCTGCCTTGGCTTCAGTGACCATCTTTAAGTTGACTGTTCCCCAGTGGGCACCTCCAGGCCTCTCTCCTGTGCTTGGAACTCATGTTCCTAACTCTTCCTGGAGGTCTCCACCTGGATGTCCTACAGCCACCTCAAACCCATGTTCAAAACATGCCATCTTCCTCTCAGGTCCATTTCTGTTCCTCTACTTGCAATCACAGTAAATGGTATCAACATCCATGAAGCTGCACAAAGAACCCGAGAATCCTCCCGGATTTCTATTTCCTTTCCCCTTTCCCTGCCTACTGAGGCAGAACCTTGTACCTGGCAGTATATCAGATATCCACCCAGAGTAGTGTGTATGAGTGGATGAATGAACTATGGTGCTACAGAACACCATGGCTCCAACTTGAGTCTGAAACTTGATGTCATTTTGCCTTTCACAGTTTTTCACTGCTTCTTCTTTAATATGAGGGAGTCCACCTAGATGATCTTCAGCTCTGAGATCTATGATCCACACTACTCCAATGTGACACCTTAGTCACTTATCCACTTAACTCCATTCCTTTTTCTTGTGCCTATCACACCTAGGTAAAGGGGAGGGGAACCCCTATGATAAAATGGGACTTAAAACTTAAATTATGCCAGATTACAGAACATATTTTCCCTGGTAAGAGGTCCCAATGTCTCTCTGCAGCCACCTACCTTGAGTCACCGTGAGAACTGGAAAGGGAAACAGGAAGAGTGCATGGGAAGGGCGGGAGAAGCTGAAGGAGAGATTAACAGAAGCCATTTCCTCCTTTCCCTGTCATGCCAGATCCTCTGTCTGTGTGAGTCTCCCCAAGCGCTGCACACGGGAAAGCACCTTCCCTCTTGTTCCTCATGACTTCTGTCTGGAAACGAGTACCGTGACTGTCTCCTGAACGCCTACGTGCCTAGCACTTTCTACTTCTCAAAACATTGCACGAATATTTATTTGAGAGCCTTCCATGCGCAGGCACTGTGCTAAACAATGTGCACCTTATCTCATTTAAATCCCACGACCCTAGCCTATTTTTATCTCCGTTTTGCAGACCAGAAAGCTAGGGCATGGAGCGGTTAACTGCTTCACTAAGGCCATCCAACTAGTAGTGTGGTTCTGGAAATCATCATATCAAACCCAGGTCTGTCTGATTCTATGCCCAAATCCAGGGCAGCCGTGGCTACACTGCTTCTGACGTATTCGTGGTTATCTTTCGCTGCCACTCAAGACACTGAGTACACAGTATCTAGGCTTTTGATAAGTGCTCATTGAAGAAGTGCTTAAACCATGTCAATACGAGCTGGATCTGGTCCCAGCTGCCAGAAGCCAGAAATGCAGCTTTGGGCCTTTCCCATCACCTCTTTGGGCCTCAATTTCCTCATCTGTAAACGGGAGGCATTATGCAAATGCCCTCGAAGGAGGCTGTGCCTTTAACATTCTGTGGCTCTGTTCTCATGGCGCAGTGTCCCCAACGTGCTGCCAAGAAACTGCACTGACGGCAGGACCCAGCAGCTCAGCTCTCCTACGCGGCCCCAGCGGCACGGCTGACGCATGCGCCCTCGCCCTCCATCCTCCGCCCTCGCGCCCCTTGCCTGGCGCGGAGGCAGCTCTTTTCTGCGCACGCGCAGGCCCTCGCCGCCGCCTGACCGCTGGATTGCCTCGCTCCAGGAGGGCGCGGCTGCCTCCCCCGACGCTGGGGAAATCAGTGCTCTCGACAGGGATAGGGGTCTGCCTGCCAGGAGCCATTCGGGGCCCACGGGGGAGCCGCCTGGCCCTCGTTAGGCAAGGTCCCTGGGAAAGCTGCCCCCCACAGGAGAGCGTGTTCCCGCCCGCGCGCTGGACGTGCCGGGGAGCACAGAGAGGCTCTTCCCGCTCGCAGCACAGATGGAAACGCTCTCGCTCTGCGGCCTGGGCTGGGAGGCAGGGGAGGGCCCCAGAGCCCTGCCAGCCCGCAAAGCTGGGAGGATTTTCCTCTCAAAAACGATACCGCTGATTAAACTGAAAACTTCTAAGGTCACGGAGGACGTTTATCCGGGCTGGGGCGGGGAATGGGAGGGCTGGAGGCGTCACCTGATGTTATAAGCTACTAAAAGGCAGCGGACTCTGGCCGGGAGGCAGGCGCTTCATTGCAGCTTAGGGATGAATACATAAACCTGGGCGGCTATTTTTACACTGGCTGAAACAGAGAGCGTGTGTGTGGCAGGGGAGAGGACGCAAGCAGCCCTCCCCCATTCATCCCCTGATCTTCCCCTTCCATCTGGAGAGTTACTCCTCAGAACCGAAGCATTTTTATTTTTATTTTTTGAAATCAGGGAAGGGAAAAGGAATGCAGATCAAAACGTTTCCTAAATGGTAAAAATAAATGAGATAGCAGCATTCTGAATTCTCACGCCTTGGTACTCTCAGTCCTTCCTCCCCTTGTGTGCAGTCTTTTGAAGTCCAAGGTTGTCGGTCTGAGTTTGTCTTTTCCTGCTCAGGAAACATGGAATGGCTTCTGCAAGGTTTGGGCCTGCAGAGAGCTGGAGGAGACAGAGAAAAGAGGAGACTTTTTGCCAAAAATGCATTCTCGATCCCGGCGTGTGCCTGTGCACTGTTGAGTGTGACTTTGTTCTGTTAGGACTTAAAAGAAAGCTCTGCTTCTTTAAATAGGAATTTTCAGACCATGATAAGCACTGAGAAAGCAGAAGATTGTCCAGGAAGGGTGATTGCTTTGAATTTTCACCTGATTTAGACCCACTGAAGCCATTGCCTGTGCTTTCTTGTCAGAATAAATTTGGAGCTGAACTCACCATACCCAAGAGGGAGGCGTGCTCGGGGTAGGGCTGTGAGCTGTATGGGGAATTCTTGCTGACATCAAATCGTTTCAGATCACTCAATTTACTTTGATTTCGTTCAACGTCATTTCATTTTCTTTCCAAGTCCTCTAAGAAGTCTGGAAAAGGAGACACTGAAAATAATTGCAAAACTTAAGGCATGAAATGAAATATCTCCTAAAATTAAAGTAAGGTTGTAGAGGTTCACCATCTTAAGGATTTGTATAGATGACCTTTTAGCAATTTTTCATTTGAGAATTATGGAACTACAAACACACACACACACACACACCAAAACCCCGCAAAAAGGAAACTTCATTAGGAAGGGAAGGTTACCTGCAAAGCTCTTCATTCAATGTGTCATTTCTAAGATTCACTAGATTGGAATGAGGATATAGAGTGGGAATGTGTGGGGTGGGCAAGAAGCAGGGCATAGGGGGAGTTTTAAATTTGTTTCATCCATGACTAATGTCTCCAACAATGGGGAATAAAACAAATTTTGCCTTTTGTAAAGGGAAATTGAAATTCAAAGTTGTGGAGGAACATTCCTACCCTGGGAGTCTTGACAGCCTCCTAGGGTCCAGCACAGCTGGGCTCTTAGAAATTCACCTACTTCTTCCAAAGGCAGGTCAAAAGAAGGTTGCTTTATTGAGATAGTACAAATCAAGGACTCCTTCATAGCAGAAAACCCCCAAACACCTCTACTATTTGTGTGCCAGTAACTTCCAGCCAAGTTTGAGGAAAGCCCCAGATTATCATTATTATTGTTTGTTTTCATATATGTTTGTTTATTCTGTTTTGCTTTTTAAAACGTAGCAGAACTTGTACGTCCAAATGTATGCACACCCTGAGAAAACTTTCAAACCACTGTTTAAAAAGTGGGAGCAGGACCATTACCTTATGTCCCAGAGGACAATTCTAGGCTAGCCCCCTTTTCTATCCCTAACAAGCTTAAAGACAGTATATCTCACCTGTGGGCAGGCCACTCCCTGTCCCCAGTTTCCTTCACTGGCCTGTCACTCTGTATCCATAGCAACTTAACTCAGGTCTGAAAATCAGGAAACCTGGATCGTGAAGAGGTTAGGTCTCCTGAGAGATTAAAATCAATAATCTGTCTTTTTAGATATTCTGTCAAGAGATTACATTTATTTTTAAGAAGCAACATCTAAGCTATCCGAGTTCAAAAATCACTTTCTTTTTTGTAATATAGCACAGGAGAAAGAGTTCCGGAAGTGGCAACTTAATTTGTATCTAATTTCAGCAAAATAATTGCACACAGCTTCCAGCTTGAATGAGCAGTGAGGTATAGCTCCAAGTAGTTACTTATTTTAGTAGCACTCTCTCAGGATGAATGCTAGCTATTTTCAGTTGCATGTGGGAAAACCAAAGGCGCTGCCAAGCTGTGGCAAGTTGGCATCATGTGTGAGCTGTCAACCAGGATACTTACTTTCACTCAGATTCATTTCTAACTTGCAGTTGGCGTGTGACCTTTTTCTTTATTCAATTTGGGGTCCTGAGCACTTCCTTTCTCTGCCGCCCTACCTTCCCACCGATCTCTACCCCCACAGGCAGCTTTTGGCTGAATCCATTTAATAATAACAGTGTGAGTGCCAAGTGGGTTGTATAAAATCCTTAGGGAGAGCTGTGAAATGAAGCACATTGTTCTTCAGGGCTCCTAGGGACCAGAATGTACCCATCAACAAAAACTAATATGCAATAAAATTATATGTCTTTCTCTATAATTTATGCAGAGTGGGATAATGCTGCAATGAGGCCATAAATAGCTCTTGGTATATGCCGTAGGCAGCCTCTAAAACAGCCCCCAGTAATCATCACTTCCTGGTATTCTCTGTCTCATGTAACCTCTTCTTCAGCGTGGGCTGGATGGACCTGGTGCTTGGCTTTAAACAAATTGAATACAGCAAAAGTGATGGGATGTCACTTCCAAGATTGGGTTACAAAAAGTCTCTCTCTAAGCCAACTGCCATGTTGGGACCTGCCCCGTGGAGAGGCCTATGTGGCAAGGAACTGATGTCTCCAGCCAGCAGCCACAGGAGTGAACCTGGAAGTTCACCCTCCTTTGGTAGAACTTTGAGTTGCCTTTGGTCCTGGCTGACACCTTGATTACAGCCTGTGAGACCCTGAGCCAGAGGACTGCTAAGTTACAACTGTGTTCCTGACCCATGAAAACTATACGATAACACATGTTGACTGTTTTAAGCGTCTCAGTTTTGGGGTCATTTGCTATGCAGCAATAGAAAACTAACACAGTATATTCCCTAAAGCAGACAGACCCTCCTGCTCCAGTAACCCCACCAGAATTCTGTCTCCAGACTTACCTCCTGCTACAGCCTCTCTATCACCCCTGGGGACACTTTTGGGGCACATCTTACTCTCAGGTGTCTTTTTAGGAGCTATTTCTTTTGCTGAAACAACCAGCCACCTCTTCTTCACAAGATAAATTCCTGCTCATCCCTTGACACCTGGATCAGATGTGACCTCTGGAGAACCTTCCTAACTCAGCCAGGCAGAGCTCCTATATCTGGCCTTGGGGTCTCCACAGCGCTTTGCTTCCGCCTGTGCTGCAGCATATCCCATGGCGCTGTCCTTATTGGTAGGCCTGCTAGGCTGCAGCTCCAGGAGCACAGGAAATGTTTCTTCATCTTCCAATCCCTGGTGCCTAGCACAGCACCATGGTAAAACATCATTCTTGGAACGGATTACTGACTGTCTTGCAGGAGCAGGGATCCCAGGCAGAAGAGAACATCTGGTAACTAGTTCCACTTTCACCTGATGCAGGGATCTTATTACAGCATCCTCAAAATGTTTGGAAGAAGACCACTTTGGGTAATTGGACTATACACACACACACACACACACACACACACACACATATATATGCACATATATATATATTCCAATATTATATTATATATTATATTATATATTATATTAAGCATCCAGTCAGCAGATTGAATGCTCTAGCAGCCAGCAGTGGTTTGAAGCTCTCTTGATCTGATTCCAGCCCCTTGATCCATCACTTAAGGTCAGGGGGGCTTGAAAGTTGACAGTCCTATAATTTGAGTTATCATCATTTCAATCCATGACCTTGAAGTTGATATGTCCCAGGTATCATGGACATGCTTTACTTCATTTTTTGAGCAAGCTAGAAAGAAACCATGAAGGCATCCCAAGGGACAAGTTAAAGAGACATCCTTAGGGACAAAGCTGAAGGAAAGGAAGGTTGTGCTTTTCTCTCAGATGGTGATCTAGCCCATGAAGGGAAGGGCTCATTGCAGGGCAAGGCTGTTGGAAGATCTTTCAGGAGTGGAATATGTTGTAAGCCTATCTACCCCATCATCATTTTCCCCTCCATTGTTCCTCTCTTGGACCCCAATTCACCTGCAGCAAATAGCTTCCTAACTGGTCTAATGACATTTAGTTATGACGTTTTCCAAGTTGTTCTCCACAGGGAGATCAAACTCTTTCTGAAATGCACATTGGATCACATCACCTGGCCACTTCAACACTTCAGTGGCTCCCCGTGCATGGCCTTCCCCAGCCTGATTGAGAATCTCACCTCCTTGCTGTCTGCACTCAGGTCACACTTGCCATCTTTCATGGCCTTGAATACACATGTGCAGCCCCACTCTAGGGGTTGCCCAGGACCCACTGGGCTTAGTTAATCTTATTGTTCCTTCAGATTTTATTTCACTCATCATTTCCTCAGAGATTTCCCTGACGTCCCTTATTAACCAAATCCCCTCATTATATACCCAGGACCCCACACATTGCAATGATGTTAACTTGTGTGTGTGTTTGATCAAGGTCCTCTCCTTTTGAAGGCAGGGACCATGCCTGCCTTTGCTGACCCTATATTCTTGGTACCTAGCATAGCCTGGTAAAGAGCAGGGATTCAATCAGTATTTGTTGAATAAGTGAATGAATGAATGAATGAATGAATTATGGGTGCTCTTTGAGGGTACCTGGAGGAAAAACAGAAATGCGGGAAGAATGAGAATTTAATGGAACCCAAAACTGGGGCATAGAAAAGTAATTTGAAGTACACCACCATCCTAAAATGACTTTTGGACTTTCTTTAGACTGAGTGTGAACAACATTTACAGTTAGATGTAACTCCATTCCCCCAAGCTATAGCAGCCTCAGGGAAAACCTAAGATTTCAAGCTGATTTCCAGAGCCTTTGGCTGTGCCTCCTACCCCTGCCACCCCATCCAGCCACACTAGCCCTCCCTCCCTTAGATGCTGATGCTGGCTTTTCTCTGGGGAGGGGAGGAATGGTCGAGTTGGGGGTGGATGACACCTCAGGCCCCCTTACTGAGAGTCTCCATGTGTTACTGCCATCCCTAGCACAGCCCCCACAGCCTTTATCCCAGCATGATCTACTTGCTGCCCATGGCTCCACTCTGCTGCATAGGGCACCTGACGGCCACCATTGCTGTGACTGCCCTTGCTGGGGCCTCTACTCTTGGCGGTGGGGGATTTTTTTCTACAAGTGTGGAAAGCTTTTCAGCAAGCCACTGGTGGAGCAATTGATTCCCCTCTTCTTTCCCTTAGATGATTCCCACCCTTCCTTCATTGTCATCTCTCTTAGCAGTTTTGTAGCAGGCAAATAATTTTCCCTTATTTGTTCAAAAATCTTAAATCTAGGAGTATAGGACCTGCTAATTGTTATTATTTCCTAATTTCTGTTTCAGGGCTCAGGGAGGACTGACAGGACTAGAGTTGACAACCATTCATCCAACAAACATTTACTGCACGAGGAAGAGAGGTGATCAAGGCACTGCCCTTGTCCCCAGGAAGCTCGCCAGTGCATGGGACTGTGCAGGTGTCTTCACCTCTGCATTAGGCATTCGATGTCAGGCCATGGCTGAGCATCCATCCTCTCTATGCTAATTTTTTCCAAAAGTCAAGAGTTTGGAAGAACACTAATGTGTTTTTCTTCCAGCCTTTCCTATACAAATGACAACATCATTACCCTCAGCTTTTAAAGTGCAAGTCTGTACAGAGATCCCAGAGTCAAGGAGGGCGCCTGAGTCATTTGAAATAATTACCTTTTTTTTTTCCTGCCTGAGTCTTGCATATCTGTGAATCAGCAATGTGGAAACTGGGCTTCAAAAAAATTAAGGGAGGCTTAAAGTGAGCAAAGCAGAGAAGAGCATTGGCAAGAGCTGAGCGCTGCCACAGCAGGAACATCATGCCGATCGTCATCTAAGGGAGCTCATGGTGCTGTCTGCCTCCTCTTAGCAACATCCACACAGGCTGGTACAGTCAGATCATTGTGACTTGGACAGGGATGAAAATACTCAGCTGACACCAATAGCTCCCAGCACAGCCAGGGTATTCTAGAGGTGTGTGGTGTCAGGACAGCCTGTGCGGCCTCATTTATTTACCTGAGTCATCTGAACAAAGCGGTGACTGGCTTTGCCTGGCTCTGGCAAGGACTCGCAACAAAGCCAAAGCCTCTTCCTCCACGGCCTTTGCTCCTGCAGCACAGCACTGGCATCTTTTTAGCATCATAGACACTGTCACGTGGCAATCAATGACAGATGAACTGTCCCTTCCCTGGGCCACAAGCTCTTCAAGGCGGGAGCCTCAGCCCAGTTTCTTCCATGTCTCCAGCGCCCAGCACAGGGCCTGGCTTCTAGCTGGTTTCTGATGAATAAACGAATGGCTATAGAGATGTACTCTTCAAAACACAAGGGGCTTCTATAGTGGCAACATGTTCAGTAGCACAGTGCTGTATTGGTTCTTTACAGCTTGCAGGACCCAAAGAAGGAATGATTTTTGTTTCCCGGGAAAGGTGTACCTCGTGGGGGCACTGCTCAAGGGAAGGTGCCCACAAGTTGGGGATCAAGGGAGGCACAGGTTGATCAAAGCCCCTGGAATTGAAATGGAGGTGTTCATCCTGCGGAGGCTCCGAACATCTGAGGCAGAGCCTCGATTCTCCAGGAAATTGACTTTGCCGGAGAACAAGGCTGGGGAAGGCAGGCTGTCCTAGGGGAGGAGTCGTATTTCAGCCCCACTGAGACCCCAAAGGCGCACTCCCATGCTTTACCCCAGCTGTCCACCAGGGGGCAGGCAGAGGCAAGAGAAGAGGAAAGCGGGCGGCTGGTCAGGCCCAGCACATCCAGCCTGGCATCCCACACGCTGGGCTGCCTGACTCAGACAAAGCCAGGCCGCTCCTCCTGCCTGTTGTGGCCTCTGTGATTTTATATGGTTTGGCCTGTGACATCAGACACCACGCGACCATGGTAACCAAAGTATACAGCCTGGAGTGAATGTTAATAAACAGGAAAGAAATGATACCTGGTGTCTTGCTTTACTCACCATTTGCGGTCTTGTTATCCACGCCTAATGTCTCCTTTATTACCACGAGCAATCGAGATGTACCTGAATTCAGCAAGTTTTAAAAATGAAAAGCTAAACTGGGGAAATGTGAGTTGGTTTCCTTGTTTAACTAACTTTGAAAATAGTGCCATGAGTGACCACTGCCTCTTGATATCCTGCTCAGCATTCCTCTTACGTACAAACATGTAATTTAAAGGGAAAATTATTTCCTTGACAATCCCCACATGCCTTCAAAAGTCATTTTCCCCAAAGAAACGTCAGGTGATGGGATCCCTTAATTGGTTAAAGTTTTTCCTAATATCCTCAAGGATTGAAGAAAAACAGCACACCTGTCTTCCTATACAAATTATCATCCTATACAAATTAATGGGCCCAGAGGCCCAGATCTAAAACAAACTAGGACTGAGTATAAAGGAATAAATGTTTTACCAGGCCAGATCACAGAAGTGAAAATCTTTGTGTAGAGATGAGAGCTGCTTCATACAACATCAGAGAGTTTGAAGGTTATAGTTCTCCTGCCTACCAAGAATATCTGATTAGAAGCTTTTTAAACTTTGCCTTAGTGAAGTTAAAGACTCTTTAATAAATTGCATCTTTAATTAGAATAAGAACAAACCAATCATATTACATGAACCAATAGAGAATGATAAAACAGTCCTAAAAGAAATGGTTTTCTAATGGAATCAGAATTCATATGCAAACCTTTTCATGCTGCAGACTTTTTTGAAAAGTCCCGATTTCATTCCAATAGTATTCACAGCTGAGAAATATCTTTTAAAGATATAGCATGATATCAAGTTACTTTAATAGTTTGCAAAATGCTCTCAAGAATTACCTAAAAATATGCAGTTTCTATGATACCATAGATGAGTTCATCTAAAATTGTTTGATCTTCAATTAAAAACATAAACACACTTGGATATATTTGGACACAGATGTTGCCAGAGTTTCCAGATTTCATTGTTCAAAGGTATTTCATAAATATGAAAAAATGTGTTCAGAAGGCGTCCATCTGATTGGGTATTCAGGCTTACAAAGAAAGTAATTACAGGGGCAGAGACTGGGAGTCAGCCCTCATTCATCTCAATTCTCTCTCACATATCAGCATAGCTTGACTTTGATTTTTTAGATGCAAGTAAAGGACATTGATGTAATTCAAATAAATTAGTTTTTTTCAAATATCCTGAGGAGTCTGGAATCAGACATGACAGACTTGATGGACAAAAGCCTGAAGGAGAACCAACTCTGAAGTCGTCATAATGGTTCTAAAAACAGTGTCTTTCCTTCTTATTGACCTAAATTTTCATCTTCTTTCTAGGGAACATTTGCTTGCCAGGTCCTTGGAAAAGGTCCACCTTTGGCTTCTCCTCTCCCTTCCTTCTCTTCTGCGTTTGCGTCTTCCATTGAGATTCCCACCGGGGAATGTCGCTGCCGCCATGGCATCCTCTGGTCAGCTGAAGTGACCTTCAACCTTCCTTGCCTTTCTCTGAGGGCAGGGGCCTTGCTTCTCCCATTAACAAAGCACTTTCGGGCAACTTTTAGGTTTCTTCACGGTTGATTAAACTGTGTTTATTTAGGACCCTTCTCCTCTTTCTGTTTCCGGCTGCTGACCTTTCTGCTGGTTCATTGTTGGAGGAGAACACTCACAGGGCAGTCTATCTGACTGCTTGTTAGCAGCTTTGGTAAAGATTTTGTTCTGGAAAACGTTCAGCCTGTTGAAATACTAGTGCATCTTCAAAGCATATGACGTTTTGCTTGGATAGTGTTCAGAGTTGCTGTTACTGGGTAAGGCCAGAAGCACATGAAAGAGAGAAACCTGAGGTAGCCTGTGAGCTGTAACTGCTAGCATCTCCCTTGAACCTGGTGCATGTTGATCTTCTTGCATGAAGCTCCATATGGCTTCACTTGGTATGTTGTGGTTCTTTTTTTTTTTTTTTTTTTTTTTTTTTGAGCTGGAGTCTTGCTCTGTCGCCCAGGCTGGAGTGCAGTGGCACAATCATGGTTCACTGCAGCCTTGAACTCCTGGGCTCCTGAGCAACTGGGACTATGGGCGCGTGCTGCCATACCTACAAAAAAAATAATTTTTATTTTTATTTGTTCGGAAAAAGGGTTTCCTTATGTTGTCCAGGCTGGTCTTGAACTCTTAGCCTCAAGCAATCTTCCAGCCTCGGCCTCCCAAAGTGCTACGATTACAGGCATGAGACACCACTCTTGGAGATTTTTAATAAGAGTAGATGGACATGGTTTTGTTGCTTGGAAATGGGAAGAAGAGAGAAAATGAGGCACAGAAAGTTTTGTTGAGTGGCCAAAAGATAAGCCAGGACAAACACCTTAAGCCAGAACTCCATTTTTGGAGATTCTTGTCTGTAGGACAGCGAACACCCCTGCTGCCACCCTGCCCTAGATTCTCAGGCAGGCTCTGCTCCCCAGTAGCCCCCACACTCCAAGGCCCAGCCAAATGCCAGTTCCACCACATGCAGGCATCAGTTCTTTCTCTAAGCACTGTGACATGTACTTGCTATACCTCTCAGAATGGAATTTTTGTGTTTTGCTTATTTGTGTATGAATCTTATCACACTGGCTTGATTGCAAGTGCTTGGAGTGTGAAATGTACTTCTGCATGCCCAGAAGCATGTGGTACATATTTTAGTGAAAGCAAATGGATAAATGGAGGTGCAGAGTGATGCCGTCCCTAGTTCTTCTCTTTAATGCCACCTACTCACTTGGATAACTTGCCCTCCGCATTCCTCACACTATGCTCAGCTCCCAGCTTCTGCAATTGGTTTGGCCTTACTCTGTAGTTTGGTTATTTGTCCATCTCACCTTTATATCTCTGCCTAGTCATTGTTACCCATCTTAGATGATAAACTCTTAGGGGACTGAGGTTCCACTTAACTCCCTTTGCCTACCACTTGACAAAAACACAGGGCATGACTAAACACTTAATGGACTTCAGAAGATGATACTTACAATCAGAGAAGTGAATCACTAAATCTGATCGTCCATCCTCTCAGAATGAAGGTTGAATGGTTCAGGACTTTGTGAAGTTCTTAGTCACCATTGCCCCCTTCCTCATGATGAATCTTTTCCTATGCATTTTGTTTAGCTGCAGGATAAACTAAGAATAATATTT
Source organism: Homo sapiens (assembly GCF_000001405.40). Lineage (NCBI taxonomy): Eukaryota > Metazoa > Chordata > Mammalia > Primates > Hominidae > Homo > Homo sapiens. The sequence continues at coordinate 157,078,488 of NC_000003.12, read as the reverse complement.
TCTTATTCTTAGAAAATAAGATTAGAAGACTGCTTCTAAAGGCCAGGTTTCTCAACAGCAGCATGTTGACATCTTGGGTTGGATAATTCTGTCGTGGGGGCTGTCGTGAGCGTTGCTGGACATTTTGCAGCATTTCTGGTCTCTACCCATAGATGCCAGTAGCATGCCCCACCATTTTTAGACATTGCCAGAAGTCGCTAGGGTGTGCTGGGGGAGCAAAGCCCCTGGTTGAGAGCTACTGCTTTAAGGGATAAAGGTGGAAGAGGGAAGCCATGGAGGAAAGGAAATGATAGTCATAACTAGGTGTTCTTCTTCTCTTTGGAGGTTTTTGTTTTGTTTTTTTAAAAATGAAAGCAGCATGGTGTTCTGCTCTGACAGTTGGGAGAGGAGAGTCTTGCAAATGCATTTAAATTATACAGCATTTCACCACTTTGCCCTTTTTCTCCCCTTAGGGGCTATTTTTTTTCACCATTACCACTAGGTTGGACCTGCTTTCTGTGGCTTGATCCCATCTTGTTTTAGGAATAGCTTTCTGGAAGCTCTGACGGGCACATGATGACTTGCTGGGAGAGGCACCAGCAGGCTGCTTTGCTGTCCTAGGGCCCGGACACTGCCCTCATGAGGATACTGTGTTTAGGACTCTGCTTTTCCACTTTGCTGATCTGGGAACTAGATTTTTTTTTCTTTTCCCTGTGAATTAGTAAGCCACTGGGAGCAATAATTCACCAAAACTGGACTCACCAGACACTGGGTTGCACACCAGACTATTACAGTATTGCTTTAAAATGCGTATCCCCAGAGCCCTCACCTGGAGTTGGAACGTGGGCAAGCAGCATGAAATGTAGCCCAGAGTGCATGTAGGGCCCCAGGCCAGTGGGCCCCAGCCCTGGCCCAGATGTCTGGCCCTTTCTGTCTCAGCTGCCAAGGGGATGACCTTTGTGGCCAGGAGAGGGTGGGACAGAGAAAAAGCTGGGATTTAAGAGAAGAGTGAGAGCTTAAAGATGTGCACGATCTTTAGAAATAATTTGCGGTGTCTGCTTCAGTGAATGTTGGTGTCCCAAGGCAGAGTGCCAGTCGTTCCCAGTGGACACCTTTCCAGAGTGGCCTTCGGTTATCAGGATAACCAAAGAACTGCAGTAGCTGTGGCAGAGGTGGAGTCAGGACAGAGGGCGTTGGTTGATTTCAGGAGCTATTCTCGCCAGGCTGTGGGAAAACCTGATGAAAATGCTCTGCTTCTGTACGGAGCTCATCTCCCTAGAGATGGGCACACTCACTTCTGCCCTGAGGGGGAGCTGCTCTCTGGCTGAAAGGGGCTGTGCCTCCCCGGCACAGGCACTGGTTCTGCAGATCCCCCAGCCCTTCCTCCCTTGTAGACCACCTTTCTTTGTCATCACACTCTGTCATCACATGCCCTATTTATTTATTTATTATTTTGGACGGAGTCTCGCTCTGTCACCCAGGCTGGAGTACAGTGGTGCGATCTCGGCTCACTGCAACCTCTGCCTCCTGGATTCAAGAGATTCTCCTGCCTCAGCCTCCCGAGTAGCTGGGATTACAGGCACACACCACCATGCCTGGCTATTTTTTTCTTTTTTTCTTTTTTTTTTTTTTTGTATTTTCAGTAGAGATGGGGGTTCACTGTGTTGGCCAAGCTGGTCTCGAACTCCTAACCTCAAGTGATCTGCCCATCTCAGCCTCCCAAAGTGCTGGAATTACAGGCGTGAGCCACTACGCCTGACCCATGTGCTTTTTCTTTTCTTTTTTTTTAATTTCAAGGGTCTGGTCACCTGCATTTGCTAACTCGGTGAATGACCTCCTGCATTCTGGGTTTGTTTAGTAAAGCTCCCAGAACGTAGAGACCAGCAGGGCTTACTTCTGAACAGAGCTGCAGCCTCTTTGCTGCCCCTGAGCTAGAGCAATGGGTCACGAGTGTTCTCTAGGTTTGTCCCTTGCTTTACCCTGTGGGATATTCCTTCTCTGGAGATGTTTTCTCTTTGATTGTAGCTAAAGCTGACAGATGTTTCTGCTAAGTGGATGGTGAATGCCTTTGGAAAGTTTGTATTTCTCCCAATAGAGTGGCAGGAAAAAGAAAGGAACATTGTGGTCTCCGTGTTTTCAACCAAGGAAAGTGGAAAGCAGAAAGCCATCTCTTTTTCTACGCTGTCAGGGTGCCTGGTTCTGTCTTTTGAGCCCTGCCCATCTTCTGGGTCCTGGCCAGAGCACATCTCTGCTGGGCTGGCAGCAGATCCTCAGGATGTGGAAATGCATTGGCTGGACCTGTTTTTGTGTCAACGAACCAAGTGGGGCATTAAGCTAACCACACGGAGAGGCCCTTTTCTCCCCTTGAGTCATTCTCACATCCATTGCTGGGCCTTTGTCAGAGAGTCCTTTGTCACTTTTGAAAATGTTATTTCTTAGGAAATAAAAGAACAGTGTATGGCCATGGTTAGTTTTGCTGGTAAGTTCTATTACTTGACACACAGTTACTGTAATAGAAAAATATGAATCTGATCAGTGTGTTAGGTCTGTTACTACCACAACCATCATCTTTGTCCCCAAACACCACGATCCTGCACTTCAAAAGCATGTTCTTCAAAAGCCATTGTTGTTGGGGAAGCAGGACAAACTGTGCTTGTCTAATGCTGATTTCCTCTAAAAACGAAAGAGAGGAGAATGAAATGAAGCCGTGCAGTTCCAACAGAGCTCTCTGCAAGTGTTGTTTCCATACTGGTGTGTTTTGTCACTGATTTTGGTCAGGGATGTTCAGATTTTCTGTTTGCATTTAATTTGCATTGCTTTTTGTTCAGCCCTGTATAGGTCCACGTTCTTCGCACTCATTTAAGTTAAATGTGCCTCCTTAAAGGTGTCTCCGCATCTTCAGAGGACATGAAAAGATGCAGGTCAGGGATTTGACAATGCGGTTTTGAACCCCAAGGATCAGCATGGAGCAGCTTTCTGGATCAGTAATTCTACTCGTAAACTTTTGGGAAATGTTGTTTTTATATTAAGTGGTGGTGTAATAATGGAGTTGAGTGCTTAATTTGCATGAATTTTAAAGATAATGTTCAATGCATCGAAAATATTCAATGCTTATAACAGGTGCCATAAGTGATCCCCTCAGATTCCTGAAGTGGGTAGAATTATGAGTCGAATTGTGTCCTCCCAGAATATGTTGAAGTGCTAATCCTATCCCTCAGTACTTCAGAATGTGAACTTATTTGGGTATAGGGTGATTGCAGTTGAAATTAGTTAAGTTTAGAAGAGGTTACACTGGAGTAGTGTTGGCTCTAGTCCAATATGACTGGTGCCCTTATGAAAAGGGGAAATTTGGACACAGCCATGTGCACAGGGAGAACACTATGGGAAGATGGAGGCAGAGATCAGGGTGATGCTTCTGCCCAACAAGGAATGCAAAAGATTGCCAGAAAACCGCCAGGTAGGTAAGAGGCCTGGAACAGATCCTTCACTCACAGCCCCAAATTTTAGACTTTTGGCCCCCAGAACTGTGAGACAACAAATTTCTCTTGTTTTAAGGTACTCAGTTTGTGGTACTTTGTGACGACAGTTCTGGCAAACTAATACATGTGGCCATTCTCTTCTCTTGCTGAGGGTGCTTTATTGACAGAGCTTGAGGAACACTGAACTGGGTCATGGAAAGAGCTTAATTTTGGAGTCCAGAGAGCCAGCTTTGGATTCTGGCCATGCCACCTACAAGTTGTGTGTCCTTGGGCATGAATCCAAATGTCCTATTGTGAGCATAAGCAGGAGGGTGCATGTAGTAACACCAAGAATGGAACCTGGCAACCCGGTGGGTTCTCAATGGATGCTATTCTTACCTTGCCTTTCCCTTCTGAGCATTTGTCTAAGAGATGAAAAGCTCAGAGCCTGGAAAAGTAAAATGCCTTGTCCTCAGTTACACCGTGAGCCGCTGCAAGGCTGGATATCAAGTCCAGGCCACCTGATGCCACACCTGCTCTGTGGTTACCCTTGATGTAGTCTTTGGTGATCCTCATGTCCCCATTATAAAAATTCCCCACATATTGTGTCCTATAAAGAATTATAAAGGACAATCTCTAGGTCCCAGATGCAGTTTCTACCATTAAGTGAAAACCACCTGCTCCTGAAAGGTTCTTGCACTACCCCAAAAGCCTTTGTAACAAAATAAATGCCCCAATGTCATTCTCATTTTTTACATATTCTTGACACATAATTGTTAGCATGAGTTGATTATTGGCTCATGAAAACTTATATTTTATTAAAAGGCGTTTTGCAATGTTTCTTATAGGAAAAAGGTTTTGCATCTTTTAAGAAGGAACGAATCAGAGTCAGAGGGTTGATGGAGGTTGTGAAAACTGCAGAGGACTGTCCTGCAGGAACACAATCTGGTTGCATGGTAATGAGGCATAATAAACAAGGGATTCAAGCAAAGCCACTGGTGGTGACTAATTCCAGATGCTAGGTGGCATGCATGCATTACATCTTTTTAACAGAAAAAAGCCACGGAGGAGAAATCAATTTGCAGATTCAGGAATGTTGCTGAAGTTATGTTCCAGTGTCGATAAAGATCAAGGGCTGGAGTCCAGCCTGCATGGATCCTGCCTACCCTGAGGAAGTCAGACACACTCTGGAAAGAGCTACAGATCTCCTTCTCCAAAACATACCCCAATACACGTCTCTACAAAACGTTTCAAATAATTACCAGGGGTTCAGCCCCTCTCCCAGGCTCCCTTCGACTCACTCTTAGGTCCCTGAACTCCAGGTTAAAAACCATCCACATTTCCCTTATTGGCCTCCCTCAAAAAACAAAAACAAAACAAAACAAAACAAAAAGAAAAAAAATTAAGTCCTAGCTTAAAGGACATTTTATGACTTCTCTTTTATTTTTTGTTTTTGTTTTGTTTTGAGACAGAGTATCGCTCTGTCGCCTAGGCTGGAGTGCAGTGGTGCGATCTTGGTTCATTGCAAGCTCGGCCTGCCGGGTTCACGCCATTCTCCTGCCTCAGCCTCCCGAGTAGCTGGGACTACAGGCACCCACCACCATGCCCGGCTAATTTTTTTTTTTTTTGTATTTTTAGTAGAGACAGGGTTTCACCATGTTAGCAAGGATGGTCTCGATCTCCTGACCTCGTGATCCGCCTGCCTCGGCCTCCCAAAGTGCTGGGATTACAGACATGAGCCACCGTGCCCGGCCCATGACTTCTCTTTTATTTAATCACCAGAGGCATCTCAGAAAAAAAATCATGTGGCCTGGAGCAAAGAATAATCATCGATACAGTAGTATTAGTGGGAGAAACTAGAAACCACGGTTTACTGAATGAAAAGGTCTATCAGAGTCTGGACGCCTGGCTGGGTTTTAGGCTCTTTCAAACATGTGGTCATGTGAGCATGAGTGAACTTCTCTTAGCCTCAGTTTCTCTATGAATGCCTGCAGAAGTCACAGCACCCACCTCACAGCTGCCTTGTGAGCAATAAATAACATGTAGATCTCAAATCACCATGTGAACTGTCAATGAACAGAAAGCGGTATCATTCATACGAAAAATAAACTTAGTGACAAAAACACTTAAGCATTTATATTTTTTAGAACTTTGTTCTAAAATTTGAGAATTTTAATACATTGTAATAAAAAATATATTTCATGAAAAAACAAGAGAATGAAAGATTTGATCCTATTCTATCCGTGTTTGAATTTTTATGTCTAGAGGGAAAGCCTAACCTAGAAATTGCAAACCAGTCCACAAGTATGTTGTTTCATCTGCAGAGTGTTAAGCAAGCTTTGTTTTGTTTGTTTTTTAAATAAATTGCCAACATTTAAAACTGTAAGATTTTCCCATTAAACAAACCCTGAGCCAGGTGTGGTGCACACCTGTAGTCCCAGCCACTTGGGAGGCTGAGGTGGGAGGATCGTTTGAGCCCAGGAGTTCAAGGCTGCAGTGAGCCATGATTGCACCACTGCACTCCAGCCTGGGTAAGAGAGTGAGACCCTGTCTCAAAAACAAAAACAAAAAACCCCAAACCAAAACAAAAACCCAGGATTTTCAGTTTCTTTCAGAAAAATAAAAGCAGAATTCATAGCACAACTGGTGGGGTTTTCTACAGCCCACTGTGCCCACTCCTGGGCTGTTTGCTACCCTGGGCCAGCCACAGCCAAGGTACCTCCTGGTGTCACTTTCCCACCAGGAGGTCTAGAGTTTCAAGTAGCTCCTTCCTTCCTTCTTTCCTTCCTTCCTTCCTTCTTTCCTTCCTTCCTTCTTTCCTTCTTTTTCTTTCTCTCTCTCTCTTTCTTCCTTTCTTTCTCTCCTTCCTTCCTTCCTCCTCCTCCTTTTCTTTCTTTCTTTCTTTCTTTTTCTTCCTTCTTCCTTTCTTTCCCTTCCTCCCTCCCTTCTTCTCTCTTTTTTTCCTTTCTTTCTTTTCTTTTCTTTCTTTCTTTCTCTCTCTCCTCTCTCTCTCACTCCTCTCTCTCTCTGTCTCCTCTCTCTTCTCTCTCTCTCCTCTCTCTCTCACTCCTGTCTCTCTCACTCCTCTCTCTCTCCTCTCTCTCTCTCCTCTCTCTTCTCTCTCTCCTGTCCTGTCTCTTCTCTCTTCTTTCTCTTTCCTCTGTCATCTCTCTCTCTCTCTCTACTCTCTCTTCTCTCTTCTCTCTCTCTCTCCTCTCTCTTCTCTCTTCTCTTCTCTCTCTCTCTCTCTCTCTCTCACCCAGGCTGAAGTGCAGTGGTGTGATCTCAGCTCGCCGCAACCTCCACCTCCCAGGTTCAACTGATTCTTATGCTTCAGCTGCCCAGGTAGCTGGGATTACAGGTGTGCACCACCACGCCCGGCTAATTTTTGTATTTTTAGTAGAGATGAGGTTTTGCCATGTTGGCCAGGCTGGTCTCTAACTCTTGGCCTCAACTGATTTGCCTGCCTTGGCCTCCCAAAGTGCTGGAATTACAGGCATGAGCTACTGTTCCTGGCCTCAAGTAGCATCTTCCTAAAAAACATTAAACTTGTAAGGAAACAGCCAGTGCTTGAGACCAAACATGGGGTGTGTGGTTGCTTGCCCCTCAGCTTTGTTTTACCCTCGGGTAAGGCTCCTTGGCCCAGATGTGGGGGAACACTGCCTGGGTAGAGGGAGACTTTTTCTTGTGAAATGAGCACAGGATCCTTGCGAGGACTAAGTCAGATGACATATGTAAACACCTTGCAAGAGTCAACATTCAGGAAATGGTAGTTCTGAGCAGGGGCATCCCAGACCACTCAGGACATCACAAGATTCTGACAAGTAATCTGTACCTCCAACTCCAAGGAGCAATGGTCAGAGTTGGCACCACATCTGTTTGCCAGGATCAGCTTGAGGAAGAGGGTACCCCGTGAGACCACAGTTTCTGAGGAAAAGGACACAGGCCATGGGACTGGAACCCAAAGTGGAAACAGACCTTAAGTGCTAACATGGATGCCTTTTGCCTTTGGTTACTCACTCCTGTGTAACGACGAGTGTTAGAATGTCCAGGGAAATGTGCTGAGCAGAACTGTCTGTTTTAACAAGGCCACATGTAGCAGAGTCGTTTACCTGAATTTGCTCCAAAGAAGACATTACCAGTGATAGCCTGGTGCATTGGCCCCAAGGGCTCACTTCCAGAACAAATACACAACCAACTTCCTACAGAGAGCCCATGGCCAGGGGCCTGTAAACCTAAGGAGGCCTGGGCTTCTTTGGTGTGGGAGGGAAGCAGCTGCCAGGCACTGCTATGGGCCTGACTGGCATTATCGTCAAGGAAATCAGCAGTCCCCAGAAGCCATGCCTAGAAGTGATCTCACTGCTTTCTTCTCCCTGCCAAGGATTCTACGCAAGTCTGTTTTATAGGAAGTTGCCTTTCTTTTGAGCAGAAGAGGACCTCCCCTGTGTTGAGCAAAACGTGAGTAAATGATTACTGGCAGCTGTAAAAGGATCTCATAAAGCATTTCTGTGATCCCCCCAAAAGGACCTGATTTTTATACATTTGCCTTTTTAGTTCACTTTGCAAGTACAAGGCTGTTAAAGTCACTTAATGATGCCAGGGGTAAAGTTCACTTTAGGAAATGGGGTAGCCAAGGGTTTGGGATTTCCCCACACTGTTTCCTTCTCCATCTCATGAGCTGACAAAAGCAACTCTCTGAGTCCCATACCCAGGAACTTGTACTGAGAAAAATAATCCATATTTATTTGCTATTATAAACTAGGGTGGTCTTCAGAAAGAAAACCAGGGCTTTTTCCCGGGTGGGCCCTGCCCTGGAGTGGGGCAAATGATGTGGCAGTGAGCCCCATACTGGGGATGTTGAGAGGAAAAGGGTGCATTTTTGATGGGAAACAAGAGGTCATCTCAGTTCGAACTGTAACCAAGGCGGAGATTCTGAGCCAGGGTAGGAGAGTCCACAGGCTGCCCAGAGTCAGGGAAGTCTGGGTTGGAGCACATCTTGGTGGTCACTTACGGTCAAGATCCCCAGGGATATCCCCTGCCTGCCCACACCCAAGGGAAGCTTTTTCTCTGTTGAAATCCCGAATTTCCTACAGTGGCTCCAGTCTCCAGAGATTCCCTGGACAGATGCTCTCTCCAGATGAACTTTGTCCTCTGACTTACAACAATCACAACTGTTCCCCACATCTGCTTCCAGGAGATCTCACTGGCTGGGGTCACTCAATCAGTATAGAGATGAGAATCTGCCCTCCAATAAATCTTGAGCTTGGGTGGCTTCCTACTGCCCTTTAAGCCTGTATCCCTCTACCCCCAAGTCTACCTCCTTGATCTCTGGGCAATTGAGTCTGGACAATAGTTACTCTCTCACCTCCAAATCTCGAGTACTGCACCACTTAGCAAATGCATCAGGTTTAAAAATCCTGCCACTTAACGTAGGCTTATTTTCTGTCTAAAATGTGCAGATGTTTAATTGTCTCATCTGTGAAATGATGACGAAAATAGCTTATCTGGTTGGACCAGACAAAACTGAACCTGAGCATTTCTCAAGATCTCTTCCGTCTCTGGAATCCATGATTCTGAGATATTTTCAAATATATGCACTAAAAATGAGTTTTTCTAAAACCAAATTGTGATTCATGTGAATTACTAACGACTGAACCAAATACAGCAGCTTATTTAGTTCTGGCCTCAGGAGAAATCTTTTTTTTTGAAACAGGGTCTTGCTCTGTCACCCAGACTGGAGTGCAGTGGCACAATCATGGCTCACTGCACCCTCGACCTCCTGGGCTCAGGCAATGCTCCCACCTCAGGCGATTCTCCCACCTTAGCCTCCGGAGTAGCTGAGACAACAGGCGTGCGCCACCACACCAGGCTAATTGTTTTATTTTTTGTGGAGATGGGGTCTCACTATATTGCCAGTGGTCCCAAATCCCTGGTCTCAAACAGTCCTCTCACCTCAGCCTCCCAAAGTGTTGGGATTACAGGCATGAGCTACCACTCTCTGCAGGAGAAACTTGTAATTTACTTTTAGGTGAAAAGTCTCTTCTCCACTAAATACTGCATAAAAATGGCAAGATTCTCTACTGAATATTAATGTGACCGTAGCAAACAAAGGAAGAGACTATAAAAGTCTGAAATGTAAATATGTGGCCCACTATTCCAAAATAGTAAATGTAACAAAAGGAAGAAAGTCAGCCTCCTCCACCCTAGTGCACCAGGCGGCCTAGGGCAAGCCACAGAAGTCAGCCCCTTACTTCCTTTCCCACCATCCCACCAGGCAGCATCTCTGCCTTTGCTCACATTCTTCCCTGAGTCTTCAGAGCTCCCCGTCCTGCTTCACCTGTGTGAGGTTTCCTCATCCCTGCAGCCCCCACAGCTCACATCTATTTTTTTCTGAAAACTTTGCATAGCCTGCCTGCCCTCTGGGCCGGCTGGAGGTCATCTCTGCTTCTCAGGTTCCCAGCCCCTTGTATGCTGTGACAGCACTCGCCACCCGCTCCTGATATGGCATTGCATGGTTGGTACGCACTTGTCTGTCTCTGTCACTGGACTTAAGTTTCTGGAAGGCCGAGACGCTCTCTGTCATCATTCCCATGGCCCTTACACAGGTTAGACATCCAATACATTTTTATGAAATTTAAATGAATTGAAGAAGGATGACAATTTTCCTATCCAGATGTGTATCTCTACCACAGATTATTGGAACAGACTGTAGTGCGAAAGTGGCAGTGACTTAGTCAATGTAGCCAGTGATTCTGAACGTTGGCACCATTGACATTTGGGCTGGATAATTCTTGGTTGTGGGGGGCTGTCCTGTGCCCTGCTGGATGTTGAGCAGCATCCTTGGCCTCTCCCCAATGGATGCCAGTAGCACTCCTCCTCCTCCTCTTCCTCCCAAGTTATGATATCAAAAACACTGGCAGTATCCCCAGTCATTGACAATGTCTCCTGAACTACCCCTGGTTGAGAACCACTGATGCAGGTGATTCCCAAAGGAGGCTGAGAGAAAGTACCAGACATGATGCTCAGTGATGTCCTACACAGTGTCCTGACTCCTAGAGTCACCGTCATTTTAACACAACAGTGCACAGCAGCCACTTACACCTCTGGCCAAATATTTCTCCCTGACAGGCTATCACAGTGCACGCTAGTCAAACACTGGAATTTTCTTTTCTTTTTTTCTTTTTTGAGATGGAGTCTCACTCTGTCTCCCAGGCTGGAGTGCATGGCAAGATCTTGGCTCACTACAACCTCTGCCTCCTGGGTTCAAGCAATTCTCCTGCCTCAGCCTCTTGAGTAGCTAGGACTACAGGCATGTACCATCATGCCCAGTTAATTTTTGTGTTTTTAGTAGAGATGGGGTTTCATCATGTTGGCCAGGCTGGTCTCGAACTCCTGTCCTCAAGAGATCCACCCATCTCGGCCTCCCAAAGTGCTGGGACTACCGGAGTGAGCTACCACGCCCAGCCCAAATGCTGGAATTTTCTTAAAGGAGGTGGGGAAGGAAGGAACTGAATAAGGCCTCATCCCCTTTGAAATATAAATACCTTTGTTTAGGAGGTTGTGGTCTTGGAGCACAACAGCTACTAACAGGTGCCTGGGGTCATGCCGGGAAACCACAAGGGCAAAAAGTAACAACAACAGCTGATTTGAGAGACATATTTTTCCTTAGAAGGTATACAGGGCCATCACTGCTTGAAATATTCACACATACAAATTCAAGGAAGGGGCACACCTATTTGGCACGAGCCCTGTGGCTGTGGTTAGAGAAGATTTGAATATTTTGAGTGTGCAGGAAGGTGAACTTCATGTATCTTTACCTTAGCTTCCTTAGGCTGGGGCTATCTGTCAGCTACAGAGCAGCCCACAGGCAGGCGGAGCTGTGATGAAGCACATTTGTTCAAACACAGCAAATGGTGTTTGAAAAAACCACCACTCTTGCTTTTTTATGAAGCTATTACACTCTGTCATGTCAGGGAGCTGAGCCCAAGTGATGCCCAAGTGGCCATGATAGACTCACACTACAGGGCCTGGGAGAGCAGTGGGATTGTTTTTTTTCCTCGTTGAGGCAGTAAAAGATTGATTTTTGAGGCAGTGACTGAGGCATTATGCATTAATGACTACGCAGGGATTTTCATTCACATATCACGCACTGACAGTGGAAACTGAAGCTGCTGTGTAAGGTGCTGGCTCAATGCCCTTCCATGACTCCTTCCTCATCACGTCATTTGCCTGCCGAGATGCCGGGGCCTTCCGAATCATGGGGTCGATTGAGTAAAGGGCCCATGGTTTGGTGCAGGGCATCTCAAGCCAACACACGAGAATAACTGATGCAGCTGCTGAGATGAGAAGGTCTGCCGCAATGCTAATAACTCCACCTGGCTGCTCTCACATTTGACTTCTTGTATTCAGATTTGGAGAGACAGCTGGGAGCCTCTGATGAGAAAATAAAAAATTTACAACAATAAGCAAGCTGTCCTCTGACACCAGGAGAGGAACTCGCTTCAGCCCTGGCAAGAATTGCAGCTGGACTTTGTGAGGCACTGTTTCATCAGATGCCAAACATCATAGCAAGGGCAAGAATGACAAGAATTACAGTTTCTGCCCTGATGCACAGGTACTGATGGAAGAGATATTTCTGTGTTGATTTTGCACTTCTCAGGGCAAATCTGCAAAATAGATATCAAAGGAGATGTGGGCACTGGGCAAGGAGCCACACCAATCAACCATATAGAGCAGTCTGGAGGAGTCTCTCCCCATCTCCAACCCTCAGTTTTTCCCACCTGTTAAACACAGGCCACAATGTCTGTGCAGCCACCTCGCAGTGCAGTTAAAAGAACCGGTTTAAACAGTGTTTCTTAGCTTAGAGTCAATGGCTGAACAGGTTGCAGAGGGGCTGTAAAATCCTGAAATTTGCATGAAGCAATTTTTCCATATATGTCCATGTGCATCTTTTTGAGGAGGGGTTTGTCGCTTTCACTATATTCTTAAGAATATAGTCACTCTTAAGAGGTTAAGGGCCACTGTTCTAGGTAATGTGTGAAGGTGATGTATGTGTCCTGTAATTGAGCTATTATCAGCAAGCTTTTTGAGGAAAAAGGGACACAGAGGAGCACTTATTATGTGTTAGGGACTGTGCAGGACACACAGAGAATAGAAAAAAAAATGACCCTGGCCTTCTGGAGCATATGATAGACTTTAGATATGAGCCCAAAACAGATTAAAAGTTAAAAGGAAAAGCTAAGTGTAGGCAACACAGGTGAAAGGTCAGAAGAATGTAAGTGCCCCATAGAAGGAGAGAAATGGACTTCCAGCTACAGTGGGTTTAGGGATGGACACAGAGCGAGGGTGGGATTGAGTACAGGGAAAGGCAGGCAAGAGCATCTGTGGAAGAGGGATGGCCGGTGCAGCAGAGCTTGCATGCTGAGTTGACACGCTCCATGCCAGAGACCCTTAGATTGGGACTAAGTGTCACCGAAGAGAAGGCTGCGTTCAACAGATAGTTCTCAGGGTGACAGTTCATCCCAGGTGCCCTCAGACCCACATGACCTGCTCTTGGTCCTTCAGCCTCCGCTCTGCAGATGGGGCTGAGGGGCCCACCCAGAGAAGCCCTGTGGGGGAGAACAGAGCCTGCCCAGGACAGATATTCTCCTCCTTAGGAGCAAGTCCTCTTGACCCCCATGTTCCAAGCAGGAAGCTTTTCACATGTAGACTTTCTTCCTGCTGTGATGCACAAAAGCAGCCTCTTGCCAGTTAACAAAGTCTGCTGGAGCCTCCTGGGGCCATGCCTAGCACATCGTTACCCGAAGCAGACTAGGCAAACAAAGCCCTAGAAAATGAGAAAAAATGGAAATGATTTGATATTTTAGAAAAAAATATTGAAGTGTTTATCGTGGGGAAAACTGGAACCCTGTTAATATTTTTACTAGTATTGTATGGCATGGCAGTTTCTAAATTCTGCATGTGGTGGGGCCACTGTAACTCTTTCTGGGCAGAGTACTCTGTGATGATTCTACTCAGACCCTGGCTCCACAGACTGGCAAGGCCGCCCCTTCCCAAATCAGCAAGTGTCCTGGACCAAATGGTCATTTCTCCACTCCTCTGGGACTCTGAAAGAGCATTCTCCAGAGCTCTTGGGATCTTGCCTTGGCTCTGTGGATGTAAAGATCCCAAAGTCTTTCTAGAATGTACTCTTGAAGACTGAGTTGACTCTGGAGATCAGTGTAGGATCACTGTCCCCACTTTGCAGCCCCAAACCCACTTCCCAAGGGAGTAATTCATTACCTGCAGTCCTGATTACTCAAAGGAAATGTCTAATGACGTCTGCTCTGCAGTACCCAAGGACCTGAGACCAGGACTCCTGGCCTCTTTTCAGAAAGAGTGGAGTCTGCCATTTCCTGACCACCGCCCTGTCCTCAAGGGCAGCTCATCTCCCGTGTTACATTCCTGCATGAACCCCCGCCCTGATCCTGTGACTTGTCATGTGCCACAGTGCCATGAGATTTGTGTTACTTTGCTTCTGTTCCTGAAAGTTATCAGTTCCCCTTTTCTTCCTATCACTGCCTGGCTGAATGATGAGGGTGCCTGAGGGGAACTGGGTTTCTTCTTTCTGTTCGCGGGTACCAGAAGCAGCACACGCAGGGCCAATGGCTTCAGTTATAGCCACTGGGATGAGGCGTGATTCCTACAAGCCAGGAGAGAAAGACAAGCCTGAGAGATTTTGTCTCAAGGGAGAGACCTCTTGGGGAGAGCCAGCTTCCCATTGCCCCCTGTACTGATCTGGTTTTAGCATTCCTCTCAAACAAAGCCAGGCAATATCTTTTGGGCTCTCTTTTCTGCACTAGGCTCATCAGATGGAGGAGGGGACTCTGGCCCAGCAGAAGGCAGCAGGAGTCTGGCTTTGGCTCTCAGTCAAGACTCCTTCCAGTTCACTTGCTCCCTTGTTGTTTTTAATCAGTCAAAGCCCAGAGCTCCAGATGAAAAAGAAGTGGGGAGGGAGAAAGGCTAAACCTCAGTTCAAGTTAAAGCAGGATTATTTATTTTAATTATTTATTCATACCAACTTCCAGCACAGCACCACATACACGATGGCTGGTATTTAGAATTTCTCAGTCGTGTCTGATCAAAGCTTAACAGTTCCTGGGTCTCTTCACTTCCACAGAATTCTACTTTGGTGGGGTGTGGTGGGGTGGGGAGGCAGGAGTTCGATGTGGGAAATTAATTTGGGCTCAGAGATTAACAATGGTTAAATCTTAGTGTACCTCACCTGCCAGGTAACATGGTATGGTAAACAGTTTTGGTTTTGGCTGGCTGTGCCCTGACCTACCTCTAAGAATTACTTATTCTACATATGGAAAGTTGTTAGTCAGGGTGTCTGCCTTTCTCTGGCCTGGGGTAATGCATGTGAGCCACATGAGGTCGGTCAGATCCTCCTTCCTTGGAATCTGACATTTGAACAAAGTCATCAAAAGATGGAAACCAACTGGAGCTCATTTGTGATTCACAGTTGTGTAGCCAAGCGACCCCAATGAGGAGGTCCTAGGTCTTGATTCTGTGCTGCTTCTTGCCTATGGCGTCACCCCGGTTCCTGTTTGTTCTTTCCTAGTTTCTGGACCTGATTTCCAGTTGAGCTATTGAAAGATCAGCTGTTTTTCCAGTAAATTCCCTTTTGATTTAGATGAGCCAAGGTCAGTTTCTGTTGCTTGCTACTCAAGGAGCTCTAACTACACCCACAGTGAACCTTTGTTTCTCAGAATCCCTTTAGTCACACACAGGTTTCAGAATGGTGCCCTAAAATTGTGCTAGAAGCAAATAAAATCTTTGTGTTGACTTGGACTGTGTTGTAATCATTTCCTACAATTTATTTCCTTAATTGCCAAGTTCCTACTGGCTATTCATTGATTGTAGTTTGTAGCCTGTCTTTTGGTTTCTTTCAGCATTTTTTAGTTCATGTCACGCTTGGCCAAAACTCCCCACCCCATTCCTGGGACCAGGCTTGCTTTCCTCATGGTCTGCCGCTTGACAATCTCCAGGCAGAAGACACTCAGATACCTGCTAGGGAAACACAAACCCGGACAACATTTCTATAAGCCACATTAGAAAAACTATCAGCAAGAGCTTCTAAAATGTTCTTTCTTTTTGAACTAGTTATTTAGCTAGTTTGGAAACTTACCCTAAGAAAATTGTGAGAGAAGCATAAAGATTAAGTATATTTGTTACAGTGTTATTTTGTAGTAGCAAAAACTAGAAAACATTTCCCAGCAACAGAGAATCGCTCAAGTAAACAATGATATATTCATATGACAATGTGTGATGTATCAATTCAAAATCATGATTTTGTAGATTATTTAATGCTGTGAGGAAAATTCTCACAATATCTGTGTACCAGGAGAGAAAAAACAAACCAAGGCACAAAACTGTACGCACAGGGTAATCTCAACTTTTTTTTCTTTCAAATTGGGAAGGACCGCACCAACATATCAGCAGTGGTTAACTCTTGGTGGTGTGATCACGAGTGTGTTAGCAGGCTATACACTCTTTGAAGTCAGGAACTCTGTCTTGCTTAAGGTTATAGCTCTAATTCTTAGCTCAGGTCCAGGCACATAGCTTGCCTTGAGATAATGAATGAGCTTCTTTATGTTTTTCCATAGTTGTATTGCTAGAGATCAATAGGTACCAAAACAGTCCTACTTGAACTTCTCCCTGTTTGTGAAACCTTCACTGATCCTCCCTGCCCTTCCCAGAATCCCAAGCCCAAAATTCAAATCAATCACTCTTAGCTCCAAAAGTTTCTCTTTACACCTTTATCAGAGTATTGGCTCATCTTGTCTTTCTCCAGGAGATGATGAGTCCCTTAAGGGAAACAACTCTAAATCATTTTGTATTCTCAGAGCACTTAGCAGTGTCCAGCACACTGATTCCTTCTAAAAAAGTTTTATTTTATTTTAGATTCAGGAGATACATATACATGCTTGTTACATGGATATATTGCATAAGGGTAGGGGTTGGGCTAGTGTGTTACCCAAATAGTGAACATTGTACTCGATAGATAATTTTTCAAACCCCCACTCCCCTCCCAACCTCTTTGGAGTCCTCAGTGTCTATTATTTTCATCTTTGTGTCCATGTGTACCCATTGTTTAGCTCCCACTTTTGAGAACATGTGATATTTGATTTTCTGTTTCTGAGTTAGTTCACTTAGAATAATGGACTACAGTTCCATCCATGTTGATGCAAAGGATATGATTTCATTATTTTTTTATGGCTGTGTAGTACTCCATGGTGTGTGTGTGTGTGTGTGTGTGTGTGTGTGTGTGTGTGTGTGTATATATAGACACCTGCACATGGGATATATATATATATATATATATATATATATATATATATATATATATCCCATGTGCAGGTGTCTTTTTTATATAATGATTTCTTTTCCTTTGGGTTAATACCCAGTAGTGGGATTGCTCTGAATGGTAGTTCTATTTTTAATTCTTTGAGAAATCTCCACACTGCTTTTCATAGAGGTTTAAGTAATTTACATTCCCACCAGCAGTGTATAGACATTCCCCTTTCTCTGCATCCATAACGACATCTGTTGTTTTTTGTTTTTAATAATAGCCCTTCTGACTGGTGTAAGATGATATCTCAGTGTGTTTTCAATTTGCATTTCTATGCAAATTAAAACTTTTTTTTCATGTGTTTGTTGGCCACTTGTATTTCTTCTTTTGAGAAATGTCTCCCATGCACTGCCTAGTTTTTCATGGGGTTTCAGCACATTGAATCTAATTGATGGTCCCTCTGTTCCTGTTACTATAGTATAGTGCACATGGGAGAAAAAAAGTTGATAGAGAAGCCAAATCTAGTATGTATGTCAGGCTCTCACGGGATTTTGGCTATCTTCAGGATTCTAGGCTGCAACTTGATATCACAATGGGATGGCATTACACCTGTAAACCATCCCAAGGGTCTTAGTTTTCTAGGGCTGGCATACCAAATACCAAAGACTGGGTGGATTAAACAACAGACATTTATTTTTTCACAGTTCTGGAGGCTGGAAGTCCAGGCTCAGGGGATCAGCAGGTTTCATTTCTCCTGAGACCTCTCTGCTTGGCTTGTACTCGGCCACCTTCTCATTGTGTCCTTACATGGCCTTCTCTCCGTGTGCAAGCATCTGGCGTCCCTTCTTCTTATAAGGACATCAGTTGTATTGCATTAGGGTCCTACCCTTATGACCTCATTTAAATTTAATTACCTCTTTAAAAACCTTATCTCTAAATATAGTTATATCGGGGGTAGACCTTCAACATACGAATTTTGGGGGGACACAATTCAGTCCATAACATGAAGGGACACAGTAAATTCTTAGTTATTGTTTGCATTCCTGTACTTGTAGATGTCAGGGAAAAGAAACAATGAACACAGTGATCAAAATTTTATCCATAAACACTGTCCTAGTCATAAGTTCCAGGCTTATATTGCTGTTGCTCTCATATCCCTTTAAAATAATGACCTACCTAGGTAATAGAAGTCTGTGACAACTTGCCTTTCTCCACAGCCAATAACAAGATCTGATTGCATGTAGGTTTTGTTTGTTTGATTGTTTGAAGCCCAAGGAAACCTCAAACAATTCTTTAGTATCATCATCAACCCACAAAACAGTATTGATTGCAAAGTAATGCACAATATGTCACTTGTGTACAAGACAGTGGTCTTTAATCGCAACACCATCCTTTACTGAGGCTAAAGAACAATGAAGAGGTTTGGGAAAGAAGTTGCTACAAGCAATCAGAGGATGGTTTAAGGACATGCAGTAATGCCAGATTGATGGAAACTATTCTTCAACATTTTCCTTCTCAAATTAATTCCTAGTAATTTCCTTTTTAATCAGTTTCTTCTTATTGTTTTATGTTATATTATAAAAATAGGGGGAGGGAGAGAGAGAAGATAATCTTCTATTGGTTTAGGGCTATTTTATGCCTATATCTATGGTTGCTGGAAGAGGCATAGAGCAAATATTCAAGGTCACATATTTGCCCCTTGAAATTCAAATTAAAATGCACCTATCTTGCAATTTTTGCTTCTTGTTTTCAGCTGGTCTTTGTAACACTATCTCACTATCAAACCAGCCCTCTCCCCACTTCTCCTTCCACCTTAGTTTCAACACTTAAGGAATGAGAGAACATTTCTTGTTCTGATTCATGGTATCACTAGTGCATGCTCTACATGAATCTATCAGCTCTCATTTTCACATAATGTGGCATGTTTACACAATCACCACCCTGCCTGTATGGAGTCTTCTAATTTAAAAGTTTTTTTCATGTGAAAATCATTTCTGAAATACATTTTCTTTGCCATTTCAAACACATTAAAAATTTGGTTCCAATCTGTAAGAAGGATTTATCTGTGTGCAATACTATAAAAACCTCAAGATTTTTATCTTTCTTGAATTGTCTAAAGATAAGAGGAGATTCAATTTGCTAAGGGGCCATGGTTTTGACACAAAGACAAATATCTATGCCTGTGCTATCCTGGTTCATTTAAAAAAAAAAATCTCTAGAGATCACGGATTCTCCAGATACAGAGAATGAACTACCCAAGTCTTGCTTTCTCCATTAATTTTAGTATGTTCTTTCTCTGATGCTTCACTTCAGAAAAGAGGTATAATTACTATCTTTATGAGTCAGACTCATGGCCCAGCACCTGCTAGAAAATTAAAAAATATCTTCCCCATGTCACATCACAAAGTGAGGCTCATTGTTTTCACACAGTTGATGGTGTTCACTTATTTGCCAAAATGACAATATTGGAGGCTTTAAAAGCCATAGTGATAATGAAAAACAATGACTAGAGACATTTCCAAATGTCAATACATAAAGATAGTAACATGAACTTGATAAACTCGGGTTTTCATTCTTTTAAAATTCTTCATAGATTAATATAAGAGAGTCTGTTTCTCCCAGGCATGACAAAGCAGCAGATGCAGGCAGTTCAGAGTTGTTTTCTTAAAACATACCCCAGGTAGTTACTTAGGCATTAGGTATGGAACTTAGTAAATGCTAACTACTTTAGGAGATTCAATACGTTTGAATATATTATTGACATAAAGATTAAAGAACAATTGTAAAACTGATGTCATAACATAACTGTCCTGCTCAGCAGAGTATAATAAAAAAATCTTTACACAGTCCATTTTTTTTTTGCCTAAATGCTGTGTAGAGAGATAAAGGTCAAAATACTATTGTTCTGCAGATGACAAATACAGTGTTTGATCCCAATGTCAAACAGAAGACAATAAAGATGTCAACTTTCTTGGCTCTGCCATATTTTCCCAGCAACTTCAAAAGGTGTTTCTGTAAAAAACTAACTTGAAATTTACTTTGAATGAGGAATATATGCTAAACAGTCACAGACTGAGATACAGCAGGGAGAGTTTCACTACCACTCACACCCAGCCCAACTTGTAACATTTCTAGGCCTTTGCCATGTGCACTGAAGGGGAAGAACAGAGTGGAGAGGCACTGCATGTCTTTGGCCAGTGGCGATGGTAAACACAATCTCACTTGAAATTTATACAGTTGTCCCTTGGTATCCTTGAGAGATTGGTTCCAAGACTCTCACAGATACCATGTTCAAGTCCCTTATATAAAATGGCATAGAATCTGCATATAATGTACATACTTACTGCCGTATACTTTAAATCATCTCCAGATTTACTTAAGATACCTAATACAATGTAAATGCTATGTGAATACTTGTTATACTGCATTTAAAAACTTTGTCTTTTAAAAATTAATGCATTGTTATTTTTTATTGTTTATTTCTTTTAATCACTGGTTGGTTGAATCCATGATATGGAACCCACAGATACAGAGGGCTGACTGTAGTAGAAAATCTCACTTCAGAATCTGTAACTACAACCTGACCCTCACCTGGCTTTTTGTATGAATTTATATCCCCCACATATGAAAAATCAAAAAAGAATTTTAATTGAAGTGGTCTCAGAATGTTTGTATAATTAACTGGGAGGGACAAATGCAAATCTTCTCTGGAAAAATGCAATCTCAATTAGGTCTCAAAGAATTCTTATAGATAAGGTTCCAAGGGACACAACTTCACATTGAAACACATATACACATAGTCACCTTTCCTTGAGAAAGATCTAGCCCGCCTTGAGGATGAGCACGGGAAAACAAAGCACCATGAATGAGAACCATCAAAAACAATAAACAGTAAAATCAGATCCATAAAGATTATTAGACTCGGAATATAAAATAGCAAGTTTGATGTGTTTAAAGAAATGAAAAGTTTACAAGCAAGGAATAATAGTTTTTACAAAATCTAGCACATTGAAGAAAATCAAATAAAGCTTTTGGAAAGAAATAATTGCTTTAGGCAGTAAGATTATGAGGCCAGATGCAGGAAGGTCTGAGATGTGAGAAAAAATTGTGGACAAATAAATCAAAAAATACATTGGGTAAAGCTAAATAAACATTGGCTACATGTAAAAATAATAATAATATCTAATTTGTGAGATTAAAAAACAATATAGAATCCAAATACTAGCCAAAGTATAATACAAAATGGAAGAAGATGAAAAATTATAAAGTATTCTATGGTTCCTGCATTGCTTGGGTACAGCATCAAGAAATTAACTTTAAGCAAGCACGTTAACATGTCTATGGTAACTCCTAAAATTAAAATAGAGATAATTGCTTCCAAAGAAGCAGAAGGTAGAGGAGGTGGGGAGAGGAATAAGCAAAAGAAGAAAACAAAAAAGATGGCAAGAGACAGGGCAGAAAGCTAGAAAAATAGAAAGCACATAAGAAGGTAGAAATAAATCAAAGCAAAAAGAACAAAGATAGAGTTTTAAGATCCTCTGCATGATAACAAAACAATGGGAGTTTATACACACTCTAAAATCATGAGTGTTAATTTCATACTGCTACTAACAGTGAATAAGTAGCGTAGATGTCCTTTGGGAATAAAAGGCTTTATTCCATAAAAGAAGCTTTAAACTTTTGAAGGCCTGTCTCTCAAAAATGGACGTTTATAGACAGTTTTCAAGAGCGCTCTTACGGTTACTAGATTTAGAACATGTTTTTATTCTTGTAAAATTTGGCCTTTGACTTTATCTGAGAATTTTATCTTGTGAACTGCTGTGTTGTTTGTTAGTTCTCCTTCTCCTTTCACTCCTATATTAATACTTTTTCTCCTTTGTATTTAGGAGGACCTGGTATTTTTAAGGCTAGAGATGGAATACCATTTTTTTTTTAAAGAAATGAAGCAGAAAGTTCAAGACCTCAAGACTTAATATAGAAAGTGATATTTTAAAAAAGGAATGCGGTCTATAATATCGTGCTTCGACAGGATGCTAAATAGCTTCCTAAAGGATCCTTATAAGATTCCACAGTGGATCCTTTCCATGGGTTTTTTTTTTCTTGGTCCTACGTGCTACTTCTTTATTTTGTTCTGTAATGCTTTTTGCCATAGTTTCTGAGTTCTTTGTTTGTTTGTTTGGTCACCAAAAGGACACAGAGATGTCTTCAAATTTGCTCAGGGTTGAGCAGCATATTCCTTCTCAGAGGCACAACTGGAGGGCAAGATGATGTGCATAGCCTCTAGTCCAGTTCCCAGTTTATTTGTGCCTATTTGCCTAATCCAGGCTTTGCCACTTCTTACCTGTGTCAGTTTGAGTGAATTGCTAACTTTTCTATAGCTCTGTTTTCTTATCTGTAAAAGGAAACCAGTAAACATACCAACACCACATGGTTCTTTGAGGTCTAAAAGTGTTTAAAGCCCTGAGCACCATACATTGCCCATCATAAATAATACCTGTCAGCTCCTATAATGTTATTGTTACTATACTGCTGCTGCTGCTGCTACTACTGTGGTGTACCTGGAATCTTCCAACATAGCCAACTTCTCTATACATGCTGCTTAGTCTTCTGACATCATTGCTGCACAGAGAGAATTCCACGTCCCAGGATCTAACACCACTGCTCATCTCTCCCTCCCCACCACCACTCACACAAACTTTTTTAGCCTTTTTTTCAGACTTGCCATCTTAGAATGTTCCCAGCAAAGTGGCCTTCGGTGCCTTGAGGGGCAGCACCCAGTTGGCACAGCAATGAAGGTCCAGTTTCTTTTTATGATTATTATTTGTTTGTTTTGTTTTTTTGAGATGGAGTCTCACTCTGTCACCCAGGCTGGAGTGCAATGGCATGATCTCGGCTCACTGCAACCTCCGCCTCCCGGGTTCAAGCGATTCTCCTGCCTCAGCCTCTGAGTACCTGGGACTACAGGCTTGTGTCAGCACGCTCGGTTCATTTTTGTATTAGAGATGGGGTTTCACCATGTTGGCCAGGCTGGTCTCGAAGTCTTGACGTCAAGTGATCCACCCATCTTGGCCTCCCAAAGTGCTGGGATTACAGGCATGAGCCACCATGCCCAGCTGAGGTTCTTGTTGATACTCTGTTGCTTTTGGGCTGTGAGTCTTTGGTCTTTTTTCATCACAGGGCCTTTTTTTTTTTTTTTAATACAGATGGGGGTCTTGCTATGTTGCCCCAGCCTCAAGTGATCCTCCAGCCTCAGCCTCCCAAAGTGCTGGGATTACAGGCATGAGCCACCACACCTGACCCATCACAGAGCTTTTAATGGGATATTGGAAGGGGCTGCTTCAAGGCTTGTTAGCCAGATGTCATGCCATCTTATACTGGAAGTCTATTTACTACTTTTAAAGTGGGAACACAAACTGTGGGAGAAGGCCTGATGCCTGTGAAGACAGTCCTTTCAACAAGCAGGGAGGAAGTCTTTTTGGTAATGAAGGAAAGCCTCTCAGTGACCTGCAGTGAGACCTTGACCCTAATGTGAGTTGGCTAAGGCAGTATAATTGCCCCATTTTTACATGTATTTAGATAAGTTAGATTTGGTGCTAAATTATCCTCTCAGGATGGCTAAGACTACATCTAAATACTGCTGAGACAATATCCTTACCATTTGTCCAGGAAAATTCAGAACGTTTATGAGAAGATCTGTATGCTGAAACCCATGGTATTAGGTTTAGAAAAAAGGTTTATGTTCAACATTTAACGGTTGAATTTCAATAGTATATGAATACACAGTTCTCGTCATTGAAAGTTTAGGTGCTTTTATATTAATGAGGCCAGAAAAGCCATAAATAATAAAACAATGAACAGTTCATAAAGATTTTGTGATTGAAAAGCAGTCAGGACCATACACTCAATCAGGGCATGTGCCCTTAGACCCAGTTGGACACTCTTCTCTGTGCCCTTTCAATAGCTGTTCTAGTTCCTGGGAGGGGTGGGGATGACTCTAGGAGCCCTGGGTATATGGGGACCATGGACAATTAAGAGTGTGCCTATGAAATTAGCCTAAGAAACATTTAGGATGTCAGTAACTAAATTAAGTACAGCAACATAGACTCTATACATATATGCATGACCAGTTTAAAGCATCAAAGTACAAATTACAGATGAAGGCATTTTCAAAGGCCTTCACTACATAATCAAAACAAACTCTAACATTAAGTTGTATGACTATATCTGAATCATCAATACAACATTAAAACATGGAAAAAAGTTCTCTTTTCATCAAATAGAGCCATCTCTTCCTACCAGTGTACTACATCTAGGACACAAATGGTAAAAACAAGTATAATCTCTTTTTCTGCAAGTCAGTGAGTTGTATAGATACTGAGAATTTGATGACATTAACAATGATTGGCTCAGGTAACCATGTTAGTTACAAAGAGCTTAAGCTCTCCCTGACCCCAAACTCAATTTTTATGTCTCACATTTCTCTTTCATTACTCTTCTCACTGCTGCCAAGGGCTGGAAATTGAAGAACTTTTATCTTGGTGATTGTAGGTCTGTCTTAGACTCCGTAAGGTAGATGGGCTTGGTCAGTCATGGGGTCCCTCTGGTTAAGAGTATAAGGATTTCCATGGGGATATGGTCACAGAGAACCACAAGGACACCACCAATGCTGACTCGGAGACTTTCCTCTTATGCTATGTGGGGCTCAAGGCCAGATGAGACATGCAGTAGCTCTCAGGGTCCCCTCAAAGACACAGTGAACTCCTAGGTGGAGGCAGGCTGAGGGAAGGGAGCATAGCTTCTGCCTTGGTTCTGAGGTCTAGGGCCCAACTCCTGGACCTGAGGTACTCTACCGGATTTTGCCAGAAAGTCTAAAGCTCTGACGCAAACAGGATTCTGGTTGACCTGACTTGAGAACGTTGAAGAGTGGTCTTTATTTAACATGGAGTCTGTGTACCCTAGGAGTACTTGAAGGAGTTGATGATTGTTAGTTCATAGGGCTTCTGGTATTTCCCTGACATAGATATTCTTGTTTAAGTGTAGCGCTAAAAACATGATATTTTAGTATACACTGAAATTTCCTCAGTCCAGATACAAGGTAGAGTGGAGTGATGGGAATAGACAATTTCGGACTAATGATTCTCCTTTTCTATGCCCTGGCTTTGTTAAAGTATGCATCTGAGGGACAGTGTCATGAAAGCAAGCCAAAAACAACATTAGTAAAAAATGTTTATTGTTGCAAATGCCCCCTCTGGCAATGCATTTAAATATAAGCAGCTCTTTTCACTTCTTCTTGATATTAATCCCTAGGACACATCATTAGCTGGAAAAAAAAATCTTAAATAGCCAAAGAAGTATAGGTTAGCGTCACTAATTCTTTTAAATGTAATTAACAATGTTTTCTTAAACTCAACATTTATAAATAAAATTTTAATCAAATACATTTTGATTAAAATATGAAGATATATTTTTATCTAGTCTATGAAAACATACTGGATAAAAGTTCTTTGAGGTCTTTCCCCTTGGCACTTATTATTTAATGAAGTAGTTAATATAATTTTATTAGACACTGTTTGAAATGTTCAAAACAGTAAAATCCTCATCTAAAGATGTTTACTTTTTTCCTATTAATAAAAAGTAAATAAGATTCTATGTACAGACCAATTCTTTTTGTCTGCATCTACCATTCTTTTCCATTCAATGTAAACAAAATGTTAGGTATTCATTCATCTCATCAAGAAATTCATTGTTAATACAATTTAAACTTTGCCTAATATTTATCAAAATTTGTAACATTTGTGTTACAATCTAGAAGTTATGCAAGTTTTCATAGTAATTTAAGAGATCAATAAAAGTTTTACAACCATGAAAATATCTTAATAAATTTATTTTGTAAATGCCAATATTTATAACACGCTGGTTGTCTTTACAATATTCTTTGTAGCTATTTAAACTTAGGATGAACTATTTCAGATATCAACCTAAAAATGTGCAAAAGTTACATAGTTTAAAAAATTTTGCAGGGTACATTAGAAAAATATTGATTTATAATTCTGGAGCATGGAACATGTAGAGTAAGTCCTTGTGTGGTCGGGCCAATCACTGCTATTAAATAAGTTAGTAGATTCTTTTCTTCCTAACCTCAAAAAAAATACATTTCTCAGTTACTACAGTGAACACTATGTACTACTTGGAAAAATAAAAAGATTCCGGTCTTGAGATACTATTTTACAGTTTACCAGCTTAAACCTCAACTCTACCATTAAAAAAGTCTGGTAATAGTGCATGAAAACTTGGCTGTGCTGGGTTTTAAGAAATTCTGCTTTAAATCAGTGAAAAAAGTAGTCACTTGAATCATAGCAGAAACCTTAATTCCCTAGAAATTTAAGGTTCTGGATAGAAAATGACAACTGTAGAACTCACTCACTTTTAAGAAGACAGAAGACAGAAGGTATCTCTTTAGATTAATGTGTTAGGCCATATCAAGCTCCCTTGGGAGAAAAGTAGATAAATCTGGCAATGGGGCACGATGCAGACAGACGTTCATGTTTTGTAGCAAATATATTTCCAGTGCTAAGTCTTTTTACACAAATGTCCTGTGAAAGGCTCTACTTAAAAATACTTCAATATTCTAAATTATATATCTATCTAATTCTTGGTTTGAATTATTAACTATGAGAATTATTAATGGTAATAACAAATAACCATACAAGCTAAATATTAGCACTAAATATGCTAATAAGAGGTATTCAAAAGCTTTTTAATGGCAAACAAAATAAATCCTTTTCATTATTTCTAAATTCAAAAATGTAAAGAAGATGGCCACCCTGTGGTGTCATGAGATGAGCTGACTTAATCCTTACAGACAAGTGAGCATAATGCCTCATTGTGTTAAATATAGATTTTGAAATTGAGAATCTAAATGGATCCTCATTCAGACATTGTTAGCTATACCTTTGAAATAAATCCATCTATGTGTAATACTGCAAGTTACAGTGTTATATTTAAGTCATTTAGAACTACTGTCAGGGAGAATAATGGTACTGTCATATGTTCTTCATAATTTTAGTAAGCTATCTAAGCATTCTATGTCTCACAAGCCTCAAAAGACAACCAGCATTACCAATTTTCTTTTGGGAATCAGATCTCCAAACACATGCTGTTAGGAGATTAGATTTTAGTATTATTCAGTTGCTTATGATCAAAACCAAAATGTTTCTATTGGATTTTTTTAGTAACTTTTTTTTAAAACAGTAAGTTCTTTACAGACTCAGGGCTTTGGGTGTTGGTATAAAATATTTAAAGCTTTTATGAATGAATATTGATTTTCTTTAATTCACTAGTTTTCCCTGGAGAGTTATAGATTCACAGTCAGTGGGTAAAGAAGTAGAATTTGCACGTGCTAGGAGTCAGAGTGTTAAATAGTTCATTCTATGAGGGTGGGTCTCAGTGTACCACAGGTTTCAGTTAAACATAAGGGAACTGAGTACAGCAAGGCTATTTCTGTTCAATACTAATACACAGCTCTTAAAAGTAGAATATGCCAGGGCCAGTGGTAACATCATAAGCAGTGCTTTTTAAACTTCAGTGAGTATACGAATCACCTAAGGATCTTATTAAAAATCAGATTCTAGTCACTAAGTGACTAGATAGGGCCGTCTGAGGGCCCTATTGTCTACAGTAAAATTACAGGTTTGGACCAGGTGATGCATCAGGCCCTTCAGAACTATAAAATTATTAATTTTTAAGATAACTCTTATTTTTATGTTAGCTGCTGTCTTCTTTATTTTCCTTCATAAATGGTTATTGAAAATAAAAAGAAGTTTTATTGTGCTGTGTTACTCCCAAAGCTTCCCATTTAGTTGCACTTTGCATTCTTTAAGCCAAGATAGTTATTTCTTTTTAAGGTCAATTTCCAGTCTTTCTCCATAATTCTTAGGACATTTATTGAGATTAGTATTTTCCTTTAACTTTAAGGAGATTTTTAAAATGAATACAGAGACTGTGGGGTTATTTGTTGCCTATATAAAAATGTAGTTTCTATTATTTCACATGTTTCAGAGAAGCTGTAATATTCTTAGATAGGGGCTGATCCTTTAATTGGAGCCAGTCTCATAAAACGCACTCCTGCTAAGATGGCAATGGCTGGTAGTGGTATTAAATAGCATTTAACAGGGAACAAATCCTTTCCCTTCTCTGAATAGAATTTGAATCAGTTGCCTCTTGTTTATCCCCAATATCAATATCTTTACTCAGAATTTCATTAACTCTTGCCTGAACTACTGTATTAGTCCACCAACTAGTATCCCATCTCCAGCCTTTCCATCTCATAATTACTCCAATACACCCCTGCTAGAGCAATGCTTCCAAATTTCAACAATGCACACCATGTCACTTCTAGTTGAAAGCCTGCAGTGGGTCCTTATTCAACACCTTCATGCAATGAGGTCAACCTACTTTTTCAGGTTCCCACTACTTCCCTTCACCAAATGTCTTCTACATTTCCCATAAACAGAATTTGTGACTCTTTTTATACATTTCTTCTACCTAATATACCTTCTTCCATAAATCCTATCTATTCTTCAAGATCCATTGTAAATGCCAATTCTTGCTTAAAGTATTCCCTGATTCTTCTAGCAAAAAGGTGAATTCACATAACACCCTGCTGTCAATTCTCTTTTTACCCAATATCCTTTGCTGTATATTCTAATTTCTATATATGCTCTCTCCCTGCTCTCTACTGTATAATTCCTGGGAATCTGTATGATGCTTTAATTTTCTTTGTAGCTCTCACAGTACTTTTTCAGTTCCTCGTGTCTGTTGAAGAAATGAGTGAATGAATAATACAGATTCAGTATTAATCTATGGATCAAGATGTTCAGAAACTGCAGAAGTTTAAAATTATTTATTAATCTATTATTATTTTGGGCAAATTACTTAAGTAATTTTGCCCAAATTACTTAAGTAATTTTGCCCAAATTACTTAATTTTGGGCAAATTACTTACTGTGACTCAGTATTCTCACATAGTTTCTTATGGAGTAAGGGATGTTTAGTAAATTTTTTTTAACTAATGAATATAAAGCACTGTGCTATATAAATGTTGGAAGAGAGGGATATCTTTTGACTTACTAGATCATGGTAAATATTGTCATAGAAAAGTGTATCCCAGATTCATCTATTATGTTCTTAAGAAAATTCTATATGTAAAATTCAGAATATACAAAGATGATATAATTTATATTTAATATTCTAAAAATGCAACACAATAGTATTGGCTTCACAACGTGGTATTAAACAGGGTTAATATTTTCAAGCAGAAAAGTCAAATTCTTTCTCAAAATACCATTGATACCACCTTAGCAATGATACCATAATTGTCTGTCATGATTTGGGGGACCATTAAAGGTGTCCTTTGCAAGAGATGGTCTACATTATTTTCCTAAAACGTGAAAATAAAAAAGTTTAATAATCTATAGTCATGATAGCATTTGTGAATTTTGAACACATACCAAATTGATTTCCTGTGCTCCATAAGCCGCAACGCAATGGTTAAACATTTTCAGCTGTAGTGCGTTACCTCTTTTAGGATACTAGGTTGATCTATTAGTGCAATAGTGTAAGAGTCATAAGAATTTAAAAAGATAAAACTTGAGAAAGCTAGCTCCATAGTCAAATAAATTAGCAATAATTGATCTTAAATATGACAAAAACTTTCAGACTAACAGAACATTAAAATATCTTAGTCTTACATAATTTTGTGTTAATGTATCTTCCAGTCAATTCCCTTACCAGAAAATGTGACTTTTAAGTAGTTCTGACCAACTACAAATATAGTAATTTAATTCAATAAGACTTTTAAAAATCGTTTGAGAATTCTATGTTAACTTAGAAGAATTCTCCATCTTTGTCCATGAATACCAGTTTAAGAAGAAAACCAGAGGGTTATACTTCTCTAAGGAATATTTTCTTTGATATCTTTTCTCTTAACACCTGTAAATCCTTCCATGGCAAGTCATGGCAAACATCAATCCATGGAGAAATTAAAAGTATTAGACTAAATATCCATTATATGCATTTGGAGCCTTATTTTTTCATCCTACTCAATTACTTTCCTAAGATTCCTTATAACTGTCTCATGCCAGGAACTTATTTATCAGTGAGAAAATCAAGAAAAGTTTGAATGTGTTCCTAACCTGTAGGTTACCTACTATAACGCTATTTTTTTTGTTGTTAAAGATGTCTTTCTTTAAAGGCAACATAGCTTAGTCGTCGCCATTCAAATGGTCTAGGTTGAAATAAATGTTAATATGACATTTCTGTTTATTCATGGAATTACTTCTCTGATATATTTGTGGAGTATAATACAACCTCATTGCAGATCATGATTCTATTCTCAGAGTGATTATTTACCGAAGTACTAATAAGGCAAAAATGTAATAGCAAACTGAGAAATCAGGTTTTGCAGTAATAGTCTACATCACCATTAGAAAAGCTTATGTGTGACTTTATAAATCTAAATATGTTCATAACTTAGAAAAAATGAAGAAACCTACTTTATCCCCATGGTTCCTGAAGATACAGACCCACTGTATCTCCATGAGCTGAAATTGCAAGACTGTAAAAAGCATGTATAACCCTATAACAAAGACTGTTGCACACAATAATCTCTTGTGCTTTCACTAAAGTTTTCACTAGATTTTGCCATTTTCCTTATGTCATGAGTACTCATAATTTAAACATGCAAACAACAGATCAGAGACCCTAAGGTCCAGTGCAGTGGTCGCCTGTTGGTATTATAGAAGATGATTTTAGAGGGTGCACCGACTAACACTTCTGGTGTTGTTGTTGCTGTTTTGAGACAGGGTCTCACTCTGTTGCCCAGGCTGGATGGCAGTGGCACAATCATGGCTCACTACAAACTTGACCTCCTGGGCTCCAGGGATACTCCCAGCTTACCCTCCCAAGTGGCTAGGACTACAGGCAAGCACCACTATGCCTGGCTAATTTTCATTATTATTTTTTGTAGAGACAAGGTCTCCTTATGTTGCCCAGGCTGATCTCAAACTCCTGGGCTCAAGCAATCTAAGTGCTGGGATTATAAGCATGGAGCCACCATGCCCAGCCAACATTTCTTAGATACACATTTATTTCCAAGTGTATAAGAAAAAAACAGTGAATCAAACTCATTATAGCTACTTCTCCTTGAGTCAAATTTACTTTTTACATAAATTTCCGGTTAAAAAATAAGTGCATTTAAGGAAAAATATAAACTACATATAGTGTAGGTGCTATTGACAAAGGTCATGATGGAGGCTTGGGAAGCTCCAGTGAGGTAGAAAGTCTGGGGTCAGGTGATTGTGGTTCTGGTTCTAGTTGTTACTAACTAGCTGTACTACCTTAGCCAAGTCACAATCTCTCTGGGCATCTATTCCTTATCTGTAAAATTACGGTTGGGGTGACTTCTAAGATCCACCCAGTGCCATTCTTCAATGATGTTGTGCTCTCTTGTCAAAGGCCATTACAAGGGATGCCAATCTTTGCAAAACAAAAGTAAGCATTCAACTCTTAACACAAGAGGCCATACTTAAACTAGTCAGGCAAATCAGTGGACCTAATGTGGAATTTTTTTGAGGTTAAGATACTCTATTAATAGAGTAGACTAATCTTTTGGAAGACTAGAAATCAATTTGATTTTGTTTAGTAACTTTACATCTTTTGCACATGGAAGGGATCCCAAACACCTTTGAATTCTCTGATCTTATTAAGATGGTCAAATAGCAGAGAATTTTATGTAGCATATTTTAAATGTGTTACTATTATTCTAATATGGGAATAGGAAGTCTGGATGTTCATGATGTAGTCAGATGGAGTATTTAAGTAAAGTTAGTTTTTGAAGGAAAATACACTTCTATTAGATGGAGAAAAACATAGATGAACACTAGACTAAGGCAAAGAGTTGTGTTTTAAGAAACAGGAAGTGTCTGCAGATTTAAAATAGAATAGATGATCTGGCTTCTGGTTTTACTTTTTCACTCTGAAAATAGAAAACATGTTAACCAGTTACCCATTTTCAGGGGTAATAAAATTTGAATCCCAAATTAGCTCTGTATAACTTTACTAAACTGTCTTGAATTAGTTCTTTTCCCAATGGTTCGAGAATACAAGGTCTAATAAAGACCTAACTCTGAGTACCAAAAAGCACTCATTGTAGAAAGTATCTATCAATATGATCAGGTTCTTTGTTTACTAAAATAATCTACATAATTTGAGAAATAAACTACCATTTCCTTGAATTGACATTACCATCTCTTTTTCTAGAAGGTCCCCAGCCACTCAGAGAAGATTGTCTTCCTGAAGGTTATCTATCATTAACTCTGAGCTAGCCTAAAGAGAAATTAGATTAACCAATTAGATTGTAAGGTGAGGAAAAGATGTTTTTGATTATGATGATGAGCTCTGCAACTACCTGAACTAAGCATTTTGGAGATTATCTAATTTTAATTAGATAAAGTACTTTTTTTTTCTGTTTGGAATACTTATTACATCGATTTAACCTATTCGGCTCAACAAACAAATGAACACATACCAACAAATCTCAAACAATCTATTTTTTTGTGGAAATATATCTGCTTGTAGTGGCGCAAGAAATTGAAAAGATGTTATGGGTGAAAAATTTTACCTGTGATCTCTAAAAGGCTATATTCATAGAGCACATTCCAACATAAACATAGAAATCGGACCTCTGGAATACCAACAACTTAATGATCTGTTACTCTATCAAAACCCTCTTGAAAAATAAGGCTTCACAATTTTCCAGCTTTTTACAGTCTTTTGTTAAATACATCTATAGGTATGCCTTCCTGATCTGTGAAAATAATTTTATCATTGTCATTCTCAGTTACAGTGAATTCCTGGCACTCTCTGAAAGAGCGTGCACGCTGTAGGGAGCTTCCTGCTCCTCATTTTGGATCATTGCTGACTCCGCCTTCTCCTAAGAATGGCAGCCAGTCTCTGTCTAGTCTCATTTGCTGAAGATGCTCCACCCCTGGGAGGATGTGGCTGGGGGAGAATGGGCACGCCTGATCTAACCCTCTTCGGCTTATCTGAGGTTGGGAAAGTGGTGGGTTTTGACACCCCGCGCAGGTTGGGAATTTGGATTCCTTTTTCAGAGTTCAGTCTTGCAAGGCTTCTCTCTCCATGATTACTGACTGCTGCAGCAGGGGAGGTTAGGCTGCCCTTGCTGAGGGAACACGGTGAGAATGGTAAACTTCCACGAAGCTTACTGAGCTCCAGGAGCTGTTCTCTGGCTTGACTCAAAGCCTCTGTCAGTTCAAAGCGTTCTTCACATTCTCTACGCACTGTCTCCTGAAGAAAAGTATTCTGAAAAGAGAGAGGGGAAAAGAAAGCAGACTTAGCTTTAAACAATGTACATAAGTAGATAGTTACGGACAATACAATTTGAGAACAGAACTGGAAATCAGAGGTCTGTATTCTTTGTCTCTATGACACTCTACCTCATGGGACAGACAAGTCAAGAACAGAAATAATCTGTGATGGTGGAAAGAAGTTGAAGAAAATATTTGGTTCAACCCTTGCAGTTTGCAGATGAGGAGTCAAGAACTACAGAGACTGAGTGACCTGTCCAGGGTTACTCAGATGTTAGTGGTGCGGCTGGAGTTAGAACTCAGGACTTCTTATACCTAACTTCAGTGGAGTTTCAACTTCTCTGCCTCAAGTCGCAGACAGTATGCTCTGCACATGTAATACTCAATAGTTAATAGCTGTAGAGTCATTAAATATATTCTTTTGTAGTGAAGGTATACTATAATAACATAAACAGGTAAAAGTGCTTGAAGTATAAGATTGAAAGAATAAAAAAATCAGCTATAGCGTTGAAACAATAAAATCAGTTCTCATATGATGCTTTCTCAGTGGAACTTAAATAAGAGGCTCATTTGCCATTCTGTAAGATAATATCCCAAAATAGAGAAGATCTTCTGCTACTAATTCTATTCATTCAGCAATCATTTACCAAGTTACTAGAAGCTGTAGTGAATACAGTCCCTGCCCTCAAGAAGTTTGTACCTTCGTAGGTTTGAGCAGAACTGCCTTTTATGTCCATAATAGAATCTAGACCCAAGGTGAAAACTGTGGGGATTAAAATAAGGAAGAACTTTTTAATAGATCTATCTGGAGGACACTCAAGGGTTGAATCTCACTTGACAGGGATGTACTGAAGCAAATTTAAGCTTCAAATGTGTGACTGGACTAGAGATAATTAAGTCTCTTCGAAATTCTGAAATTCTGCATTTCTAGTTGAGGTGTTACCTATGTTTTGTCTATGGAATTCATCAAAATTATTTCAAGTCCCATGGTAAGAATTAAGTCTTGGATCTCCCCAGTGTCCTGACATTCATGTCTTTATGATGTCAAAAATGAGGCTGAAAAGTAAATAATTCAAAGCAGTATCCTAGTAAGTAAACACAAGTAAAATGAGTGTGCTATAGGATTCATCAACTCAAAAATGAATTTCCATTAGGTTACCTTGTTTGTAAAAACAGCCAAGGCATTCCCAAGTCTGCTTCTTAGTGTAAAACATCCTCCCTAAGGGTTGACTGACTAATCTGCTGTCAGAAGAACTAAATAACAAAGCACCAGGGACAGTAGTATCTTCCTGTTTTTGAGTTTCTCATGATTATAGACA
This sequence comes from Homo sapiens, assembly GCF_000001405.40. Classification (NCBI taxonomy): domain Eukaryota; kingdom Metazoa; phylum Chordata; class Mammalia; order Primates; family Hominidae; genus Homo; species Homo sapiens. Next base: position 157,044,015 of record NC_000003.12, on the reverse strand, counting down.
GAACTCTATTCAATTCCAAATTTGGTAATCAAAATGGAAAAATATGGAGCAATTCCAGATTAGCCAGTTGCACAGTAATTTTTTATAAAAGCTGCATTCCTGGGTCAAACAAATACTCATCATTTACATATACGATTTATTTACTACATGACACACATTTTAAAAAAATCATGGGTTAATCACTTGCTTCCAGTTATTTTTATTTTTTGGAGGAACTGGAGAGAGCAAGGATGGTGTTTGTGGCTTTATCACCTAGTTCTCATTAACTCTAGTGGAAACAGTTGTGGAAAAGGCAGGGGAGGAGGGAATAGAGAGGAAGATTAACAAGGCACCATGTTAGGTGTCATCTTATTTCCTGCTCCCAACAATTATATCTGACGAATAAAGACACTGAAGCTCACACTGTTATGTAACTTGCTGAGAGTAACTCCACTCTGAAGTAGTAGCCCTGCTCACTTTCAGAGACCTGCTCCATGCTGCCTATGCCTAAATTAGTTGTCTAATTCATTACGTCAAACATGCAGGGACCATTTTGTTCCCAGGACACTGAAAAAAAAAAAAAACACAGAAGGACATTTTCATCTGGTTTTGCCCAGGTTTTCTAAGTTCTATTAATCAAAGTTTCTTTTAAAGTGGGGGGAAGACCCAATCCATTATATTTTTTGCCTACTAGTAGAGTAAGCTGGCAACGTGTTGGAGTTATTAAAGTGGTGTATTAGTCCATTCTTGCATTGCTCTAAAGAAATACCTGAGACTGGGCAATTTATAAAGAAAAGAGATTCAACTGGCTCATGATTCTGCAGCCTGTACAGGAAGCTTAGCCACTTCTGCTTCTAGGGAGGCCTCAGGAAGCTTTTAGTCATGGTGGAAGGCAAAGGGATAATGATGCATCTTACATGGCGGGAGCAGGAGCAAGAGAGTTGGGGGGAGGCCCTACACACTTTAAACAACCAGATCTCATGAGAACTCATTCAGTATCACAAGAACAGCACCAACAGGATGGTGCTAAACCATTCATGAGAAACTGCCCCTATGATCCAAACACCTCCCACCAGGCCCCACCTCCAACACTGGGGATTACAATTTGACATGAGATTTGGGTGGGGACACAGATCCAAACCATATCAAGTGGCTTGGTTTTCAATAAATTAGTATAAAAATATCACTAATTAAGAAAGCAATGAGAAAGAGTTAATTTTATTTGAATATGTAAAAGAAATAAAGCAATGAAAAATGAGGCCAACATATTACTGACATGAATAACAGGCACAACAATATGGAATGATAAAGTGATGGAGGATGTGATGACAAGAGCTCTTCTTAAAAGAAAAATAAATTCAATCAATTTACTAAGATTAAATTCAAGTCTCAAAGGAAAGGAGTAATGATCTGGAGAAAACAACCAAAAAGCAAGTCACATAAAAGCTATTTCAGGCAAGTGACATTCCACTAAGGAGAACATGAAAAGGTAGAGTGAGCCAAAAGATGTCCTCATAGCAAGTTCAATGGGAGCAAATTCCTGGCAGACTCTAAGCTGAACTGTGCACCCATGCTTTATACCCAGTGAAGTCTGAATCAGTCATGGAAGGATCAGATTATAGTTTCCACCAACACTGACTAGACATATTACAAAGTAAGTGAATGGGGCCAGCCAGCGGGGTGGGGGAAGAGCTGCTGACTGCCTGGGGCCCGCTGCTCTGCAACTCATCTTTCTTCAAGGTTATTAGCTTGCAAGACAAAGGATTAATCCTCTTTCTTCTATTAGTTCCCAAACCAGGAGGACCCCTGAATTGAAAATAGGATCCAAAATTGATACTTCTATTCTTTTCTGTGCCAAAACATTATGAAATGTTAGGTGAACCTCACAATATCTTCATATCATCTGCCACCATTACCTCCTCCTCTAAAATTGAGATTATAACTCTGTTTTGTTCAATAGGCAATTCAGATTTATAATCTATTCAATTATGGGATTAAAAAATGAAAATAAAACAATGGAAATATAGGGGATTGCTATTTCAGGGGTGTAGTCTGATAAGGCATGACTAGAGGATATGTGGATGTGCCTAGAGTAAGTATACACATTAGTGGAAAATTCCATCATACGTGAAAAGAATCATCTGCTAGTGGTTAGTTTTCAGCAATTTAGTCAAGATGAAGGTTGGATTGTTGCAGAATTTTAATGTGTTTTCACTGAGCAACAAGGACAAATGTGCAAGATGAAATATGTTCAGTAAGACTGAAAATCATGCACAATATTCTATGTTTTAGATAAAATTATCTTTGGCCATATTTTAACATGGCAAAAATAGAATCATTGGATTGTAACTAGACTGGAAGTCAAAATGGAAAGGAAGGCATGAGCCAGGTGAAGAAGGGGCAATGAGGTTTTCAAGGCAGAGTGGGCAGTGAGAGAAGGAGAGGCACACCTTGGGATGAAATATGGCTTAATATGACTCAGGCAGGTGCACACGGGGAGGAGAGACCAGGACTGATATAGGGAAGAGTGAGCAGGGTCAGATCAAGAGAAAATTTATTAGTGTGCTAATACTAGGGTTTTGACTTAATCCTGAGGCTCATATGGAGTCATTGAAAGTTTATTTCAAGCAGATGGCTGGTATGATCAAATCTGCATGAAAGGAAGATCCCTTTGCCAGCTTTGTGGAAAACAGCCTGAAGTTGAGCAAGATGGGAGCCAGGGAGGACAGTAGGAGCCCCAAATTTTCATGGAGGAAGTCCTTATCTCAAGTGCCCCTTGGGTCAGGTGGTCTAGGCAGGGGAGAACTAGGCATTCCTGCATCCTTAAGTTCTGCTGATTGGTGGCGAGCATGATCTATAGATATCACTACAACATTTTCAGAATAAGCCCACCTTGAATGGGCTTAAAATATGACTTAATTGCCCTCCCCCTGAGAAGGAAAATGTCAAAATGAAAATATAAATTAGTTCACCATATGTTTGAAATTTCTAATATTAAAAAGTGGCCAATTTCCCCTACTCCTTGCAATATAAGAGTGGTTTATTTTTATATTTGTTTTCCTTTTTATTCTTAGAGGCAGCTGGGTTGCTTTAAATTTCAAAAACAGTGGAAGAAGGGAGAGAAGGTTTTACTGTGTAACTTGATTGTTCTGAAGGTAAGACTCCCATTTGCAACGGGAATCAGCTGTATTTGGCACAATTTTGGGGGGAACATGCCAGGAAAGCAAGTCCTCCTCAGTGAAGAACAATCACAGATAGATGGCTTTGTTCATGCTTTAGACCCAGTAAGATCTGAATCAGTCATGGAATGATCAGATTACAGTTTCCACCAGCCTTAACTGGATATATCCCAAGGTGAGTGGGTGGCTGTCCAGGTGGGTGGGGAGCTGAGGTAAAAGGAAATTCTGTGGAAAAGTGTGGAAACCAGAAAGATGAGTGGGAGTTAGCAAAGGATGTTCCCAGCTTCCATTCAAAGGCTTCCAGGCTTCTGTTCAACTAATCTGATCAGTCCAAAACACTGCCAAAAGTTAGTGGAAATGGCCTTTTGGTAAGAGAAGAATGAGAATCTGAAAAGATTTCCAGGAAACAAGTAAGATGGATGTCAGGCTGGTTGTTTTCAAAATTATATTTCCCTGCTTACAAACATAATAAAACCAACTGCAATAGACATACCCAAACAAAAGTTGTAGCAACAGAGGGCAATAATCCCTCAGACTGATATGCTTCAGAGGCAGATTTTCAGGACAGAGAGGAAGAGCCCATGATGACAAAGTATTCAACATTTACTTTTCTAAGTCAATAATCCAACTTAATTTAGATTTAATTAGCACTAATTAAACATACAAAATTTAACTAGCACTAATTAAATATACAAAAATTTCTCAATATATCTTCTCATTCTGTCAACTTTCTGGTATCTTCCTCACCACAGAGACTCCCAGTCTGAGCCCCCTTCTGCCCCATGGCCCAAGGCTAAGGTTCTCAGGTGGTCAGTTCACTCATCCTCCCTGCCAACCAAGCCTAGGTATAGTCCCTGTCCCTAAAAGCTTTCTTGATCCTCCCCATGTTTCCTGCTGGAGGTTGGAGAACCTCCCTTTACCCTCTTACTCTTTAAAAAAGACGTAAATATTCTAATTTATTATGTTCCCAAACTGAGAACTACTTTTTGGTAATTTACTTGCTGGTACTTTGGCTTCTCCATTCTCATAGAAGGAATTACCAGAGAAGTGTGTGCCATATTCTGTATACTGATTAAACATGCAAATGTAATAAATGCTTACCCTAAAACTAAGCAAGTCCCTCTTGCAAATAAACTATTTGTGCTTGCAAATACCATGTATTATTAAAATTTAATCTTAGAGTTTACATGAATCCGTCTTTGCTAGATTTGTTAATAAGCTTTTTTCTTTTCGTTTTTTGAGACAGGGTTTCAGGTTGTTGCCCAGGCTCGAGTACAGAAGCACGATCACGGCTCATTATAGCCTCAACCCCCGAGGCTCAAGCAGTCCTCCTTCCTCAGCTTCCCAAGTAGCTGGGACTACAGGCGTGTGCCACCATGCCCAGCTAATTTTTGTATTTTCTGTAAAAACAGGGTCTCCCTATGTTTCCCAGGCTGGTCTTGAACTCCAAGCTCAAGCAATCCTCCCATCTTGAGCTCCCAAAATGCTGGGTTATAGGCGTGAGCCACCACACTTGGCCTGAACTTTCTTATGTAAATGGAATTTCTTTCTTTCTTTTTTTAAAAATAGAGTTTACATTGGAAACATATTTTCAAAACACCAAAATGTTAAAAATAACCCATGATGCCAATGTTTTTAAAAAGTATGTAAGAAGTAAAACCCCTGTCTATCTCTTCCTACACTTCTAAGGTAACCACTGTTAATAGGAGGCAAATCCTTGATTTTTTCCTATCATCTTGGTAGCCCTGTAGAGATACACATGTACTTTCCTTTGTTTTTTAAACAAAAGAGATTCGAGATGCTAGGAGATTGTTGGGCAATAAACAATAAAAACAGCTGTTTTAATGAAAGCCAATACAGATCTATAGTCCTTTAGCCTTACTTTTGACATCCAAAAAGCTCTGAAAAGAAAAAAATGCTGTAGCTCATCACAGTTAGTGATAAAATCTG